>NC_000002.12:234762345-235065375 GCF_000001405.40 Homo sapiens
TGCACATTATCACAAACATTCTCTCCTTATTCCTATTATCATTTTTATAAATGATAAAATAGACTCAGATTGATTTGCACATAGGCTGGAATTGCAATGCAAACCTGAATTTTTGACTCCAAATTCCTGTCTCCTTCATCCTACATTGTGCTTGGGAGCATACAATTTCTATTTTGGTCTTTATCATCTTTACCCAATCTTTTCTCTATTTTTATCCAACTTATATATTCATTATTAAATTTTTAACAATTTCTGGCCAGGCACGGCGGCTCACAGATGTAATCCTAACACTTTGGGAGGCTAAGGCAGGAGGATCATTTGGGGTCAGGAGTTTGAGAGCAGCCTGACCAACATGGTGAAACCCTGTCTCTAGTAAAAATACAAAAAAACTAGCCAGGCATTATGGCGGACACCTGTAGTCCCAGCTATTCGAGAGACTGAGGCAGGAGAATCACTTGAAGCCAGGAGGCAGAGGCTGCAGTGAACTAAGATCGCACCACTGCACTCCAGTCTGGGCGACAGAGCAAGACTCCAACTCAAAAAAAAAAAATTAACAATTTCTCTTTGCTTCTTGCAATATGATCATCAGCTTTAAGGTACTGGTTAATTACTTCAGCTTACTCTTGCCCAGAGAAATGCAACTCTGTTACCAAATCAAGAGTTGATTTACTTCATTGTCATCTTGACTCGTATTAAATAAATTATGTTAACTGGCTCTGAAAAGAATTTAGGCATGCATAGAGAATAGCAGTGTTTTTATTGGCGAGAAAAGAAATCATGACTTTTTTAAAAATACCAGACTAATGATTAAATAAATTAACAGTCCTAGGGTTCCGGAAGTGGCCTAAAGCACGTAGTAGCCCTCCTTAGAGCTCACTGCCTTTGTGTTGTAGTTTGACAGAAGCAAAGTTAAGCCTTGCTCGTCCAGTTCCCATGGAGCATGTCCAATCCCTGAAGAGTGTTCGTGGAAATGCACATCTGCAGCCCCACCCTCCGGGTCTGATTGTGTTGGGCTGGTGGGGCCATAGAAACCACATTTTCCACAAGCACTGCAGTGACTCTGATGCTCAGCCCTCGAAGGAAGTCATTAGCAGGCTCAGCCTGGAGGGAGCCCCACAAGACCTCAGGCTCCAGGAAGCAAGTGTGCCAGGTTGCATGGCCATAGCACAGAGGAGTGTGACCAGGGTGCCACTTTTCTCATCTCTCACCATGCCTTTCAGTTTTGTGCAGCAGAGATATCTTCTCTTGGCCCGACTGTAAACTCCGGCATGCTCTCTCATGTATACATAGTCCCAGTCCAGCAGCCATTATAATTTTCCAGCACAGATGTGGGAATGATGCAGTTTCGAAATGCAAACTTCGAGATAACTCATGTATGAGTTTGCCAGGGTTGCTATATCAAAGCACCACAGATTGCTCAGCTTAAGCAACAGGCATTTGTTTTCTCACAGTTTTAGGAGCCGGAAGTCCATGATCAAGGTGTCAACAGGGTGATTCATTCATTCTGAGGGCTGGGAGGGAGGGTCTCTCGAGGCCTCTCTCGGCTTGCAGAAGGCCCTCTCCTCCTTGTGTCTTCACTATGCCTGCCTGTCTCTATGTTCAAATTTCATCTTTCTGTAAGGACAGTCCTGTTGGATTAGAACTAACTCTAATGACTTCATCTTAACTTGATTATCTTCAAAGACCTTATTTCCAAATAAGGCCACATTCTTGGGCACTGGGGGCTAGACTTTGACACCTTTGGAGGCACCCAATTCAAACCATAACAATTCATTTGATTGAAAAGATCTTTGTAATTTTTTTTTTTTTTTTTTTGAGACGGAGTCTTGCTCTGTCGCCCAGGCTGGAGTGCAGTGGCATGATCTTGGCTCACTGCAACCTCCGCCTCCCAGGTTCAAGTGATTCTCCTGCCTCAGCCTCCTGAGTAGCTGGGATTGCAGGCACGTGCCACCACACCCAGCTAATTTTCACACCAGCTAATTTTTGTATTTTTAATAGAGATGGGGTTTTACCATGTTGGCCAGGCTAGTCTCCAACTCCTGACCTCAAGTGATCCGCCTGCCTCAGCCTCCCAAAGTGCTGGGATTACAGGTATGAGCCACCACCTCGCCCAGCCAGATCTTTGTAATCTTAAGAGTAAGTTACAACCTTTAGGAAATGTGGGCTGGAAGCCATTTAAGGAGGTTTGGTTGAATGGAATGTATTTACAGGATTTTCATGATTGCATTACCCTGCTGTGGTTCCTGCTCAGAAGGCCTCCTGTTAACATGTTTATGATGATCCCCCTTGGTTCACCAGGTGCTGAGTTTAGGAGTACCTTTCATGCAACAAGAAAATATTTTTCCCCTGACACAATATCTTGCAAACACTCTAGGAAATATCAGTATTAAGAAAGCTAATTAACATAGGATATGTAAATCGGCATAAAGTCAACATTTGGCAGGTGAATCCGGTAAGCACCTTTGACACAAAGATAAATTCCCAATCTCCTGAGTGTCTATCTGGATGAAATTCAGGGCCTGGGGCTTGGCTCCTGGTGGATGTGGCTACAAGAAGCTGTCCCTTCCCCAGCCCCTCCCCTGGGCCTCCCTGTCCCCACTCTGGGATCCCCAATTCCTCAGGGACACTGACAGATTCCTGCTGTCTCACAGGGACCCCGGCTGTGGGCTGGCTTTTCCAGGGCATCCGCAGTTGTGCTGGCCTTCCTTCCCTGCTCCTGAGAAGCCTGAAGAGGACCCAAAGGGTATTCACAGCCCCCCACCCAGGGCTGGGGGAGAAGCAGCGGTCAGGAGCAGCCCCGCCGTTCCTAGCTTGAGAGCAGCTGCAGAAGGACTCGGCAGGACCTCTTCTCAGAGATTTCAAAGTGTGCAGGGACTTCAGAATGCATGGTCATCAACTGAATAAGGTTTATTTTACAGCTGAACCCACCTGCTTCCCACCCAGCCTCCTCCACCTGCTGCACTCCTTCCTGATTGAGTGAACAGTGCCCGCTTTGATGGCAGCCCCCAGCTGGAAACAAGGGCACTCTACTGGCCTCCCTCCTCCCCTCACACCCTACAGCCAGTCGGTCATCTCATGTGATGTGCTGGCCCCTCTGACCATCCCCACTGCTGTCCTTGGCCCCTCCCACTGCCCTTATTCACCCTTTATTGACTTCCCGTGATGAATCACGACAGCCTCCTACCTGCACACCCTCCCTGGATAAACCTCCTTCCTTCTTCCAGCAGGATCCAGTCCTCAGATGGAATGTAGGACCCGAGAGGAGGCTCCTGCACTTCCTAGCTGTCAGATCTTGGGTAAGATATTCCAACCCTCTGTGTCCCAGTGGCCTCCCCTGTAAAATGAAGAGGAGGATAACAGTGCCTGCATCACTGGGCTATTGAGAGGATGAAATGAGATAATCTATGTAAACCCCTTCACCTAATGAGTGCTCGCTCAGGTGAAGGTAGCTATGATTACGTCCTTCCCAATGTGCTCCCAAAGTAACATCTCCTCATGTCCATTGCAGTACTTACCATTCACAGAATAATTATTTTGTGTCTTTTCATCACTTAATAGAAGAGAAGCCTTCTGAAGGTAGGGAATCTCTTATTTATGTCTCATGCCCAGAAGTTAGGATGGTGTCTGGAATCTACTAGGTCCTCTATGAATATTTGAAGGAGAGATGTGTGGAAGAATGGATTCATAGAAAGGTGGATGGCTGAATGGTGACTAAATCCAACACCATTCCAGTGTTAGAATCATGTTACAACCCAACATGAAACATTAAGACTTTTTGTCGTATTACTTTAGTGGTAAATGCTCAAATGTAGTTTTGTCCTAAAATTAACCACTGATAAATCTTAGAAAACTAAAAGAGAAAGTTTTGATTTAATTAGTTTTTCCTTTTTTTTTTCTCAGTTCATGTTTCTGTTACAGAGGGGAAGTTTCTGAAAGTTAATAGTAGACATGACAGTAAATATTGACCATGAGGAAATGTTTTCACTCTTAATTATAGAGGATGCTATCTTTCTTTCTGCAATAATAGTGTTCTCAATAAAGAACTTTTAAAAATTATTTATATAAAGGAACATAACTTTTTTTAAAAAAACAGTATTTTGTATTGTGCAAACTGCAATCTTTATATCTCAGCTCTGTCTTTTAATAATAAGGCTTGATGCATGTGTGCAAAATACAGCAAACGCAGTTTCACATCATGGCCAAAACCATCTGAACTACCATCAAACTAATCCAAACAAGGCAAGGAAAGCATTGTCTTTAAGACTTAAATGGTGTAGCCATGTTCCATTTTACAGAAATGCACTTTTAGTCTCTGCAATGGTGAATTTTATGTGATCTTATTGGTTCTGTTTCCCTGGAGAACTCTAATACAATATCTTTTGTAAAATTCTAAATGGGTTTTTTTTTCAAATGCATAAATGATTAAACCTTAATTTGGGGGTGATTCCTATGAGATGAGTAACAATGGGGAAGATCCGCATCAGCATGGCGGGCCCTGACACAGCTTGAGATCACCCCAGTCTTATCTAACCCGCTTCTGTTGACTGTCTACTCCCTGTAGACACAGTACTGGCTTCTAGGTCGCCTGTGAGCAAATCTCATCAAATTCATCTAAATGACCACCAGGCATGAACCAGGATCACATTCTTAAAGGATTGCTGAGGACTTCAGAGTACAGTACTGGGCCTCTAAACACCCACATGCGCCCCCCAAGTGAGGGGAGGATCTTGGCTCTATCAGCTACCACTTCCAGCTCTGCTCCTAGCAGGCGCCATCCATTTGTCTGCCCCTTTGGGAAACTCCTTCCAATCACGTGGTTCCACTGGGAGCTGCTGTCTTCCTCCAGAACCTGACTCCCTGGCCACAGTGGTGGTCTAGGGCTGAAATGCCCACCTGGCTGATCACAGGGCTCCAATCTCTGCTCACAGGTGACTGATCCAAATGTAAGAACCTACACACCATGATTCAAGCCATCTTTTCCCAGGATTTTCTACCAGGAATCAAGGGAAGCCAGTCAGTTCTTCTCGAGTGGCCAAGATGGGCTGATGTGAGCAGCCAGGTCTCCTGCCCTGTGGGGCTGGGAGGAGAGAGAGCAGCCCACTCCGAGGGGCACTGACTAGGAAGAAGGACAGAGCCCAAATTCCACCATTGCCAAGGCCAGCTGGGCTTTCCTCCCTGAGGGGGGTCACAGGAAACACCTGCCCCTTTGCTGGAGCTACTTGGGTTGGGTCTTCATTGGCAGAAACCAAAGAGTCACTCTGATTAGTTCTAAACTACAGGAGCCATTCAGTCTTCTGGGCCTCAGTGTGAACTGGGAATGGCCACACCTCCCTTGAAATCTTAACACTTATGGTGGAGAGTGAGCTGAATGTGTGTGAACTGTGCACACATTACCTTCCCCATGGATCCTATGAAGAGCAGATAAGACTTTATAACCCAGAAAAATAGGAAATGTGTCAGATGTTTACTTATTTTTCTAATCATAATTATGAAAGTTGAGGTTACTTGGGATCCTGTTGTACTAGAATGAGGGATGTGATTGGATGGATTACAAAGCTCATGCATGCACACATAAAACAAACATAAGCAGACAACCCCTTGAGATGGTATATGCATGTCCTAGAATGACTATGACAAAGGACTGTAAAACTGGGTGACTTAAAACAACAGAAATTTGTTCTCTCATGGTTCTTGAGATGGGAAGTCCAAAATCAAGGTGTCATATGGCCAAGCTCCATCTTAAGGTCCTAGGGAGGAATCCTTGCTTGGAGGATCTTAGGCAAGAAATAGCACCTGGTGGCTCCAGGTGTTCCTTGATTTATGGCGGCATCTCTCCAACCTCTGCCTCTGTCCTCACACAGCCTTCTGCCCTCTGTGTCTGTGTCTTCATGGGGTATTTGTGTGTTCGTTCTCTCTCTCTCTCTCTCTGTCTTTTCTTATAAAGACACCCGTCACATTGGAGTAGGCCCACTCCAATCCAGGATGACCTCATCTTAACCAATTACATTTGTAGCATCTCTGTCCCCAAACAAGGTCACATTCTGAGGAACCAGGGTTTGGACTCAGACACATCTTTTGGGGACACAATAAACACACTATGATGGTGCACTCATTTTCCAAACTTCTTAGTGACAAAAAGTAAAGTAGTGGTAAAGTCACCACTGCAGCAAATGTCACCCTGGTCAGGCACCAGAGCACACTGCTCCCTGCTTCAAGCCATGCCCTGGAACATCAGGGGAAAGGATGAGATTGGGGTCATGGAAGTCCTCAGACGGGGCTCCCAGAAGAACCCCAGCAGCCACCACAGAAGGGTTACGCCTGCCTTTGCCTCTGGGGCTCCAAGTGCAGGTCCGCCTGAGACAAGACAACACACTCAGATCTAAAAAATCAGTGGAATCCTCTTGTTCCTCTTAGGTTCATGCAAAGCCAATTCAAGAGTCTGGCCAACTCGTTCCTCTCTGAATGAAGTGAGCTTTGGAACATGACCCACCATTTGAGAGTTAGTCATGGGGTGGTGACTGCCAGACACAATTCTACCCCTCCCTTTCCTTTCTAAAATAACCCCAACCCCTGTTGGTACAGCCGGGTACAGAGACAGCCTGCGAGCCCATCCCAGCCATCACAGCAGCAATCACAGGGTTCAGTCCAGGGCTGGCCATGACCCCCGAGCCGTCACCTTTCCCAGGACAAATGCATGTGTGCTGGTAGCAACAGTTGCTCTCTCCTGCAGTTTCAAGTTGGGAGGCTGTGAAGCTGGGACTCGATTCACCCTCTTCCTCCCCTGAGAAGAAGGTTTGCCCTGGTCTCACTGAGGCCCTGGCCCCTGAGCCTGGTTCTGCAGACCTGCTGGCTCTCCATAGCTCCCATGGCGCTCTGTTTCTACTCCTGAGACTTTCAACCTATTTGTACCTTGGTTCTGATACAACCTCCAGTGTCACTCCTATTGAGACTTGCCCATAGAGCTGGCCCTAGAAGTGGACGCCATCTGCCAAGGACAGTCCCCACTCCAGCCACTACCACCTCCCTCCATCACCTGCCCCACAAATACCTTAGGTGTAATACATTTTAAACTAATTTAACATTAATTAAGGCTAGGCACTGTGCTCATGCCTGTAATCCCGCGCTTTTCAAGGCCAAGGTGGGAGGATTGCTTGAGCCCAGGAGTTTGAAACCAGCCTGTGAAACATAGTAAGACCTCACCTCCACCAAAAAGCAAAAAAATTAGCTGGGCATGGTGGTGCGTGCCTGTAGTACCAGCTACTTGGGAGCCTGAGGCTAGAGGATTGCTTGAGCCCAGGAGGTCGAGGCTGCAGTGAGCTGAGATCACACCACTGTACTCCAGCCTGAGTGATAGTGTGAGATCCTGTCTCTAATAAATAAAATAAATTAACAATAATTTTGCTTATCTCCTTAGAATTCAGTTAGTTAATTGGGTAGGCTATTTTTTTTTTTTAAGTTAAGAGAAGTTCAAATGTGGTTTCTTCTGTTCTCCCACTTTGAAAGCCTCCCAGAACTCTTGTTCTTACAGCTGTCCTCAAATCAGGGAGGCATTTCCCATAGATCCTTTGCTGGATATAAATATTTCAGGCCTCACAGTGGATGCCCGTGTAGCTGTTTGAAAGACTCTTTTAAGAGGATCAGATGCGCTTTCTTATGTTTTAGCTTTTGCTCTCTTTTCCTCCCAATAACCTCTGCCCCTCAGCTCATGCCAAGAAGAGCCTGGGAAGCAGAATGAAGTCACAAAAGGAAAATGTGCAGGAGTTGGGAGGGAGGACCCGCACCCCTTTGCAGGGGGTACTTACTGGCTGGGGGAATTCAGCGCTGATAAAAAGAGATCTGTGCTGGGAGGCTCTTCGCCCAGCTGCCGGCTGGGCTGCCTCTCTCTCCACCTTCCCACAGCCTCCCTGAGGCCCTGGCCAGCTGCAGATGCTCACGGCACAGTCAGGCTTTGTGGAACCAGAAAATTAGTGAGTCAAAGGACCAGAGAATTAGAGCAAGTATGTTAATTGGATATGAGTATAGGCCTCAGTGGACGGCTGCCAAGTCCCCTTTCTCCCTGCGCTCTCCATGCCATCCTTACCAGGAGCCCGGAGCTCCCTGCTGTGAGTGCCGCATTAGCCCAGCTCCTACAGCGCGTGATCCTGCACCAGGCCTTGTGTTTGTATCCACTGTCTCCTACTAACCCCACCTAGCAATCCCACCCATCTCCATTCTGAATATAAGCTAAGTGGCTTGTCTACTTTACCCAGCTAGTGCGAGATGGAGCTGGGATCAAGATCAGGTCTGTCTGCCCCACAGCCTGCACTCTGCTTTCTCCTGGGACAGGCCACCAACTTCACTGCGTTACCTGCTGGTGGTCATCATCCTCTTAGCCTGGAGAGTTCCACTTGGAGATGGGTGTAATTGAAAGCCTCCCAGAACTCTTGTTCTTACAGCTGTCCTGTAAGAGCTGTGGCTGGCCCTGCAATGGAGATGACTGAGTGGTAGGGGGCAGGGGTGGATTTTGCCCCACAGGAGAAATTTGGTAATACCTAGAGACAATTTGGGTTGTCCCAACCTAGGAGTGGGGGGTTGCTCCTGGAATCTAGTGGGTAAAGTTCAGGGCTGTTGGTAAAAATCCTACAATGCACAGGACACCTCTTAAACAAATAATTACTCAGCTACAATGTTTCCATCTTGGTGAGGTTGAGAAACCCTGCCCTACAAAATTCTGCCAGAACAAAGTGCCTACCAGCATCCAAAATTAGCCAAAAACATGGCTAAAAGAGAGCAGGGACAGATCTATTTATTCATTCATCTGACCTGTATTTACCGAGTGCCAGCTAGGAGCCAGGCACTCCTCTTACTGCTGGGGGTTTAATAATGAACCAGACAGACAAGTCCATGCCCCCCACCCCCCAACCGGGGCTGATGTTCTAAGAGGGGTTAGAGTGGAAGGCAGAAATAAAATGAATAACAAGACACTGATAAGGGCCATTCCGAGCATTGCAATGGGGTGGTGTAAGGGGTGGGATGAGATGTCTGATTTTGAGCTGGGGGTCAAAGTGGCCCCCTGCAGAGGTGACATTTAAGCTGAGATCTGAACCACAGGAAGTAGTCAGTCACAGACCAAACAGGAGACAGGGCTTCCTAGAAAGAAGAGAGGGTTACTGCAAAATCTTTAAGATGGGGAGGAGCTTGCTGTATCTAAGGAACAGACAAAAGGCTGAAGTAGGACAGGAGGAAGGTAGGGAGGTGGATGGGACAAGATAAATGGGGCTTCTGTATGCCAGCCAGGGATAAGGGGCTCAGAATTTCAGTTCAGTGCAAGGGAATCGGCTAGAGGGTTGGGACAGGAGAATGATGGGCTCTGATTTGCCTTTTCAAAGAATGCTCACTGCTGTAGGGAGAATGAATTAGACGGCTTTAAGGGTTGAATTGTGTCTTCCCAAAAAAGATAGATTGAAGTTCTAGCCCCCGCAGTACTTCAGAATGTGGCCTTGTTTGGAAATAGGGTCTTTACAGAGATGATCAAGTTATAATGCAGTAATTCAGGTGAGCCCTTATACAATACAACTGGCGTCCTTATGAAGAGGGGAAATTGGGACAGAGACAGACACACATAGAGGGAAAATGATGTGAAAATAATGGCAGAAGCCAAGGTGATGCTCCTCTAAGCCAAAAAACTCCAAAGATTGCCAGCAAACCCCCGAGGCCAGGAGAAGGTCCTAGAACAGATTCTCCCTCATGGCCTCAGAAGGAATCAGCCCTGCTGATGCTCTGACCTCGAACTTCCAGGCTCCAGCACCGAGACAGTAAATGCCTGTGGTTTACTCCACCCAGTTGGCGGTGATTTGTTACAGCAGCCCTGACAAACTAACACAATGAGCCAGAAGCAGCCATATCCGTGTAGGTGGTTACCAGGGTAATCCAGGTGGGAAGGGATGATGGCTCGGACAATATGACACAGTGGGGGACAGAGAAGAGCAGAGCTATGACATGTTTCAGAAACAGGACTCGTTTAGAGAGGGGTGAGGGCAGGACAGGAACTAGGTAAGTTCTGTATTTGGCTTCAGCAAAGGAGAACTGGAAGAGAAACGGGTCCAGGTGGGGGATAAGGGAAGCCTTGGAAATGAAGCAGTGGGTTGGGGCCAATTCCATTTCAGTGCACCCTTGACATCTCCTCTGCTCCACCCCCCACACAGCTGTCAGCAGGCAGCTGGATTTAGTCGATGAACTGGAGATCCAAGGACAGGGCTGGAGAGACAGACTGAGGAGTTCCTCATGATTTATTCTAATGGATCCTCCTTCCCACTTGGAGGTTTTCACCACTAACCGGGCCACTGGCAGGGTGAAGGGTGAAATTGCTGCTACAAAGCAGGCTAGGTCAACCCGAAGATTGGCTTGCATACCACTGAGCTCTTCCTGAAAGTAGCAGCCGACTTCTTTTTCTTCTCTCCTCCTGTCCTCTAGAACCAGGATCCCCAACCCCTGAGCCACAGCCACACACCATGGCCTGTTAGGAACTGGCCGCACAGCAGGGAGGACGGCAGCAGGCTAGAAAGCATTCCCGCCCGCGCTCCACCTCCTGTCAGATCAGCAGCATTTGATTCTTATAGGAGCTTCAATCCTATTGTGAACTGCACACAGGAGGGATCTAGGTTGCACGTTCCTTACGAGAATCTAATGCCCACAGCCCCACTCAACTCACCCCACCTCCCCCAGCCAACATGGAAACATGGAAAAATTGTCTTCCACAGTCCCTGGTGCCAAAAAGATGCTGCTCTAGAATAGCCCAGTGCTGGGCTCTGCTGTCCAGTAATGAACTGGAGAGCAGGAATATTGAGAAGAGGCTGGAGGGGGGCAGAGTAATGGGAAGGACAGGGACAAATGCCCATGCTGAGACTGCATCACGCCCACTCTGCAGTGTAAATGGACTTCTCCCCAGAGGAGAACAGACTGCCCTCCAGGACCTTGGGAGACAAGGGAGCACGGTGACTTGCAGTTTCTGGAAATTTGCAAATGTGCCTGGAAATGCACCTGGCCTGTCTTGGAGAAGCAGCTCCCCTGATCTTTCAGTCACATCTGTCAATGACAGTGGCCAGGTCCCTTCGGTACCACCATCACTTCCACTGCATTGAAGTCCCCACGATATGCCAGATTGCCTGCCCCCTCATGTGACTTTCTGGACTCGAGAGGCAAACTCCCTTATCATGGGGACTAATTTCGTATAGTTAGTGACCTTTTAAGAAAGAAATGGCTCAGCCTTGTCTCTGTAATACAACACTTGTTGAACTCTTCAGGGAAATAGCTAGGTTTTATTCCTGCTTCAAATGCAAGCAGCCAAGGAGCAGAAATGGAAGCAGGAGAGAAAATGAACATTTTCTGACCATCTGCTATGCACAAAGCACTGTGCTCAGAGAAGCTATGTGTATCCTTCATGGAAGCTTCACAGTAATCCTTCCATAAGGGCATCAATTGAGCTATTGAGAACTTAAATTCAGAAAGGCTGAATAACTTGCTCAAGTAACCTAAAGATAAGTGGTGGGGAGGGGAACCCAACTCTGAGGTCATCTTAAATGCCTAGGGCCATGCAACTGCTGCCTGGATGGTTCTAAAGACATGTGACACTGGCCTCACCTGCCAGCAAGTCCTGTTTTGAAAGCTGTGGCTGGTGAACAACTGTGGCCTCTTTTTTGTCACACGATTTAATAGTCACATGATAGTCATGGATGTGCATCTACATGGCCGCCCGCTCTCTGCCATGGTGATCTTAGTGTTAGGATTTGTGTTGGGGCTGCCATGTCTTTGTGACATCATCCCCACCTGCTGCTCTGCTGGGACCAGGCTGCCATGCCCCTCATCCCGCTTTGGCAATATCTAGATTGCAGGCCGTACACAGACTTACATAACCTAACTAACCTTCCTGTTTGCCTTTGGTTGGTGAAGTTCCCTTTTCAGCAGAGTAGAGGATGGTTAACAACACAGATTGTTGTTTAAACTAGCCAACTTTGTAATGTAATCTGAAGGCAAATAGAGGAGAAATAAATGTACTGTCATAGACAAGGTAGAGAAAACTGTCTAGCATATGTGACTGAAATGTAGGCCACTGATCTATGTCTTCCAGGTACAGTTTAGAAGTGTTTGTAAGTCACTCTTGGTTCTGAGCCAACGCAAAATTTTCTCTGACATACTTGCAGTTTTCTCAGTGAATCTCATTGTGAGCTAAGTCTTTATTTTATGTAACAAACACATATTCCCAGATACTGTTCTAAGTGATTTACAAATATTAACTCAGTAGGCCTCATAATAAAGCTAAAAGGTAGGTACAGTAAGGTACGATAAGGAAACAGGGACAGAAAATCATCCAAGTTCATCAGGGCCCAAAACAAGCTCCACTCTGCTGCCCCTAAAATGAAAGAAGGCCAGGCGCGGTGGCTCATGCCTGTAATCCCAGCACTTTGGGAGGCCTAAGTGGGTGGATCATTTGAGATCAGGAGTTCGAGACCAGCCTGGCCAATATGGTGAAACCCCGTCTCTACCAAAAATATAAAAAAATTAGCCGGGCGTGATGGTACACGCCCGTAGTCCCAGCTACTTGGGAGGCTGAGGCAGGTGAATTGCTTGAACCTGGGAGGTAGAGGTTGCAGTGAGCTGAGATCACGCCACTGCTCTCCAGCCTGGGTGACAGAGTGAGACTCCATCTCAAAAAACCAACAATAAAATAAAATAAAATAAGGAGGGAGAAAGGGAGGGGGAAAGAAAGAGAGGAAGAGAAGGGGGAGGAGGGGGAGAAAGAGCAAAAGTCTCTATTTCTTAAGTAAATTTCAGGGAATGATTCTGCAGAGTTCTTCATTATTTTCCCCTTATAATAAATCTTATTCATTTTTCTTTTCTCTCCTTCCACCCTGTCTCTGCATTACTTCACTCCTTAAGCAGAAAAACTCTGCCTTCAGGGCTAACAGTCACCACGTCTTCTGCTTTGGCTCTGAAAAATATTCTATAGCCTATTAATAAACATGTCTCCATTTTTGGATTAAATTATTACTCAAGGCACACAGAACAAATAGAACTGTTTGAGGTTTGGCAAATAGTACCTCTCTCTTAAGATGTTCAAGTGACAAGATCATACCTGATAGATGAAAACAATTAGATACAATGGAGGAACAGCTCCAGTCTACAGCTCCCAGTGTGAGCGACGCAGAAGATGGGTGATTTTTGCATTTCCAACTGAGGTACTGGGTTCATCTCACTGGGGCTTATCAGACAGTGGGTACAGGACAGTGGGTGCAGCCCATGGACCGTTAGCCAAAGCAGGGTGAGGCATCACCTCACCCAGGAAGCGCAAGGGGTCAGGGAATTCCCTTTCCTAGCCAAGGGAAGCCATGACAGATGGCACCTGGAAAATCGGGTCACTCCCACCCTAATACTGTGCTTTTCCAATGGTCTTAGCAAATGACACACCAGGAGATTATATCCCAAGCATGGCTCAGAGGGTCCCACGCCCGCGGATCCTCCCTCATTGCTAGCACAGCAGTCTGAGATCGAACTGCAAGGTGGCATCGAGGCTGGAGGAGGGGGGCCCACCATTGCTGAGGCTTGAGTAGGTAAACAAAGTGGCCTGGAAGCCTGAACTGAGTGGAGCCCACCACAGCTCAAGGAGGCCTGCCTGCCTCTGTAGACTCCACCTCTGAGGGCAGGGCATGGCTGAACAAAAGGCAGCAGAAACTTCTGCAGACTTAAACATCCCTGTCTAATAGCTTTGAAGAGAGTAGTCATTCTCCCAGCATGGAGTTTGAGATCTGAGAATGGACAGACTGCCTCCTCAAGTGGATCCCTGACCCCCAAGTAGCCTAACTGGGAGACACCTCCCAGTAGTGGCCGACTGACACCTCATACAGCCAGGTGCCCTCTGAGACAAAACTTCCAGAGGAATGATCAGACAGCAACATTTGCCGTTCTGCAATATTTGCTGTTCTGCAGCCTCTGCTGATAATACCCAGGCACACAGGGTCTGGAGTGGACCTCCAGCAAACCCCAACAGACCTGCAGCTGAGGGTCCTGACTGTTAGAAGGAAAACTAACAAACAGAAAGGGCATCCACACCAAAACCCCATCTGTACGTCACCATCATCAAAGATCAAAGTTAGATAAAACTTTGATAAAAAAAAAAATGGGGAGAAACCAGAGCAGAAAAGCTGGAGATTCTAAATATCACAGTGCCTCTTCTCCTCAAAAGGAATGCAGCTCCTTGCCAGCAATAGAACAAAGCTAGATGGAGAATGATTTTAACGAGTTGAGAGAAGAAGGCTTCAGACGATTGGTAATAACAACTTTCTCTGAGATAAAGGAGGATGTTCGAACCAATGGCAAAGAAGCTAAAAACCTTGAAAAAAGATTAGACGAATGGCTAACTGGAATAAACAGCATAGAGAAGACCTTAAATGACCTGATGGAGCTGAAAACCGTGGCACAAGAACTACATGATGCATGCACAAGCTTCAGTAGCTGATTTGATCAACTGGAAGAAAGGGTATCAGTGATTGAAGATCAAATGAATGAAATGAAGCAAGAAGAGAAGTTTAGAGAAAAAACAGTAAAAAGAAATGAACCAAGCCTTCAAGAAATATGGGACTATGTGAAAAGACCAAATCTATGTCTGATTGGTGTACCTGAAAGTGACGGGGAGAATGGAACCAAATTGGAAAACACTCTTCAGGATATTATCCAGGAGAACTTCCCCAACCTAGCCAGGCAGGCCAACATTCAAATCCAAGAAATACAGAGAATGCCACAAAGATACTCCTCAAGAAGAGCAACTCCAAAACACATAATTGTCAGATTCACCAAAGTTGAAATGAAGGAAAAAATGTTAAGGGCAGCCAGAGAGAAAGGTCGGGTTACCCACAAAAGGAAGCCCATCAGACTAACAGCGGATCTCTCAGCAGAAACTCTACAAGCCAGAAGAGAGTGGGGGCCAATATTCAACATTCTTAAAGAAAAGAATTTTCAACCCAGAATTTCATATCCAGACAAACTAAGCTTCATATGTGAAGGAGAAATAAAATCCTTTACAGACAAATAAATGCTGAGAGATTTTGTCACCAGTAGGCCTGCCTTACAAGAGCTCCTGAAGGAAGCACTAAATATGGAAAGGAACAACCGGTACCAGCCACTGCAAAAACATGCCAAATTGTAAAGACCATTGATGCTAGGAAGAAACTACATCAACTAACGAGCAAAATAACCAGCTAACATCATAATGACAGGATAAAATTCACACATAACAATATTAACTTTAAATGTGAATGGGCTAAATGCTCCAATTAAAAGACACAGACTGGCAAATTGGATAAAAAGTCAAGACCCATCAGTGTGCTGTATTCAGGACACTGAATACATGTGCAGAGACACATATAGGCTCAAAATAAAGGGATGGAGGAAGATCTACCAAGCAAATGGAAAACAAAAAAAAAGCAGGGGTTGCAATCCTAGTCTCTGATAAAACAGACTTTAAACCAACAAAGATCAGAAGAGACAAGGAAGGCCATTACATTATGGTAAAGGGATCAATTCAACAAGAAGAGCTAACTATCCTAAATATATATGCACCCAATACAGGAGCACCCAGATTCATAAAGCAAGTACTTAGAGACCTACAAAGAGACTTAGACTCCCACACAATAATAATGGGAGACTTTAACACCCCACTGTCAACATTAGACAGATCCACGAGACAGAAATTAACAAGGATATCCAGGCATTGAACTCAGCTCTGCACCAAGCAGACCTAATAGACATCTACAGAACTCTCCACCCCAAATCAACAGAATATACATTTTTTTCAGGACCACACCACACCTATTCCAAAATTGACCACATACTTGGAAGTAAAGCTCTCCTCAGCAAATGTAAAAGAATAGAAATTATAACAAACTATCTCTCAGACCACAGTGCAATCAAACTAGAACTCAGGATTAAGAATCTCACTCAAAACCGCTCAACTACATGGAAACTGAACAACCTGCTCCTGAATGACTACTGGGTACATAACGAAATGAAGGCAGAAAGAAAGATATTCTTTGAAACCAATGAGAACAAAGACACAACATACCAGAGTCTCTGGGACACATTTAAAGCAGTGTGTAGAGGGAAATTTCTAGCACTAAATGCCCACAAGATAAAGCAGGAAAGATCAAAAATTGACACACTAACATCACAATTAAAAGAACTAGAGAAGCAAGAGCAAACATATTCAAAAGCCAGCAGAAGGCAAGAAATAACTAAGATCAGAGCAGAATTGAAGGAGATAGAAACACAAAAAACCCTTCAAAAAAATCAATGAATCCAGGAGCTGGTTTTTTGAAAAGATCAACAAAATTGATAGATCACTAGCAAGACTAATAAAGAAGAAAAGAGAGAAGAATCAAATAGACGCAATAAAAAATGATAAAGGGGATATCACCACTGATCCCACAGAGATACAAACTACCATCAGAGAATACTATAAACTCCTCTATGCAAACAAACTAGAAAATCTAGAAGCAATTGATAAATTCCTGGACACATACACCCTCCCAAGACTAAACCAGGAAGAAGTTGAATCCCTGAATAGACCAAAAACAGGCTCTGAAATTGAGGCAATAATTAATAGCCTACCAACCAAAAAAAAGTCCAGGACCAGACAGATTCACAGCCGAATTCTACCAGAGGTACAAAGAGGAGCTGGTACTATTTCTTCTGAAACTATTCCAATCAATAGAAAAAGAGGGAATCCTCCCTAACTCATTTTATGAGGCCAGCATCATCCTGATACCAAAGCCTGGCAGAGACACAACAAAAAAAGAGAATTTTAGACCAATATCCCTGATGAACATCGATGCAAAGATCCTCAATAAAATACTGGCAAACCGAATCCAGCAGCACATCCAAAAGCTTATCCACCATGATCAAGTGGGCTTCATCCCTAGGATGCAAGGCTGATTCAACACACGCAAATCAATCAGTGTAATACAGCATATAAACAGAACCAAAGACAGAAACCACGTGATTATCTCAATAGATGCAGAAAAGGCCTTTGACAAAATTCAACAGCCCTTCATGCTAAAAACTCTCAATCAATTAGGTATTGATGGGACGTAACTCAAAACAATACGAGCAGTTTATGACAAACCCACAGCCAATATCATACTGAATGGGCAAAAGCTGGAAGCATTCCCTTTGAAAACTGGCACAAGACAGGGATGCCCTCTCTCACCACTCCTATTCAACATAGTGTTGGAAGTTCTGGCCAGGGCAATCAGGCAGGAGAAAGAAATAAAGGGTATTCAATTAGGAAAAGAGGAAGTCAAATTGTCCCTGTTTGCAGATTACATGACTGTATATTTAGAAAACCCAAGTCTCAGCCCAAAATCTCCTTAAGCTGATAAACAACTCCCAGGATACAAAATCAATGTGCAAAGTCTCAGGATACAAAATCAATGTGCAAAAATCACAAGCATTCTTATACACCAATAACAGACAAACAGAGAGCCAAATCATAAGTGAACTCCCATTCATAATTACTTCAAAGAGAATAAAATACCTAGGAATCCAACTTACAAAGGATGTGAAGGACCTCTTCAAGGACAACTACAAACCACTGCTCAACGAAATAAGAGGACACAAACAAATGGAAGAACATTCCATGCTCATGGATAGAAGAATCAATATCATGAAAATGGCCATACTGCGCAAGGTAATTTATAGATTCAGTGCCATCCCCTTCAAGCTACCAATGATTTTCTTCACATAATTGGAAAAAACTACTTTAAAGTTCATATGGAACCAAAAAAGAGCCTGCATTGCCAAGACAATCCTAAGCCAAAAGAACAAAGCTGGAGGCATCACGCTACCTGACTTCAAACTATACTACAAGGCTGCAGTAACCAAAACAGCATGGTACTGGTACCAAAACAGAGATATTGACCAATGGAACAGAATAGAGCCCTCAGAAACAATATCACACATCTACAACCATCTGATCTTTGACAAACCTGACAAAAACAAGAAATGGGGAAAGGATTCCCTATTTAATAAATGGTGCTGGGAAAACTGGCTAGCCATATGTAGAAAGCTAAAACTGGATCCCTTCCTTACACCTTATACAAAAATTAATTCATGATGGATTACAGACTTAAATGTTAGACCTAACACCATAAAAACCCTAGAAGAAAACCTAGGCAATACCATTCAGGACATAGGCATGGGCAAGGACTTCATGTCTAAAACACCAAAAGCAATGGCAACAAAAGCCAAAATTGACAAATGGGATCTAATTAAACTAAAGAGCTTCTGCACAGCAAAAGAAACTACCATCAGAGTGAACAGTCAACCTACAGAATGGGAGAAAATTTTTGCAATCTACCCATCTGACAAAGGGCTAATGTACAGAATCTACAAAGAACTTAAACAAATTTACAAGAAAAAATCAAACAACCCCATCAAAAAGTGGGTGAAGGATATGAACAGGCACTTCTCAAAAGAAGATATTTATGCAGCCAACAGACACATGAAAAAATGCTCATCATCACTGGCGATCTGAGAAATGCAAATCAAAACCACAATGAGATACCATCTCACACCAGATAGAATGGCAATCATTAAAAAGTCAGGAAACAACAGGTGCTGGAGAGGATGTGGAGAAATAGGAACACCTTTACACTGTTGGTGGGACTGTAAACTGGTTCAACCATTGTGGAAGACAGTGTGGCCATTCCTCAAGGATCTAGAACTAGATATACCATTTGACCCAGGCATCCCATTACTGGGTATATACACAAAGGATTATAAATCATGCTGCTATAAAGACACATGCACACGTATGTTTACTGTGGCACTATTCACAATAGCAAAGACTTGGAACCAACCCAAATGTCCATCAATGATAGACTGGATTAAGAAAATGTGGCACATATACACCATGGAATACTATGCAGCCATAAAAAATGATGAGTTCATGTCCTTTGTATGGACATGGATGAAGCTAGAAACCATCATTCTGAGCAAACTATCACAAGGACAGAAAACCAAACACCGCATGTTCTCACTCATAGGTGGGAATTGAACAATAAGAACACTTGGACACAGGATGGGGAACATCACACACCAGGGCCTGTTGTGGGGTGGGGGAAGGGGGGAGGGATAGCATTAGGAGATATACCTAATGTAAATGACAAGTTAATGGGTGCAGCACACCAACATGGCATATGTATACATATGTAACAAACCTGCATGCAACGCACATGTACCCTAGAACTTAAAGTATAATAAAAAAAAAATTAGATGCAACAAAAGACTGCAATAAATTACTGCATTAGAAGACGGACTTCGTTTTTATTCTGAGACCTCTGACCAGTATCAAGAGTAGATGAAATGCATTCCTTTAGACGAAAGATAAGGTGTCAGAAAATTCTGCCTTGAGGCTGGGGGTGGTGGCACACTCCTGTAATCCTAGCCCTTTGGGAGGCTGAGGTGGGTGGATCAGTTGAGGCCAGGAGTTCAAAACCAGCCTGGCCAACATGGTGAAACCCTATCTCTACTAAAAATACAGAAAAATTAGCCTGGTGTGGTGGTGGGTGCCTGTAATCCCAGCTACTTGGGAGACTGAGGAAGGAGAATTGCTTGAACCCAGGAGGGGGAGGTTGCAGCAAGCAGAGATTGTGCCACTACACTCCAGCCTGGGCAACAGTTAGACTCCGTCTCAAAAAAATAATAATAATAAAATAAAATAAACAGAAAAAACTAAGAAAATTCTGCCTTGAGTCTAATTAATGAATTGACATGTGCTAGAATGAAAGAGGAGAGGATCCCCTATAATAAAAATTTTTCTTCAAAGTTGTTAGCAGCCATTTGTCATACTGTCTCATATCTGAAACCTTGGATTATACATTTTACCATCGTTTGATACTTTTATGTCCTCCCCTCCGTAAGCATTCTTCCTCCCTTTCTTACTCAGCCTGAATCCTGCTATTTAGCAAATAAGTTACACTTTTCTCAAAGCCCCTACTCCCTGTATCCCTGTCCTGCTATATTCAAAGAAAATTTCCACACCCTGGCCTAGACCTACAGTCTGCCAACTTCGTTCCCGGATTCCAATTCCTAAAAGTCCTAAATTACAGATTTCAGCCACAATAACTTCATGGTCTCCAGCCTCTGCCACACCTGAGTGCTTTTTTCAATTCTTTTACTTATTCTTGGCTAGCTACAGTGTTGGTAGAATATTATCCCCCCAAAGATGTCCACATCCTAATCCCTGAAATCTGTGAACATAGTAGCTTACATGGCAAAAGAGATTTTGCAGCTGTGATGAAGTTAAAAACCTTGGAAGATTATCCTGGGTTATTCCAGAGACCAGTGTATTTGCAAGGGTTCTTCTAAGAGGGAGGCAGGAGGAGAGGCAATGGTGGAAGCAGGGGCCGGAGACAGAGACACTGGGAGATGCTACACTACTGGCTTAGAAGATGAAGGATGGGGCCATGAGCCAAAGAATGTGAGAGGCCTCTGTAAGCTGGGAAAGGCTAGAAAACAGATTCTCCCCTAGAGCTTCCAGAAGGAACACAGCCGGGCCGACACCTTGATTTTAGCCAAGACAGACCCATTTTGGACTTCTCGTCTCTGGAATAAATTTGTGTTAAGCAAGCTGCTAAATTTCTTGTAATTTGTCGTAGTAGCAGTCGAAATCAATACAGTTACTTGTCCCATTTCCTCAGGAAACACACTAACATATTGCTTCTCTCCTCACCAGTTCCAGTGCCTCATGCACTTCTTAGTGGATCCCACCTACTATTTCACACACACACACACAAAAATAAACCAGATATTCCTTCATCAGTTTGTCACAGATCCAGCCCCTACCTTTGCCACTTATGCACACAAATGCATCTGTTCCTTACCCTGACTTTCATAAAGAACCACCATTTGGTTTTATTGATTTTTCTCTATAGTTTCTGTTTTCGATTTTATTGATTCTGCTCTTTACCAACTTTTTTCATCTTTTGGCTTTAGAATTAATTTCCTTTTTTAAATTTCTGAGATTTCTTAAAGTGGAAACATAGATGATTGGTTTGAGACCTTTCTTCTTTTCTAATATAAGCACTTTAGTGCTATTAATTTTCCTCTAAGCACTGCTTTAGCTGTATCCCACAAAATGTGATATGTTGTGTTTTTATTTAATTCAAAATATTTTTTAAGACTCCCTGTGATTTCCTTTTTGACCATGGTTATTTAAATGCTTCTTGTTTAATATCAAATATTTCAGGTTTTTCCAGGTATTTTCTGTTACTAATTTCTGGTTTAATTCTATGGTGATAAGAGAAACTCTTCCTTTCCATACTGTTTTTTTGTCTCTCTGCCAATAAGCATGCTCATGTTTTACCCATTCTTAAAAGGACACCCGTTCTTTGATCCTATTTAACCATACCTACTATTCTCTAACTTCCTCCTGTTGTTCTTCTTTTGTCTTCAAGGGTCTCATTCTGTCACCCAGGCTGGAGTGGAGTGGCATGATCATAGCTCCCTGAGGCCTTGAACTCTTGTGTTCAAGTGATCCTTTCACCCCACCTTCCCAAGTAGCTGGAATTACAGTCACCAGCTATCAGCCACCATGCCTAGCTCCTGCTTCTTAAGCTTCTCAGAGGAACAGTTTACACTTGCTGCCTCCCCTTTCTTCCTCCCCACTTATTTCTAAACCACACAGTGTTCCTTTTGTTTCCTTCTACTTTCCCAAGCCAGGACCTCTGGACTTTGTTTGCTTCCATAAATACCTATAGCCTCCTAAGAATTGTTATTTTTGTTAAAAATAGCCAGAGTCCATTTATTTGCTTCTAACCAAGAATTCTGACTGAGGTAGATTATGAACACTACAATCCTTTCCCAATTTCACCATCTAATCACCATAGCAACCACATCCTTTGATACATAGCAGCAGATGCAGAGACATGGTGTTAAACAGGCAAGTGAGAAGAATATTTCAAGGAGGGGGAGGAGGTAATGAGTCGGGTCACATTCTGGTGAGAGGTGGAGTAAGATGAGAGCTAAAAATGGCCATTTTGTTTGGCAATGTGGGAGTCAACAGTGGGGTAGTTATAAAAGTCATTATACAAACTGGGATCATTTTGAGAGACAAAGGAATCACAATTAATTAAACCAGAGCCACAGACCACAAGCCAAGATTGTGACAGGCAAGCTGAAACATGTAGTCTTCTGTTTTCTACGAAACACTTACACCTTTCCAAGATGGTTTCAGTGAAGTGGTGAGCTTGTGTGGATCAAGGGGAGAATGCAAAGTAAGAAAAGAGACAACATTTTTGAGGAGTTAGAGAATAAAAAGGAGCAGAGAAGTGGGGCAGAACCTGAGGGAGGAATGTAAGATTTACAAGTTTTATATCTTCTGGCCGGGCTCGGTGGCTCACGCCTATCATCCCAGCACTTTGGGAGGCCGAGGCTGGCAGATCACCTGAGGTCAGGAGTTTGAGACCAGCCTGGCCAATGTGGTGAAACCCCATCTCTACAAAAATACAAAAATTAGCTGGACGTGGTGGCATGCACATGTAATCCCAGCTACTCAGGAGGCTGAGGCAGGAGAATTGCTTTAACCAGGAGGTGGAGTTTGCAGTGAGCCAAGATGCACCCCTGTACTCCAGCCTGGGCAACAGAGCAAGACGCTGTCTCCATAAAAATAAAATACATAAAAATAAATATGTTTTATATCTTCTTTTTAAGATAGGCAATATAGCATGTTTTCATTTTGATGAGAATAATCCAATAGACAGGGATAATGGCAGGAAGGAATTTCCCGAAAAGCGAAGACTGAGGGATGCACTGGAGCGAGGGGTTGGCTGCAGGCAGGAGCAGGGACACATCATGCACTTGCACAAGAGAAGTGGCTGTGGGGGCCAAATGTTTCTCCTATACAGATGTATTGACGTCTCAAACCCCAGTACCTGTGAACGTGAGCTTATTTGGAAACAGGGCCTTTGCAGATATATTAAGATGAGATCATATTCAATTAGGGTGGGCCTTAATCCAAGATGACAGGTGTTTCTATAAGGCCCTGTGAAGACACAGAGACCCAAGGAGGAGAAGGCCTCATGATGGCAGAGGCAAAGGCCGGTTTACTGCATCTACAAACCAAGGGTGTCGGGGATGCCGGCAACAGCAGAAGCACTCTCCCAAGGCCCTCCGAGAAAGCACAGCCCTGCCGAGATAGCACAGCCCTCCGAGAAAGCACAGCCCTGCCTACGGGACAATTTTGGGCTTCCAGCCTCTGGAACCCTAAGAAGACATATTTCTGTCATTAAAAGCCACCCAATTTGTGGTAGTTTATTATGGCAGCCCTGGGCAACTCAGGCAGCGTTAAGAGCAGGGCTGGGACAGATGCTGGGAGACCTAGGGATGAGAAGAGGAGGCTGCTTCCCTGTGATGAAATAAGATCAAATGTCTGTACCTCTTACCTGTCAGCCAGGGGAAACTGAAGCCAAAGTATTCCTGGATGGAGGAGATCGGCACCCTGTTTCATATATCAACAAAGAGAAAGTGACAAAGGCTAGTAAGAGCGTCTCATGCGTGCAAGAGTCACAGGTGAACTAGGTTGGACCAACACTCTCCTCCCTCCCCAGAAAAGCAAGCAGCCCAGGAAAGCACAGCAATGATGCCGACAATCATCCTCAATACTGACCACCTGTTTCCTCAGGAAATTCCTCTCTTCTTGATTCCTTACAGTCACTCTCTGCATGTGCCCCTCTCCCTCTCCCCCACCCCCCATTGCATTTCCCCTACACTCTGCTCTTGGCCCACGTGGCACCCACTGCCCCTGAGGCCCCAAGCCATCTCACAGGTGTCATAGTTTTAATCCTTACAATGTTGGCTTCTGATAAGAGCTTATTGACGACAGGAGGGAGGCTCAGAGTGGTCTGCCCTCTACTTTTCCCAGAGTGAAAAGTGCTTCTTTGCATCAGTTGCATTCCAACTTTCTGCTTCTGCAAGGCTGAGCCAAAGAAAGACATTTCCTCCAGTGCACCTTTTTGGAGTAAATTTCTTGAGGATGTTCTGCAGCAGACACAAGTAAGGAAAACTGAGGAAGCAAAGACAGATGCTACCCACCACGTAGTGAAAGGATGTCCAGGGTGACAAAGAGAAAAGGTCCAGCTTGGAGTCAAAGTTAAAGGGCAAGAAGCCTTGGCTAGGGCTGGAAGCAGAGGTGTCTTCATAGAGCAACTGGTGGTGTCATGTCCAAGCAATGAGACCAAAGGGGAGCCGAAGACGCCCGTCCTAAGGTATTGTGCAGGGAAGGGACGTGGGGGGAGGAGGAGGAGCTGAAGCAGGAAGCTCAACAAGGAGGAAAGAACCAAGGAAGGGAAGTGTAAGCAGTGGAGCATTAGGGTGGTGTCTTAGTTCGGGCTGCTGTAACTAAATACCATAGACTGTGCAGCTTACAAACAACAGAAATGTATTTCTCACAGCTCTGGAGGCTAGGATTCCAAGATCAAGGTGCTGGCAGATTCGGTGTCTGCTGAGGGCCCATTCCTGCTCATGGATGGCAACTTCTCACTGTGTCCTCACGTAGTGGAAGGGGCAAGGGGTCTCCACTGGGCCTCTTTTATTTTTTATTTATTTTATTTATCTATTTTTTTGAGATGGAGTCTTGCTCTGTCACCCAGGCTGGAGTGCAGTGACTCAATCTCGGCTCACTGCAATCTCTGTCTCCTGGGTTCAAGCGATTCTCCTACCTCAGCCTCCCAAGTAGCTGGGACTACAGGTGCATGCTACCACACCTGGCTAATTTTTTGTATTTTAGTAGAGGTGTAGTTTCACCATGTTGTCCAGGCTGGTCTCCAACTTCTGAGCTCAGGCAATCTGCCTTCCCCAGCCTCCCAAAGTGCTGGGATTATAGGCATGAGCCACCGTACCCGGCCTGGGGCTCTTTTATAAGGGCACTAATCCCATTCACGGGGCCTCCACCCTTATGACCTAATCACCTCCCAAAGGCCCCACCTGCCAATACCCACACACTGTGGTTAGGTTTCTACATATCCATGCGGGAGCGGGAAGTGGGACACAAACATTCAGTCCACAGCAAGTGGGCAGATGAAGATGTCTGGGGAGATTTTAGACCAGAAGGCCACAGCCCGTGGCTGGGGTTTGTAAACCCCCAAGTGCTTGTTTTCTGGGATGGATGAAGCCCATTCAAAGGTGAAGCCTACTTTGCATTGCCCTTCAACCATCATACGGCACACTGTGGCCTCTGCCTCTGAGCCCCTGCAACCCTCTGTAAGCTCTGTGCACAAAGCCAGGGATCCTTTACCAAAGCAGGGGCCACCAGCCAGTGACGTGTCACCCATGCAGGTGTTGGGTTTTTCAATAAGATCATCAGCACACCCTCTGCTGCACACCCAAAGAACACATTTTCCTAGGTCTTATTTTCCTAGGTCTTACTGAATTTTTCTGATAATCCAATGAAGCTTCTACCCACAAGAAATGAAGCTGGGCTCCCAGGAGGCTCACCTTCTCCTGCTGGCCCAGCCTGAAGAGCAGGTCTCTACGTGGACTTACTGTTTTCATTGCAAACTGGTTCAGAGCTCAAAACTGTATGGGTCTGCATTTTACTAGCTCTGTAACCTTTGGCAAGTTACTTAAGATGGAGTTACTTAAGCCCTTTGCATCTCAGCTTCCTCATTTGTAAAACCAGGTTACTGATACAGTTATGAGGATTAAATAATATATATAAAACACGGCAGGACCTGTCGTGGTAAGTACCATACAAATGTTAGCTATTGATATGACTACTACTATTATTGTTATTGCTGCCTCATATGGCAAGAGACTCATCACACCTCTTGTCTGATTTGCGGAAGTTACAACTCAGGGCCCATGGCTTCTTTGTCCTCGATAATGTCAACCCTTAAGTTTTGGGAAAGTGTCACAGGCATGAGACTCTGACATTCCTGAGTCTCTACGGGGGCCAAATGCTCTTTTCGCCGTTCTATGATGTCTGAACGCTCCCATTTGCACACTGCAGGAAGCCTTTTTATCCCTCTGCTCACCCCATCTCGACTCCTGTAAGATTATTTTTAAAATTTGAACACAAAACTACATGCAACAATATGGATGAATTTCTCAAACATGATGATAAATGAGAGGAGACAGACAGATGACTGCCAACGTTATGATTCCATTTACAGAAAGCTCAAAAACAGGCAAAACTAATTTGTGCTGTTAGCAGCTAGGATGGTGATTATACTTGGCAGGGATACAGGAGTGACTAGATTCGATCCTGAGGAAGGCTTTCCGGTGGCTGGAAATGTTTAATTTCTTGATCTCAGTCTTGACAGCATGAAATTATTCAATCGGTAAAAATTCATTGAGCAGTACCATCATCATAGGAGTACTCTTCTGCAGGTACATTATATTGCAACAATTTTTTTTAAATGAAAATGACATCTGCATTAGTTTCAACATTTAAACATTATTCTGCTTAACTTGGAAATCTGGGTTGGAAGATCTGGCAATATCGAACCCACAACCCCACCAGGCAACAATGGGCGAGAGCTGAGTAGCCTGGGTGCCCACCCCCACCCTACCCCCACCATTCATTACACCCACTGCCCATCCCTACTGCCTCCCTGATGCTGAGGCTGCGGCCGGTGCCTGCCATCTGTCCTCACATGTACCTGTTGGTTCTCTTAGCTTCCCACCACTTCCCTGCAGGGATTTGTGTTTCCAATCCCATTAAAGCTCCATTCCAGTGAATCCTGACCAGCCAACCAGTCCTGGGACTTGGCCAGCACTTTGTAAGAGAAGTTCCAGAACCCTTGCTTTGCTCACAGCTCACTCTCTGGACCCTTTTTTGCCTTAGTTCACCTTCTACACCCCTCCCCTGCCTGCCCTGGTCGCCACTCCCCAAGACCCCTGTCCTTCTGTGCCATCTGAACCCCATGTTTGAGGTCATACCCAGGGTCTGATGGGGCTCCCCCTTTGGACTGCAAAGACAGTCACCCTCTGGACTCCATCTGCCCCCAGCTGCTCTGGGCAGGACCCCAACAATCTACTCTGATATCCCAGACCCCTTCCCTAGGATAAGTTATGGTCCAGTAATCGGGCCACGCTCAGGACTCCTGCGGCAGACATGACCTAGCTCCATGTATTACTCCTTAGGCTCACGTCTCACAGACTTTTAAAAATCTCATAGTATATTTGTCCTGCTCCCGATGTGGTCTCAGGGCCAGCTGGAGTCAGATGGGAGGGGGGTTCCATGATTCCCAAACCCCCAGCTTTTGTCTTTTTAAGTGACCTGATTCAAGCTGTCAGCCCTGTCACATTCTCTCCTGCCCACAGACATTTTTGTGTAAACTAATTATTTCATGATAGTGCTCTTCTATGGGCAAGTCAGCTTTCCAATTGATCCTTGTTGCTTATAAAGTGCCTCATTAGCTATCACAGAAGCTCAGCTATCCATTCTGACAGCCATGGAAGCAGCCATTCTGTGTGTGAGTGACGTGGGAACGTGCGGGTCTCTACTGGAGTCACCCCCATCAGGGATGCCCAGAAAGGCAGGTGCAGCATGCAGGCAGGTGAGCAATGCAGACACCTGTGCTTTGCAGTTCACCCAGCCTGTTGTCATTTCAGCGTCTTAAGTGAACCTCTAGCAGTGGCCAGATTACTGGATTTTGTGGGTGACATGCTTCAAAGCACAGCGTCCCTGCTCAAAGCTCATGACAGTAAGCCAGCATTGCTCAGGTGCCCAGGCTTGAAGAGTGTCCACCAACACATGGCCAACACTCTGTGTTCTCCAGAGTGCAGGGCACTGAGGGTGATAGGAGAGGTCCTGGGGAAGCCCTTGTCCTCCCTCTCATCTTCCCCCAGCATAGAACATCAGAGCCAGTCATGAAAGAGTGTGGCAGGCTGCGGGTGCCGGGGTGTGGAGACCAGGGTACAGGCACCGGGGTGTGGGTGCCATTGCCACCAGGCCAAGGAGAAAGAAATGAGAGGAGGAGGCTGGAAGGTGAGGAGAGGGAGGAAGGAGGAAGGGGAGAAAAGACGAAATAAAAGGAAATCCGCACGTCCTTTTGCATATTTGTAAAATAATACATCCTTTGAGTAGCTCATCCGCGTGCTGATTCGCTTTTTAACTCTCCTGTGGGTTCCCCAACCCACTGCAGCCATTCCCTAATCCATCCAGTGTCTGTGTTTCAATTAACTCAAGGCACAGCTTCATATTCTATTCTGCCCTGGCCTTAATGTGACTGAGAATAAGCCTACTGAGGTGTGAAGAAGATTAAATGAAGAAACAGGACATAAAGTTGGACTGTAGTAAGAAGGAAAGATCCACCAGAGACTCAAAATGCTAATTACTCATCCGAGTGGTCTGCAGAGGGAGGCACGCGGCCTGCCTGCTTCCTTTGAAGATCGTCTCCCTTCTGATCCTTCTGTTTATTCAGATAATATCCCATAACAAAGAAGAGAGTATAGAATATTAACGTAATCCTAGGGTGGGGTAATCCTATAGCAGTTGGGCTAGAGAGGAGTCCAAGTTTCCAACAAGGTCAGACACTGCATGAGAGGCACCCCGTCTCTCTCCCCATCTGGCCTGACCCCACATGGGGGGATGTGATTCCGAGAAGCCGAGCTCCAACCTTGCAGAATCTTTTTCTTCATGCCAATGGCTGGCCCTTTTTTCCAAGATTGCCCCGAGAAGGGAGTTTGTGTATGATTTTCAGATGTCTGCTCTCAGCTGATAAGAAGTAGCCTTATTCTGATTGTTCGTCTTACTGTCACAGAGCATAGAGGGTCTGGTTGATGCCATAACCTGAATCCCCAAGACCTCGCCAGCCTGGTGGCAGAAATTCTAACAAGTCAACCCATGGCGCCATGGTGACAAGAGCCTCCCCTCTCATGGCAGCCCTCTGGCCTAGGATCTGAAACCCTCCTCCAAACTTCCTCCACTCATTTCTGGAGCCCCCGGGAGGTTTCGTGTGTGCCCAGCATGACGCTTCCATTCCAGGGGTCCTCCTGCAGGCATCTGGCCCCTCTCTCTGTGCTTGCTGCTGGTCTCCTGTGTGAGAACGCTGACACCTGGCCAGCATCCTGCCTCCCGGGCACCCAGTGCACTCAAGATTCCTGCACGATGCGTTCTCTTCGGGGTCACATTGCCAGGACTCACAGGTTCCTCAAAGGCGCGTGTTTAGGTGACCTGCCACCATGACCTGAGGCTTCGGGAAACAGCCCCTGCAGTGAAAGACCCCTCGGCCACACTGGAAACTGGTGAAATTTACTTTGTGCATGCATACACTTTCTCTGGAGGGCTGCATTGGAGAAGAGCTACAGTGATTGTTGGGAGAGAAACTAGGAAACAGGGGGCAAGTGGGAGGGTCTTCTGTTCCCCAGGTATGGATTTCCTGTGAGGACTTAAGCTTAGAGGCCCCTCACAGCACAGCCCCTTTTGAGGCCCTGGGTTGGAGGATTGGCGTTCAGGCCATGTGCTCATACAAACATCTGTTTTTGTCAGATTTGCCAAAGACATTTGCTGTGTTGTTAAAGAGAAGGCCTTGCATGGTATAAACTTCTGGACCTGCACAACTTAGAACCACCCTGCTTTTCCCAAATACCCTCCTGGACATCTTAGTATTTTACCACGTTCACATGTTACAGTTTTACTTTGTTTTAATTGCTCTGTTACAACCTGAAATGAGCAGGAAAGGACGGAAGAAAGGGAAGAAAATTCACACGTGGTTCAGCTGCTAGATTATGAAGAAGAAATACCAGAGATCGCTGGGCACAGTGGCTCACGCCTGTAATCCCAGCTCTCTGGGAGGCCAAGGCAGACAGATCACCTGAGGCCAGGAGTTCGAGATGAGCCTGGCCAACATGGTGAAACCCTGTCTTTAACAAAATACAAAAACCAGCCAAGCGTGGTGGCGGGCGCCTGTAATCCCAGCTACTCAGGAGCTGAGGCAGCAGAATCACCTGAACCCAGTAGGCGGAGGTTGCAGTGAGCTGAGATCGTGCTATTGCACTCCAGCCTAGACCATAGAGCAAGATGCAGGCTCAAAAAAAAAAAAAAAAAAAAAAAAAAAAAGAAATACTAGAGATTAAAAAAGGGGGAGCATTCATTTTAAAAATCAGAAACTAAAATGAGATGGCCTACCAAAATCTCTTTTTCGTAGTGTCTGGTATAGAAAGAAAACAGGGGTTGCTTTTCCGGGCGGAACTACATCAGGTTGCACATGAAAACAGAAATTAAAAACTGACAGTCCAAGGCGTCCTTCCTGACCTCCTTCAGCGTGTGTTCCATGTCTCGCGGGGAAACTCTGGCCCACAAATATGGAACCACAGGATGCTGACACGCAAAGCAAGCCGCCTGGAAAATGACTCAGACGCTCCCGCCGGCTGAGCGCAGCCCGCAGACACCGCAGTGCAGGCCCCGGGGTGCGGGACAATGGCAAGCCCGGCAGATGTCTGGGGACATTGAAAGGAACATAATTACCGCCATCAATTTTCCTTTTACACAGCCCTTCGAAAGCGGTTTTCCCAAAAAGAGCAGTAGAGCTTTTCAATAAAAATGCTTCTTTGCAATTTTCATGCAAGTCAGGGTAGGCAGGCCGGCCCTTAGGGTTGTCCTATTTTCTCAAGCAGTGAAAACAATATTAGACTTGTGTGTTCTAGTCCCAGCTGCACCCCCGATCCACTAAATGGTGGCTTTGGGTTTCCCACTTAACCCCTTAGTCTCCTCCTCACCAAAAGGGAAGAAAATCTTTTTTTTTTTTTTTTGAGAAGCTCAAATGAAATAATGTCACTGAGAAAGCTGCTAAAAGCAGAGTGCTATAAAAACACACAGTTCTTTATTATTAATGTCTTTTTGTTTTGGTGAGCTAATGGTGGTTTTTATGAGCTAATGGAGCTAATTTAACCCAGAATTACCCAGGAGCTGAGAGCAAAGTTTTCTAGATAGATTGTCTGTCTCTGGGGAGATCATAATTCTCTTGTAAAGTCAGCGCCTCTTGTGATACTGCCTCATTCTTATGCATGCATCCACTCATCTTCTTTGTCTTCCAAACCCTTTGATTTGATTCAGGTGAGCCTTACCCGGTCCGTGCTTCACCTCTTTCTTCTTTCTCCATAATTCAGTTCTACTTGTTGGATCCATTGATTTGCTCAGCAAAGACTGATTGAGCCTCCACCATCTGGTAGGCCACAAGTCAGACGCAGCTCTCAGCTGGAGTGGCTCAGCCTTGGAGAAAACAGCCGCATAAACGTGGGTGACAACACAATGAAATTGTGCCAACATAAGGCCGGGCACTGCAGTCTCTGGGAACTTAAAAGAGGGTGAGATTGATGACACAGCTCGGTTTCATTAGTATCTTTTTAGTTCTCTTCCCTGAATACTTCAAATATACATGTATCTTTGAGTTGACTGAAGATTTGATGAGTTTGTTGAAAACAAACTGAAAAACAGAGTTATAATTTAAAATAACTGGATCAGTGATAAGGAAAAACATATTCCAAGCATAATGTGGTCATCACCAATTTAAATAGTTGGTCACCCAAGGACACAATTTATCCTAGAGATTCACAGGCAATTTAACGGGTCATGACTCAAAGAAATAGGCAGAAATTACTATTAAACTAGTCTTAAAAAGCGGTCGGCAAATGGTGATCCTTAAACAGTTGACACCAAGGTCCTGTGTTTTAGAATTTATGCACTGAAATTTTCATTTTGGAAGATTAAGAGAGTCATATAAATTGGTTGTGGGTTAATTCACCTCCTATAGCTTTTAAAAGTCAGGCATTGTGTTTGATACACAATTATTTCACTAAGAATGCATCGTTGCAGAACGATAGTTCTCATCTGACTGAAACCAGTAGACTGTACCATCCCTGTTGACTGCCTGATGTTTTTGGAAGCAACACAATTCTAAAAGCAAAACCACCAATTGTTATGAAAAATTACATGGGCTCCTATACTTTGTGTAACAGGTGAAAACCCCAAACAGGGAAAGGAAGACTCATTTAGGCTTCACTCTGGAAGGACATTTCCCTCCTAGTCTGCCCTCTCAGGGAACTTGAATCGTGATGCTTCTTGCCATTAGGGCCACCTGGTTTGAATCCTTCACCATTCTCTGAAGACCTGGGTTCAAATCCCAGCTTAGCCCCTACCTAGCCCTGTGGGTCAATTGATTTTCCTAAGTGTTCATTTTCTCAACTAAACTAGAGGTTATGGAGGCTACTTTCAAGGTTGCTAAGGGAATTCATCGTGACACCATGTGCTTAGCCCAACGGCGCTTGGTAAATGCTCAATAAAAGATAGATATCCTCATTGATTAATGCTCCCCAAAGGAGTCCTTTTAACACAAAATTTTGCCAAGATAGCAGAAAGGATTGATGTGGCATGAAGGGTATACATTAAACATCTCCCTTAATTATGACAATATCCGTGACAAATAATACTCTTTTTTTTTTCTTTTTTTTGAGACAGGGTCTCCCTCTGTCACCCAGGCTGGAGTGCAGTATCGCAATCTTGGCTCACTGCAACCTCTACCTCCGGGACTCAAGCAATCCTACCACCTCAGCTTCCTGAGTAGCTAAGACTACAGGTGCACTACCATGCCTGGCTAATTTTTGTATTTTTTGTAGAGACAGGGTCTCACTATGGTGCCCAGGCTGGTCTCAAACACCTGAGCTCAAGTGATACACCTGCCTCAGCCTCCCAAAGTGCTGTGATTACAGGCGTGCACCACCGCGCCCGGCCAAATGAGAAATCCCCCTGCCCTGCTTCTTTTTCTAGCTCTCCCTCTTGGTTGTATTTAAGTCATGATATTCTTCTGTGACCCTGCCTTGCCTGCTCTCACGCCTTCAGTCAGTTGCTCTCTCTCTCTCACTCTCTTTTTTAGCTGCGTGAAGTTCACAATTTAAGTATAGCCCCTAAGTCTTCATCACATACATTCCTACAGCTTTGGATTCCTCAGTCCCTAAAGGCTGCTACATAGATCCATGCAGTATGGGAGCTAAGGAAACTCGTTCTTCTCTCATGAGGGTTTAGCAGGAGGTGAGCTTTCAAAGCAGCTCTCCACTCTCCCTGCTCCCGTAACTCTGGGGTGGAACAGAAATACTGAGATGGACTGCCCGTTCTGTGTGTTTGTTCGTTTGTTTTTATGTTTGTTTTAGTGGGAAGATAATTTCCAAGTAAGATGATGGGTTTCTTAACTATGCAGAAGTCCCAGTTACTTCCTGTGTCTTTTGACCAAGCACTCCCCACTCTTTCCCATGGCAACAGCAGCCTGAGGTTTTTCTTTCAAAAGAAGAGTTAACGTGTATTTTAAAATTGTGTTGTGCTGCTGACCAGACAAGGATTAAAAAAACAAATAGATCTCAGTATTAAGTGGAATTTGGGCTAAATCCATAAGTCCCCATGCCTTGGTGATTGCTGTTTACACATTGACTTACTGTTTGCACAGTTCTCTGCTCTGCACTTCTAGACTCCAATCCATGCTGTACAGTGTGCATTTCTAAGACATGGGATTCTGTCTCTACAGGCTTTCCGAAATATCTCTTCTTTTTAAATACAAAACTAAAATCTAGATATAGTCACCATATGTGAAGGTTACCTGTGTCTGCAGACATAGATTTATTAACCTATTATCAATATTAATGCAAACTATCCTGCAAAACCTCAGGTCTAGAATAGTCTCCCTATGTTAAAGGGGAGATGATAACCAATGCAAAAAGCTTGTGTTTATAACCGGCAATTTCAGTGAAGGTTCTAAAGCCAGCTGCTACTGAAGAGACTCAGCTCAAAACAAAAGACAGACCAAGGGCTCGGATTTGCCCCATAATCAGAATGCCAGCCGCACTGTGCCGCTGTTGACACTGGCCTGGGAGGTGCCCGCTCGAATGGTCCCTCCAGCTCACTGGTTTTGCATACGATCACCAGGCTGCAGCCTCCATGAGTCTCCAAGGTAATCCTAGACAGCAAGAATCTTCCTCCTTATTAACAGCCCTGGCTGTAATTTACAGCTCTGTTTTCTATGCTGCCATTTCTAGCACTGCTATAAATTCCGCCACTAATCTTAGGCTCAGAAAAGTCTTTTTACAACTTGCCACCACTGCACAAATGTCAGTGGAGCCTGCTTTTAATAAACAGAGTGACTGGCAGAGGACCAAAGAAGATAAATGGTCAACAGGGCAAAAGTCATCTTGGATGTGTCTCCCTCCTCTATCTGAATTGCTCTTCCTAATTCCTACTACACTAACCAGAATTTTTAGGTTGCATTAACTCACTCTATCCATAAAGAAAATATTAAATACATTCATCTATACAAAAATGTGAGATGTAGGCTGGGTGTGGTGGCTCATGCCTGTAATCCCAGCACTTTGGGGGGCGAAGGCCGGGGATAGTTTGTGCCCAGGAGTTTGACACCAGCTTGGGGAACATAGACCTCTCATCTCTACAAAAAATAAAAAAAATTAGCCAGGTGTGGTGGTACGTGCCTGTAGTCCCAGCTACTTGGCAGGCTGAGATGGGAGGATCACCAGAGCCTAGGAAGTCGAGGCTGCAGGGAGCCAAGATCTCGCCACTGCACTCTAGTCTGGGCAACAGATTGAGACCCTATCTCAAAACAAAACAAAAAAAAAAGTGAGACGTAGTTCAGTAACCTCTCCAGGGGTATATGCATTTTCAAATCCAGAGTTTAGGGGTTAATTAAAATTAGTAATTTTCAACATATGTTTGCTCTCTTAATAAAAGAAAAAGATTTCTATGAATAAAAGTTGGGGACGATGGGTTTAAAATATCTTTATGTTAGGACTTCTCAGAATCATGAACATGCTAATATGAATCATATTTCTCCAAGGGACACCTAGAGTGTGTAGAATTTTCCAAATATCTTTGACCACGAACCCCATTTTTGAAAGAATATTTTGGGAAACAAGTTTCTTGGGCAATACTGATCTAAGAGATACATTCCTAAAAGTAAAACTACAGTGATGGGGAGACCCTAAAGGTATAAACGCCTTCCTGGTCATCCATTTTGTGTGGAAAAGAAATGTACCCCAAGTTGAGAGTATACATTGACTCATGGGCAGTGGCAAATGGCTGAACTGAATAGTTAGTGGCCTGGAAGGTACAAGGTTGAGAGACTGAAGATTCATGTAGAAAGACTGGAAGACTGGAGACAGGAAGTCAGGGAGAGAGGTGTGTGGATGGGCCTGTGGAAGTGGACATAAAGAGTGAAGACCTTTATATCACAAGTTAATGCCCACCAGAGAGCACCTGCCGCAGGGGAGGGACTAAAGCAACAAGCAGAGAGAAGGACTCAGGCAGTAAACGTCAGTCTCTGTCATTATCCACCCAGTGCTGGCCCCAGGGGTTTGTGGAAGGAATAGCTACCGTGACAGCAATGGAGACTATGCATGGCTCGACAGCAAGGAACTTCAATTCACTAAGGCCAATCTAGCTGCTGCTATTTCCAGATGTCATGTCTGCCAGCCACAGAAACCGATGCTGAGCCCGGATGTGGTACAATTTCAGTCCAACCAGCCACCTGGGGGCAAGGTGATTACATAAAACCCTGACACTCTGGACAGCACAGGGGATTCGTCTTGACTGAAATCGACGTATATTCTAGGTATGAGTTTGCCTTTGTTTGCAAGGCCTCGGTCAACTATCTGAAGACTTGGACATGTGTGAGCCGTCTGTACAAGATGCTGCATAGCAACGAGCTGCATCTAGGGACGCAGATGGGATTAATCACCGCATCACTCTAATCCTCACCCAGCCTTCCCCTCTGTGTTCCCTTCTCCGTATAAGGACACCTGTCCTTGGATTTAGGACCCATCAAGATGACCTCATCTTGAGCTCTTTAACTTAATTACACTTGCAAAGAGGCTTTTTCTAAATAAGGTTTCATTCACAGGTACTGGGGGTAGGACATAGATACATCTTTTTGCTCACTCCCATTCAACCCATAACACGTAGAAAGCTCACTGTGCACTTTGTGCTTACTGGGAAGCCCTGCAGAAGAGTCAGACTTAAAAAAAAAAAACTGCTGAGCACATTAACAACCCACCTGCAACCACTTTCTTCTCTCATCCCCTCCTCCCTTCCTCTTTTTTGCCCCCTTTTTCATTCTTCTATGCAGTCCAGCTTTCTCTATCTCCCCAGGAAGAAAGCCGATACCCTTCTCTGAAGCCCACCTACCCACAGTTCGAGCTTCTTGCAGAGACTGATTCATGCCTCTGAATCCCAGTTTAAAGTTTCTTGGGGGAGAGAAACTGCTTGCCCGGCTTGGATCAGGGTCCACCCCCAATCCATTGAGTTGTGACCCAGAGTCAGGACAGATGGTGTCGGTGTTCTCACCAGGTGTGGGGCGTAATTGCTAGTTACCTACCCTCAATGCCTGCTCTCCCTTCTTCCTTGGGATAAGGCTCTGGTTCTCCACTGGGCACATAAAGACTCCTTCCAAGGCTCCCTTGAAGTCAGATGTGGCCTCACAACTAAATTACGGCTAGCAAGATGAGAACAGAGGTGTTACATGGCAGCTTCCAAAAATATTCTTAAAAGACAGCAGGAACATGCCTTTTGCTTCCCCTTACCCCTTGTCCCACCATGCAGCATAAAATATAGATGTGTTGAAAGTCTAGCCACCACTTTCTATTTTTTTCTAATTAGAGATGGGGTCTTGCTCTATCACCCAGGCTGGAGCGCAATGGTGTGATCATAGCTTACTGCAGCCTCCACCTTCTGGGCTCAAGGGATCCTTCCCCATCAGCTTCCCAAGTACCCGGGACTACAGGCAAGTGCCACCCTGCTCAGCTAAGTTTTTAGTAGAGACAGGATCTTGCCATATTGTCCAGGCTGATCTTGAACTCCTGGGCTCAAGCGATCCTCCCATGTCAGCATCCCAAAGTGCTGGGATTACAGGCATGAGTCACCACGCCCAGCCTAACCTTCATTTTCAACCAGAAGATGAAGCCTCCATCCCAGAGGTAGCAGAGCAAAGTGTTGAAATGTGTCTGCACCCCTTAAAACCTCAGGGAGCCTCCGTGCCAGGGCTGGACTTCCTACCTCTGAACTTCCTTTACATGAGAGAGTAATAAATTTCTCTCTTCTTTCAGACATCTTCTATTTGGGTTTCTGTGTTATAGGTAGCCAAATTTAATCTTAGCTAATATAAAGGCCAACTTTTTGGGGGGACAATTCACAAAAAAAAAAAGACCAGGAGAGCACTGTGCACTACGTCGCCTTTCCAGAATGGTCTTTCACCAGGCACGAGGGCAGATCTCTACGTCCCCAGAAATCTGATGTGTCCTGCATTGTCCACCACCAGCCTCTCTGGGTCATCAGACTGGGGAGGCTGTCTAGGTCCAAGACCACCCATGCTGGTCTCTACAAGGCCAGGTGTTATCCCAGGAAAGGGGTGCCTCATTTCTCCACCAAAGGACAAATGGTGTCAGTGTTCTCACCAGGTGTAGGGTATAACGGCTGGTTACCCACCCCCAATGCCTGCTCTCCCTTCTTCCTTGGGATAAGGCCCTGGTTCTCCACTGTGCACATAAAGACTATCTTTCCACGGCTCCCTTGAAATCAGATGTGGCCTTATGACTAAATTCTGGCCTGCAAGATGAGAAAAGAAGTGTTACATGGCATTGTTACATGGCAGCTGGTATGTTTCTTGGAGCTTCTATGAAGCACTCGGCGTGGGGCAGCTGGAATCAAAAAGCCCTGCTGTCCTGGGGAATCAGCAGCCAGGTGGGTGGGTGGCATTATATGGGCTGCTGAAGATAACAGCAGAGCAAGGAGGATGGAGCTGGGACCATTATAGGCCAGAGAGAAACCAGGTATGAATGTCAGGCCATTTTCAGAGCATGGAACAGACCCAATGGGTTGGAATATGCCTTTCATTCTTCCTTTTTATTGAAACACACGGCCAATAAGTGTGTGTCAATAAGTGTTATTGAAGGTTCATTTTTGACAATACATGGACCTTCACAATCCTCACTAGCAGCAGCACTGGGACATTGGCCACCAATTCCAAAGGCTCAACCCATGCCTGGTACAGGGACAGCTTTCCTGCCAAGGCTGCCCAATAAGCCAGGACTATCCCCTTCTGCAGGGACCAGCAACAGGACAGAATGATGCAGCAGCCCAAGTATTCCAAGTGTTGTAGGATCATGGACCCCAATGAGCAAGTGCCGGTGCTGGGATAGAGTGGGAGATGAAGACTACAAAGGGCATCACCTCTGTGTCAAGCGTAGGCTGTCATGCACTCAGGACCAAAGACCATGCCCCCAGGTTGTGGCCACCTGGAATTCCTCCAGATCTACTCACCCATGACCCCCGGGAGCCCTTCCCCAGCCTCTCTACTTTAAAATTCTGCCTCCCACACCAGCACCTCCCATCCACCTCCCTTACTTTATTTTTGTTGCTGCCTCCACTCCTGTCTGACATCCTGTATGCTGCCTGCTTTGGAGATTAGCCCGGCTGTGGTGGAGGAGCTTGGCTGGATCACCCCAATGCACTTATTGTTTCATTTATTACCTGTCTCCCCATCAAGCTCCATTAGGACAAATGCCTTCCTCTCTCCCATTCTCTGCTGTATCTGCAAGGCTTAAAACAGCGCCTGGCGCGGTAGGTGTCCAATAAATACTTGTTAAATGAGAGAATGAATGTTCCGGACCTGCCGGTCAGTATAGTTATCTGCTGGGCCCAGGTCCAGATAGGAAAGTGACCTGAATCCTTGGATGTGAATGTTGCACAGACATCAAACAAGGGCCTGGCTTCCCATGGTTCCACCAGAAAAATCTGGGGACAAATCCAATGGTGGGAATGGGCAGAGCTGGCCCTCACAGGTACCTACTATGAGAAGGCTGATATGTTTCTTGGAGCTTCAGTAAAGCACTCAGTATGGCATGGCTGGAATCAAAGAGCCCTGCCGTCCTGGGGAACCAGCAGCCGGGTGGGTGGATGGGATTAGAGGGGCTGCTGAAGATAACAGCAGAGCAGGGAGGATGGGTCTGGGATGATTAATGACCACAGGGAAAGCAGGTATGAGGCACACACCCCCTCCTGCTCCCTTCTCCTCAAACTGTTAAACTGACTCAGCCGCCAGGCCAGGATGCCTGTCGTAAGGTTTGACTCGGTTCTTTTGGAGGGGCCAAGCTAGATCATGAAAAAATTGCTTGTGTAGGGCAGAATCATCCTGGACTAGTCCAGCCACCCAAACTCCAAGGTTCAAAACTTGAGACCAGTGACTGAGATCCACTCTGAGGAGGCAGCCCAGGGCATCCTCTGAGCTCCCTGCTGGGCCCAGAGGAGTGAAGGCTGTAGCACACCAGAGCCAGCTTCACCAGCAGGCAGCCTGTGCCAGCTCTCAAGGACCCATGCTCATAGGGCCTGTGCTTGGTTTAATTCTCCACTGTTGTCATTTTAAAATTTTTAATAATTTTTTAATAAAAGACTCTGCATCTTCATTGTGCACTAGGACATGCCAATTATGTAGCCAGTCCTGCAAACATGTACCTGGGTCTCCCAGGATTTCTGCCATATCTCTTGTACATAGCACACGTGAGGCTGACACCCCATTTCATTACTTTCAATCACTGGTGGTACAAAGATGCCTGCTGCTTGGAATTATCTAGTACCAGGAGACCCATGTGGCCAGAAAACCAAACAGGTCATACAAGTCAGACAGACGACTATCATGTAAGATAGTCACCTACTCTGTGCCAGGCACTGCAGTGAACCCACCCTTGGATCTTCCTATCACCCTTGAAAGGCTGATATTATTGTCCTCCTTTGGTAGATGAGCAGGCCTGGAGCCTCACCACCTAATGGTGCCTGGAATACATTAGGAGATCATTAAGTACTTGTTGAATATTCAAACATTATTTGCAAGGTGTACTTACTTTTTGCATTGATTGCAGATTTTGAGACAAGATATAGGTGAACTACACAATACTGGGCATGGAATGCTTGAACATCAACCATTCATTCAACAAACATTTATTGGGCCCCTTCATATGCCTAGACTATGCTAGGTGCTGGGGCACCCTAACAGACCCAGTGCTGCAGCTCATGGGCAGCACTGGCTGGCATTCCATAGGATGCATGATGGTCCATGTCGAAGAAGGATTCGTTTTCAGTTGGGACCTCCAACAGAGAAACTCTTCCTCTTCCCAAAGGGAGTGAACAGGTCAAACAACCCCCTTCACCACCACAGACCAGGAATGTGCATTGATTGTGCAGGAAACACAGATACCCTAACAAAGACTACTCAGATGATAAGAGGAGTTACTTTGGTGAAAACAAGTCAAGCAGGCAGCCCGCATTTTTACAGGGCAGACCGGAGGGAGCCAAAGCCTCTACACAATCTATTGATTTCCACTGAAAGTGAACTTTCAGCTATTGCATTAGCCAAGGCTAAGAATTACTCCCAAATAGCTATTTTTAAAACTTTTTTAAAGTGCTATATTTTTAGCAAAATATCTATGGGATAAGAACCATGGGAGGCACAGGGAGACAATCAATAGAAATTGGGAGAAATGAAAACCAGATGGTTCAGCGCTCAGATGATTCCCTTTGCCACATGGGACAAGAGCTATCACCACCTCCCTGTGCAGAAGAAATGGCACCCAGTGAACAGTAGTAGTCTTCCTGGTTGTTGCACATGATTGTACTCACATGACCAGAGTGTGGTTCTTAACCCAGGACAGTGTATTATCAACACAATCCTTTTTCACTTTCATGCCACCTCCATTAAGAATGCTCAGCAAATATTGACATATTTGGTTCCCTGGATGCACAAGATTTTAAGTGACAATCATTCAAGACTAGCCCCCAGAGACCAGCAAATTAATTCCCTTAAAGAATTATTTCCTAGGCCAGGCACTGTGGCTCACATCTATAATCCCAGCATTTTGGGAGGCCAAGGCAGGCAGATCACTTGAGGCCAGGAGTTCAAGACCAGCCTGGCCAACACAGTGAAACCTTGTCTGTACTAAAAATACAACAAAATTAGCTGGGTGTGGTGGTGCATGCCTGTAATCCCAGCTACTCGGGAGGCTGAGACATGAGAATTGCTTGAACTCAGGAGGCAGATGTTGCAGTGAGCAGAGATCATGCCACTACACTCCAGCCTGGGTGATAGAGTAAGACTCTGAAAAATAAAATAAAGAAGAGAGAAAGAGAGAGAAAGAAAAAGAAAGAAAGAGAGAAAAAGAAAGAAAGAAAGAGAAAGGAAGAAAGAAAGAGAAAGGAAGAAAGAAAGAGAAAGAAAGAAAGAAAAGAAAGAAAATTCTGTCCTTATAAGGACACATTTCAGACTCAGTTTCATTGTTTATTTGCTGTTGTACAACTGTATTCCTTTCCTACAGATCATTTGTCTCATCTCTACCTATTTAGTAATTAGGATATGTATCCATTATCTATTGCTGTGAAACAAATGACTCTAAATTTAGCAGCTTAAAACAACAATAAACATCTATTACAGTGTCTGTGGGTCAGGAAGTTGTGAGTGGCTTGGCTGGTGGTTCTGGCTTAGGATCACTCACACAGTTGCAGTCAAGCTCTCAGCCAGGGCTACCGTCATCTGAAGGCTTGATTGTGGCTGAAGAATCCATTTCCAGGATGATTCACTCACAAGACTGGCAAGTTGATGCTGGCTGTTGGCAGGAGACCTCAGTTCCTCAGAATTCATCTCTGCGAGTACACGCTACTTATTATAAAGTGACACCTTCATGGGGAATGAACAAACTTAAATTGTACAAAAGACTAGAAATATAATTTTGATAAAATTGGTTGAAATAAACATTTTGCAAATCATAGAATGTGTTATTCAATATAAAAGCTGGTCAAAAATTCAGTCAGAGCCACAAAGAGAGAGTTGTGATTGTAAGTGATGTTATAGGACAGTTAATTCAGACAGAGCACACCGCAAAATGAAAAATATGAAAATGCTGTTTGCAAAACAGAATCCAGTCCTTTGTGGTGAATCAGTTTCATTCATTTGATATGAATTCTGCACCTACCTAATTCCTACTGCTGTTCTAGGCATTGGATAGACAACAAGGGATAAAAGGGCAAAGACCCTCTTCTCACATCACTGGTGATGGCATATTCTGCCTGAGTGAGGTTCTAAAGAAATTATACATGTATTCAAGAAGCCCTTTCCATGTGAAGTCCTTGTGCCACGTGGCAAATATTGTCTTATTGTCAGCAAGTTATAACAATCCATAGGAAGATTCTCAGACACAGAAAATAAGCCAATGACTTCCAGGTCAGTGCATTCCAGCTCATGTGCTTCACTGCTTGGCTATGCTGCTGACTTTAAGGATACACTTCCAGCTCTGGAGCATCTAAGGACTCTACCACTTCTTACATGGGTTCCCCTAGACATAGAATCAGAAATGTTTAAGAGCAAGTACTGTATTTAGAAGGTGATACCAGGAAACAGAGGTGCAGGAGGGAGAAGTGAAACAGGGATGAGCAAGAAGCCAATAAAGGGTTTGTTACCAAATAAGTTTCCACTGTGGCCACTGTGTCTTGATGTTCTGGGGAACTCTGAGAGCCAGCTGGGATCATGCCAAGGGGTTGTCCCATGAAGGGGTGAAGGCTCAGAACATTTATCAACTAGCTTCTCTCATTCAGGGCTGCTGGGGTGGAGTGAAGGTTTCCCTGGCATTTCCAGCCTATCCGGCATGTGGGCAGAGTGGACAGAGAGGTGTAGATGGTGGCATTTGAAAGTCCACAGACTACACAGAAATGTAGGAGCCAGAAGAATGTAGGAGCTAGAAGGATGAGGCAGGGAGGGCGATGGACAACCATCTGCTTTAACACCTGTGTGAATTCATCTCAGTTGCAACCACTCATTCATTTCCCAACACATTCACTGAGAACCTAGTAGGTGGCAGGCCTGTTCTGGACACGGTTTCTTGTCTAGAGCTGACAAACAAGACTTCAGTATTCAATGTCCAGACTCTCTTTCTTCAGAGGCCCGGGCTGTGCTAAATTTTCAACCTGCATAGTTTAAATCAAGGGGGGTGCACCTCCATCCTAGCCTGGCCTCACAGCCCTGGCTGTTTGGTCTATAATCTTCATTCTCCATCCCCTGGGACTTCTCTAGCCTTCTCCCCTCCTGAGGCTAAGTAACTCAAGGATTCTCCATTTAAGGTTGAAGGGACACAGCAGTTGTGAGAGCGAAAATGAATAACAGAGCTTCATTTCATTGCTGTAAATGGAAATCAGTGTTGTAAGTATCATCTCCCAAACACTTTTGGGAGTACCTCAGATCTTCACCTCATCATCTGGGTCCTTCAAGCACCCCTCTACCACCCAACCACAATAATTCCTTTAAAACAGGAATCTAGTCCAGACACCACCCTGCTCAGAGGTTCCCCTCTACTCTGTGGGACACCCTACATTGCTCGTGTTCCTGCAAATGGTGTCCCTAATTTAGTTAAGCCTAGTCAGAAAAGTAAAGGTAGAAGAATAAACAGGCACATCCAGGAATTAAGAGAACAGTGGAATTGACATGAAATAGATTTTGTTGCCAAGAATGAGAATGACAAAGCCTATTGAAGAGGGCTGTCAACACAGTGAGTGGTGTGGGAAGCAAAGGGCCAGCTAGAGGAGAAAGCCACACTAATGACCACAGAAGCTGTCTGCCCATGGGCCATCAGTGTTTCTGATTATGGCATCTGATGGATGGAGGCAGAAACATTCTTCTTCCTGACCACACCACTGAATATGCACAATCACTTTCCAAGAAGGTTGAGCCAAGAGCCCAGGCAGCCCACTGTGGGCCATACAGGAGAGTCCCCATCCCCCATCTACACCAACGATTAGTTCTCACTTATTTTCTCTCTGCCAATATAAGTGAAAAGGGCCTCATTTCTCAAGTGTTTTATTTATTTGATTAACAGTAACCCTGGACATTTTTTTCATAAGTTTATTGTCCATTTGGATTTATTTTGTGAATTTTTTCTTACCAGTTTTTAGTTAGCCTCTTTTTTTTATGGATTTTCTGGTCAGACATGTTTCAAATATTTTCTCCAGTTTTTATGCATCTTATGTATTTTTAGCATCTTTTACCATTCCTAAGTTTTGTGTTGTTATTGTATTATTTTAGTTTTGTTTTGCTATAATTTAAATGTCTCTCCAAAACTCATATGGAAATTTAATTGCCTTTTTTTTTTATAACAATATGAAGAGGTGGGACCTTTAAGAGGTAATTAGATTATGAGTCTACACATCCGGTCACCCACAGCCTGCCACACTCTTTCTTGACTGGCTGTGGTGTTCTGTGCTGGGGGAAGATGAGAGGGAGGACAAGGACTTTCCCAGGACTCCAGAGATCACCATTAGTGCCCTGCACTCTGGAGAACACAGAGTGTTGGCTGTGTGTTGGTGGACACCCTTCAAGCCTGGGCACCTGAGCAATGTCGGCTCACTCTCGTGAGCTTTGAGCAGAGACACTGTGCTTTGGAGCATGTCACCCGCAGAATCCAGTAATCTGGCCACTGCCAGAGGTTCACTTAATTTATTGTAGAAGTGGGTTAGTTATTGTGGAAGTTGCCTTCTGATAAAAAGGTTGAAGTTCAGCTCCTGTGTTCTCTCTGTCCCTCATGCTTCCTTGCCCTTCCACATTCTGCCATGGGATGACAGATTAAGAAGGCCCTCACCAGAAGCAAAGCAAAAGCCAGCACCAAGGTCTTGGACTTCCCAGCCTCCAGAACCATAAGATAAATAAATTACTTTTCTTTATAAATTACCTAGTCTGTGATATTTTATTATAGCAGCAGAAAATGAACTAAAACAAGTTTTTTTAAGTTGTGTGCAGTTATATATGAATAATTTTAGCCTTGATGTTATGCTAGAAACGGTTCTTCTCAATGGTTTTTTGTTTTGTTTTGTTTTGCTTGCTTCCAATTTGTTTTTTGTTTTTTGGTTTTTTTTTGAGACAGAGTCTCACTCTGTCACCCAGGCTGGAGTGCACTGATGCAATCTTGGCTCACTGTAACCTCTGCCTCCTGGCTTCAAATGATTCTTCTGTCTCAGCCTCCAGAGTTGCTGGGATTATAGGTGCACAATGCTGTAAATGGCAATCAGTGTTGTAAGTATCATCTCCCAAACACTTTTGGGAGTACCTCAGATCTTCACCTCATCATCTGGGTCCTCCAAGCACCCCTCTACCCACCCAACCACAATAATTCCTTTAAAACAGGAATCTAGTCCAGATACCACCCTGCTCAGAGGTTCCCCTCTACTCTATGGGACACCCTACATTGTTTATGTTCCTGCAAATGGTGTCCCTAACTCAGTTAAGCCTAGTCAGAAAAGTCTAATTTTTGATATTTTTAGTAGAGATGGGGTTTCACCATGTTGGCCAGGCTGGTCTCAAACTCCTGACCTTAAGTGATCTGCCTGCCTTGGCCTCCCAAAGTGCTGGGATTACAGGCGTGTTAAGAGATTGGTTGGGAATGAGGAGGCTATTTGTTGCTAATTTAGCCTTTAAATTCAAACATTAATTATTGCTCTTAAAACAAGAAAGAAATTCAGAAGATCACCTGGGCCAAACTCCCTGCAGGTAAATATCATTGTTGCCCCTTAGCAGAGAAGGCTCAGAGAAATTAAGTCACCAGAACAAACTCTGTATCTAATGACAGCAAGAAACCCTTAGGATGCAGCATCCTCTGGCAGCATGGAAAGGAGATGCCTTCATGGGTCAGGAGACCAAAGAAGACTTCTCAGGGCCTGGGAAACGAGTCTTGAAGGAAGATTCAGAGTCCACCAGGCTGACATAGGGAAGAGGATTTGCTGTCAGATGAGCAGCATCTGCAAAGACCTAAGGCTTAATACAGCATACACAGCACAGCATGCCAGTGTAACTGCAATATAGTGCAGCACAGTGGTCTCATGGAGTCACCTGTGGGCCTGAGAAAACTCAAGTTGCTGGGCTCCACCCAAGAGGTTCTCATTCAGGAGATCTGGGGTGGGGCCTCACGAAGTTGCATTTCGTTTTGTTTTGTTATTGTTGTTTTGTTCATTTCCTTTTTTTTGAGAAAGGGTCTCTCTCTGTCACCCAAGCTAGAATGCAGTGGCACAAACGCAGCTCATTGCAGCCTCTACCTCCTGGGCTCAGGTGATCCTCCTCCCTCAGCCTCCTGAATAACTGGGATGACAGGCATGTGCCACCACATCCAGCTGGTCTTTTAATTTTTGTAGAGAGGGAGTCTCACCATGTTCCCCAGGCTGGTTTTGATTTCTTGGGCTCAAGTGATCCTCTCATCTCAGCCTCCCAAAGTGGTAGCATTACAGGTGTGAGCCACTATGCCAGGCCAAGAAGCTACATTTCTAACAAGTGGCTGCATGGTGCTGCTGCTGCTGATCTGGGAATCACAGGTACAGTGGTCAAGAGCATGGGGTCTGGACCTTACAAAAAGAACCTGGGATCAAGTTCTAATAGTCTTTTACAAGCCATGAGAGCTTGAGAAATTTACTTAATGTAATTCTTAATTCTCTAAATGTCAATTTTCTCATCTGTAAAGTACAGGTAATGATACTAACTACCTTGTATAGTTTATGTGAGCATTAAGTGAGATAATTCATGAAAAGCATTCAGCATGGAGCTGAGCACACAGGGACATTCAAGAAAGTGTGTTATTTTCATTGTTATGATCATAATTCCTGAGTGTTGCTGGAGCATGACTTGCAGAGAAGAGTGAGTGGATAAGCCAGGCCAGGAGAGGCCCGGGATTTGAATTGTATTCCAAAGGTTATACTGAGCCTTAGAAAAGCGTGCAGTGGCAGTAACACAATTAGATTCATGTTGCAGAGAGATCATTTGGGCAGTGGAGTGAAGGATGAACTGGTGGAGAGAGGTGAGCCAGGCAGCAGCAAAAGCCATTAGAAAGGCAGCCAATGGCCCCAGGCTCACCCATAATGGGTGGCAGGAGCAAAGAAGGGCAGATGCAAATGAGGATACCAGCCCCTCTTTTAACCAACCAAAGACCTGCACGCATTTCAGCCAGGGCTAGAAAACGTCCTTCCACACCGGGCATTGTTGATGCTGCTTGGACATCGAACGGGCAGTCACATTTAACATGGCCAAAGCAGGCTCCCGGTCCCTCCCTCCCTCCACATGACTGCCCTCCCCACTGTCAGTCTGTCCATTTCAGAAAATAAACATCAAGATTTCCAAGGTTCTAGGCCAAAAACCTTGGAGATTTCCCTCCCTCCCTCCTTCCTTTCCTCTCCTCCTTCTTCCTCTCCTCTCCTCCTTCTTCCTCTTGTTTCTTTCTGCCCCCAACTTTCTCTTTCTCACATTCTCTCTCTGTGTCTCCTATCCAATCCTTCAGCAAATCCTACAGGTTCAACCTATGCAACAGAACCAGAACTCATCTGTGTCTGACCACCTCCTCTGCTCTCCCCTTAAGTTCCCATCACCTCTTGCCCAAATCACTGTAGTTTCCTCCTTACTGCATTCTCTATTTCTACTTTTGATCCTCTGATATTTTCTCCAAATGGCAACCACAGTGATTCCTTTAAAACAGCAATCTAGTCCAGACACCACCCTGCTCAGAGGTTCCAACAAGTCTCCATCACAGTCTCAAGTCCTCATCACAGCCTCCCAAACCCCCTCCAGTGAAGTTTCACACCCCTCCCACTTGCTCTGCTGCGCCCTAGCCTTGCTCCTGGTTTTGCCTCCAGCCCTATGCACACACCTCAGAGTCTCTGCATATGCTGTCCTCTGCCCGCAGGTGTATGTGTCACTCAAACCTTCTCTTACCCTTCTCTTCAGATGTCTGCCCCCCCCGCCGAAACCTTTCCTGAACACCTCATCTAACACAGCACCTTGTTGACTTGCTTCCAATCTGTTTCCTGGCTTGCACGAAACTCCATGAGCTCAGAGCTTGGGCTTGCTCTATTCAGATCTTACCCTCAGCTACTGAACAATGCCTTCCATCAGCGGCCATCATCATTAAACGTGTCCCCAAAAGACTGTGCACGTGAACCAATACGGCAAATGGATGAAACCCCACTCATGGATTCGAGCTTTCTCCTTCCACTCAAGTCCCCAACAGAAGTGACTCAGCAGGCCATGCTAACAGTGGCACTGCTCAGCCTCTCTTGAGTTTGAAGAAGTCATTGGGTTTTTGTGACGTGTGGTGTGTCTAAGGAAATGAGTACCATTTGCCAACACATCAGGTGAGACCTCAACAAACTACTACAGCCTGGGAGAGAGTCACATTTCGTCATCTGCAATTTGTGAGAAGGAAAAAAGTATTTATTATATCACACAATTTGATTTTTCTCTCCAGCTCTCGTGACTTCTGAGAAATCCTGTTTGGACAATTTCATGACTTGGAGGCAGCCTCGATGTGCCCTTCTCCAGCCGGGTTCTGGTGTCAGGAATAATGAATGGAAGGTCAGGAGAGAAGCCAGTGTTGATTTGACTAAATACTCCAAGCGCCTAAGCAAGAGGAGAGCAGGCTGATAAAGTACTCCCCTACTGCCCAGGGCAAAACCTTTAGCTGAAAGGCGGCCTCGCTGTCCATATTAATAAAGCTCAGGTTCAGAAACTGGCATCACAGAGTATTTGCAGGAAAAGCTCGACTCAAAGCTTTAGAGCCAACAAAGCTTCTTTAAAACATGGTATTGAATTAAAAATGGAAATCAAAAACATGATGTTTTTAAAACTTTAGCTAAAAGGCTAAAGTATGAAAGTTTCTGAAACTTGAATCGATAATACATCATTTTGCACGTAAGATTCTAATCTTACAAACTTCAAAGACCCAAGGTATACCAGACTCAGGAAAAAAAACCAGAGTTTCATTCTCACCGAAGATTCCCTGCATTAGCCTGGGAACATCCTCATGCAACTTGGGTTGAACTTTTCATCTCATTTCACCGTCATTGCAGGTGATGGAGAGTAAAACTGGGAAACCCCATCAGAGCTGCTGTGTGCCTCCACACCGTTAAGGACTTGCAACCGCACTCTTCTTAAAGCAGGTAGAATATAATTTGTACATCTGACAGTCATCAGACGCTGGCAGTTCCGTCTTTTACAAATGATAAAAGGCAATAAAATATGCCGCTTACACAAAAGTTGTGATTGATGTGGGCCTCAGATTTCTAACCCACTCTTCTTCTGGTTTTTCTTATTCGATGGTAAAGATCTGATTAACCTAATAAAAACATGCTGGCTGGTTTACCTTCCCTACAGCCTACAGAGGGAAGACAGGTAATAACTCTCCATAATACAGAGTCCCCTCCAGATAGTTCCAGTGCCTGGATGAGCACAATTACCTTCAGTGGTACAGAGTAAGCTTCAACGCTTTGGTTTTGACAAATCAATCATCATTCATGTTTGTAGGCTTGACATGCATGTCTCACTGTCCATCCAAGTTGACTTTATTAATTTCCCATGGCTGCTGTAACAAATTAGCACAAAGTCAGGGGCTTAAAACAATACAAATGTGTCCATCGTGTTAGAATTCTGGAGGCTGATGTCCCGCATGGGTCTTGGGTCTCGCTGGGCTGAAACCAAGGTGTCAGCAGTGCCAGGTTCCTTTCTGGAGCCTCTAGAGGAGAACATGCTTTCTTCTTGTTTTCAGCTTCTGGGGACCCCTGCACTCCTTGGCACATGGCCCTCTTGGATCTTTAAAGCTGGCGAGGTTGGGCTGAGTCCTTCTCACAGCACATCACCCTGAGCTGCTTCCACTGTCACCTCTCCTTCTCCAACTCTGACTCCTCTCCTGCCCTCTCTTCCACTTTTAGGGGTCCTTGTGATTACATTGGGACTGCCCAGGTAATGTAGAATAATCTTCCAATTTTAAGGTCAGACGATTAGCAATCTTAGTTCCAACTGCAACTTTACTTCCCTTTTGCCAGGTAAGGTAACAGGTCAGGGCTTAAGACATCTTTTGGGGGGCCTTTATTCTGCCTACTACATTAATCAAATTAACTGCAAAGGCACCCTGTTCCCAGCAGATACACACACACACACACACACACACACACACACACACACACATCACACCCAAGCTCCAAGCTCCAGGACGAATTGGGCAGCCAGACATGGTGAGTACAAGCTCACTGACCACCATGCCTCAGCCTGCGTCCCCTTCTTCTTGTACCTAAAGCAACATTTAATCACAGCAAATGCCTTTTTTGGTATCTGAACCTTTAAAATGTCAAGAAAGAGAGATAAAAATGCTCAAGAATATGCTTAGTACATTCTTGAAGGGATAACATGAATGACGTTATGAAATTCTAATTAACTGTGAAACAAAATTTCCAATGATGAAATTTCTTTGCAGACACCCAATAACTTTATAGGTAAGATAAAAAGGCTTTAAACCTGTTACTCTTCATTTAATCTCTGAACAGACATTTCCTGTAGCACCTTCAATATGCCAGGCACATTGCTAGGGACGTAACAATACCCAGGAGAGAGAAGGTGACTGCCAGTTTGGAGTTTACATTAGAGAGGAAAGGATCAGCTGATCATTCTTTTTCCATCCCTGTAACAAAATCCATCTAATGTTTTAGAGGCACCAGGCAATGAAGCTCAGTTTTGCCTATTGGCATCATTTTTATTTGACCACCTAATTATATTCTCTTCCCTCACACGATTATGTTCAGGGCTGGGATCTGGCTTGAGCTCAGCCACCGATTAGCTATCTGCTGAGCAAGGAAAAACCATGAAGCCTGTCTCAGCCTCACTTCTCATTGGAAACAAGAAAGAATTACAGAAGTGACTTCCAAGATCTTGCTCAACTTATTCATTCATGCTCCAACCTAAGTTACAACAGCAAAAAGAGACACTTGGTGGGGAAAAATACCAAAATTCTATTAGATGCTCAATATCCAGACATATTAGTGAAATATTACTATTGCAGGGAGGGTTGACCAGTAGTTCCCAGCCAGGGCCACTTACAGGACACAGTATCTTCGGCTGGTCAGAATGTTTCAAAGAGAAAGAATGCCAGGAAAAGACCAGCCTGTGCAGAATTCTTTGGAGCAGGGCTGGTGGCTTACACCTGTAATCCCAGCACTTTGGGAGGCTGAGATAGGTGGATCACTTGAGGTCAGGAGTTCGAGACCAGCCTGGCCAACATGGTGAAACCCCGTCTCTACTAAAAATACAAAAACTAGCCAGGCATGGTGGTGGGTGTCAGTAATCCCAGCTACTCGGGAGGCTGAGGCAGGAGAATCACTTGAATCCAGGAGGCAGAGGCTGCAGTGAGCCGAGATTGCACCACTGCAGTCCAGCCTATACCACAGAGTGAGACTCCATCTTAGAAAAAAAAGAATTCATCGGAGAAGTAAGGATGATGCTGCCTTTGCTGGGGCCACCGATTGTTGGGCTGACTCTGTCCTGGGCGTCTCCCTTTTGTGGCTCCTGTGACCCAGGCTGATGCACGCAGGCTGACATGTTCCTTCCTCCTAGCCCCAGATCTGTGGCATGCACAGTACTGCTGGGGTGGGGCCCCTTGACCCTCTCGGGGGCCTTATGGACAGGATCCAAGATGACTGACACCAGTTGTCTCTTCTGTGTGGGCTGCATCAGGTCCCCAGGAAGCATTTACATGCTTATTTTTAAAATGTAGGCTTTATTATTATTCGGGTATGGTGAGGCAAACAGACCAGAAGACAGCCGCTGTTGAAAAGTTTGTTACAGTTGCCAAGAAGAGGAGGCCACCATCCCATGCAGGGTCACATGAGGAAGCACTGGGGTGGCCAGGAGGCAGGAGTGAGGGAGAGTGTAGCAAGAGTCTTTATTGTGTTTTTTGTGGAGAGAAATGGGTAAAACAGGGTGGGCAGGGCTAGGGTGGCGAGTTTGAATAAGGTCAGCAGGCTCTGGGGTATAGGACCTGTCCCTCGCTGTCTGGTACCTGGCCTTGGAGTGATTAGGACTGGGGAATGCCGGCCTGGAGTGGGAGAGATTGATAAAGAAGGCAACTGGGGGATACAGGCTTTGGATGGACTGGTTTGCATATGGCAGGCAGGCTTGCAGGAGGCAGGAGGAGTTACTCTCTCTAGGAATCAGCTAGCTTGAATGGGGTGGCCTCTCCCACATCAGCAAGTCCACAACATGTCAAAGCATCATAAAATACAGAAGCTAAAAAACACGATTAATACAGGGCTCCTCATCCTGACCACACTTGGGAATGCCAGTCAGTCCCAGCCCGCTGCTCTCTGGCAGCCACAGGCTCCAGGGGGTCTCTCACAACCACAGGTGCAGGCGTCAGCCTCTCCAGCTGCAGAGACACATTTCACCTTGCAGGGCAGCCTTGTGAGCACGTCCTGTCACCGTGCTTGAGTGGTCCCTTCCCAGCTTAAGGGAGGAGAACAGTGGGGTGGGACAGGGGTGGGGGACAATCAGTCTTTATCTTCAAAGAAATCTCTTCACATCTTTTTTTTCCATTTTCTGTTTGAGTGCTTAGGAGCGGTGAAACTTCTTTTAGAAGGCTTCCTTTTGTAAATTCCACCTATGAAGATTTGGCCCCATAGGTTGATGTGGTTTGGATGTTTGTCTCCTCCAAATCTCATGTTGAGACATGATCCCTGGGGTTGGAGGTGGGGCCTGGTGGAAGGTGTTTGGATCATCAGTGGACCCCTTATAAATGGGTTTAGCCATCTCCTTGGTGATGAGTGAGCTCTTGCTCTGAGTTCACATGAGATCTGTGTAAAAGGGTGTATCCCCCAACACACACACACATTCCCCCTCCACCGCACTCTCTCTTGCTCCTGCTTTTACCAGGTGATACCAAGCTCCCATTTTGCCTTCTGCTGTGAGTAAAAGCCCCTGATGCCTCCCAAAAAGCTAAGCTATGTCAGCACCATCCTTGTACAGCCTGCAGAACCGTGAGCCAATTAAACCTCTTTTCTTTATAAATTACTTTGTCTCAGGTATTTCTTTATAGCAAAAGTAAGAACGGCCTAATCCATAGGTTGTTTAGTAAATGACATCTATCATATTGGAACCCTTGTGAAATTTCCATTTTAACAACCCGTTTCATTGTAGTTACTGTAGATCTAGAGGGTCATGAACTTAGGAGCCAGGTGCTGCAGCAGCACTGTGGATGGCCGCCCCAAATCCACTCCCCATGCCACGCTTGATGGCGGAGTCCCGTGTCATTCAGGGAGCTTCCTCCAGACTACCGTGAGCCCAGGGAAGAGACATTTTCCCGCACAGGAGAGTCAGAGAGCACCCCTAATCATCCCGTCCTCCCACCGGTTTTTGGATTAGGCATCACCTCCAGATTCAGGTCTGGCTGGTGAGACAGGGAGAGATGTCTGCCAGGGGCTCTGGGAAAGACCTTTCTTGCTCTTAAAAAAGAGACAACCAGGATAAACAAAATGTGGTACATCGATGCAAGGAAATATCGTCTTCCATAAAATGGAATGGTACATGCTATACCATGGGTGAACTCGGAGACACGATGCTGAGTGAAAGAAGGCAGACATGAAAGCCACGTGCTGTATGATTCCATTTCTATGCAATGTCCAGAAATGTCAAATCTAGACAGACAGAAGGCAAACTCGTGGTTTCTGGGGGCTTGGAGCTGGGAGAATGGGAGAGACTGCTTAATGAGTAAAGATGTCCTCTTGGGGTCATGAAAATTTCCTGGAACTAGAGAGTAGTGATGGTTGTACAATGTTGTAAATGTGTTACATGCTATTGAATAGTATCTTTAAAATGGTTAAAATCGGGGATTTTGTATCATGTGTATTATATCACAATGGTGAGTGAGAGAGAGAGGACCAGGAAGGAGCAGTAGCTTTTCTGCTGCTCTGCAGGACGGTAGGAGAAGGTCATGCCAGGGCAGCCATTACAGCTGTTCTATGACCCTAGGGGACAGGCCTGAGCTCCAAGCCAGCAGCTGAGGGAGGCACAGCCCCGAGGCAGGGAGAGGCAAGAACTTGATGTCTGTCCTGAGCCTGCAACCACTCAATTCTGGAACATCTGACCTCTGGGTTTTTTGTTATGGAAGATTTGAAATGTGCCATGTAGAGGCAGAACTCCTTGGAGTAATGATTACCTCCTTTCAGACCACTATACGATTTCCTTTTCAACTAACTGCTGATCTTAGAAAATATGGTTTGCCAAGAAAAAATTTCATTGAATTCCCAAAGGGCAAGATCCATCTTTCCTGTCCCCTTGAGGAAACCTCTACCCAAACAGCAGAACCGAAGAGCAAATTTGATTCCTCCTCCGTTGCAGATATGATTACACTAATTTTGTTACGGATGAATGGCGGGAGCACGGGATGTAGGAGCACAAAGCCCCTGGTGTATTTGGTTTGGGGGTTGGTTTCTTTTTCCCTGCAGTCTCCGGACTGTTTTTTTTTTTTTTTTTTTTTTAAGCTTCTTCAAGGGTATAAATACATCCTGCAGAAATCATGGAGTGAATGGCCCCCTTATGGCCCGAAAGAGTTCAGTGCGGTTGATTTGTTCCCAAGGTGGGGCACAGACCCAAGGAGGATTCACTCCGGGATTTCTCAGCTTCCAGGGGTTGCTCGGCTGCCTTCATCTTGCTTCCACCTCTTCAACCATCCTGGTATTCACTCATCCCAAATAACATTGGTTTTATACATTTAAATTTGGAAATCAAAGTTAAGCCATGGCGTAGGGTCAGAATTTTTTTTACAAGAGGAAGGAAAAAGATCCGGTCCCACAAGAATTCACAGGAAATGGCTCTGGGTGAGTGCTGAATCCCAGTGAGTGGGAAAAGAAAAGTGATGCCCGGCTGGGAGGAAACGCTGAGAGCAAAAAGGGGTCCCACCCCAGCCCACGAGTCTACCCACGACAGGTTGGGGACAGACTCCTTCACCCAGACAACGACGAGAGACCAGATGCCCCACGAAACACACATTTTTACCAGTTGCTGAGATTTCTGGCTGTTTTCTTTTCTTCTTTATATTTTTTTCTGGATCGGCCAATATTCCTCACAAGAAACATGTCTTATTTTCCAAATAAGGACATATTTACTTTTTGACCTTTTAAAGTTCACACCATCTACAAGGCAATGTGAAAATAAGTTTCTAAGCGTATTTGGGTAACAAGGGCAAGTTCTTTTACATCTTCTGAAATGTATTTTTACCTTTTTTTTTTAGCAGGTTTAAAAACGTCCAGTCTATACTGTGGGTGTGTTTCTCTGGGGTGCGTTCATAGTAGTGATGTTAGTCTCAAGATAGGAATTGGTTCATCTTAGAACCTCCGACAGTAGCTCACTGCCTAAAGCGTCTATCGAAATGGTTGTAAACATTCGCTTTCTCTAAACTGACAGTTTTCAGTCCATTGAATGTAATCCAAGGAAACTCATGATTTGGATTTTGATGTTGAAATAAAACCATAAATCTATTGGGTGGAGAAGGGGGAATGTGCCCTTTAATTTGGATCCAAGTACCTGAAATTCAAGGTATTTCCTTTGATAAATAACATCACAGCAATTCTGGGTGTGAAAAGGACCCTTTTCAGCCACAAAGTAGAAGAGCAGAGCCACAGGATGATTTCATACCTGGAGAAGTGTGTTTAGCATTTGCTTTGCCAGAGAATCCCTTTTAAATTTACTGTAAATAAAAATGCCAGCCACACCTTGCAGTAAAAACTCCCCCCAACTTTGCCTCCGCTCTTCGCTTTAGGAAAGAAAAAGTCCCTTTATGTCTGCCAAGTATTTTAAGTTTCCTTTAAAACTTTAAAATGTGTACACGTTCATTGATGTCCAAAGACTTTATTCCATGTGAAGAAAGCACTTTTCATATAGAAAAAAACTAACCAAAGGATAAGGGTGATGACAAAGGTTAAATCTAAGATGGGCAGCAAGAGTGGACTTCCTCTGTCATCTCCTCCCAGGATAGTGGCAGCAGGGAACCATGCAATCCCAGCTATCCACCTAGAATAACTTTAATTAACTCTGTGTATGTGTGTCTGTGTGTGTGTATGTAAAACCTTTTTTAGTTGTTGATTTCAACAGCTGTTGATTTCAAACCTAAAAGTCTTGCTGCCCCACCTTCCACCATTAACTCTCCCCACGTGCTGTGTCTTCATGGACTCTGTTTCTGAAGGAGAAGGAGATGCTGTTCCCACCCCAGGTACAGCCAAGTGGGCTGTTTCTGTCAGGAGCTTTCTCACCTGTCTCAGCCATACTGTTGGGTGGGAACTGTGAAGTCTGTTAACCTTGGTAGTGGGTTGAATTTTGTCCCCCAGTAAGATCCGTCCAGGTCCTAGTTCCCAGAATCTGTGAACGTGACCTTATTTGGAAAAAGTGTCTGCAGCTGTCATGAAGGATCCCAAGATGAGCTCAACCTGAATTTAGGGTGGGTCCTAAATCCAGTGACTGGTGTCCTTATTAGAAAAAGGACAGGGAGATTTGAGACACAGAGACAGAGGAGAAACATGAGGGAGAAGGGAATGTGAAGACAAAGGCAGGGACTGGAGTGACATGTCTGCAAGCCGAGCACTGGCTGCAGACACCAGAAGCCAGGAGAGGCCTGGAACAGACTCTCCCTCGGGTCCTTCAGAAGGAACCAGCCCTGCGTGAGCCTTGATTTGGGATTCATGACCTCCAGAACTGTGGGATAATAAATTTCTGTTGTTTTAAGCCATCATGTTTGTGATACCATCAATGACAGATCACATATATGATAGTGGTCGTATAAGATTATAATAGCAGGTTCTTACTGTACCTTTTCCATGTTTAGATATGTTTAGATACACAGACACTTCCCATCATGTTACAGTTGCCTGCAGTACCCAGTAGAGCCACATGCTGTACGGGTTTGTAGTCTAGGAGCAACAGGCTATGCCACATAGCCTAGGTGTGTAGAAGGCTATGCCATCTAGATATTCTATGATGTTCACACAACAATGAAATCATTTAACGTTCATCACATTTCTCAAACCATTCCCCTGTTGTTAAGCAATGCAGGGCTGTAACTTGTTATGGCAGCTCTAGGAAATTAACAGGATCCTGATCTAGGACCTAGTGGTTCAGCCCAAATCCCCAAACTCTGGGTTATTCCACTTTCTTTTAGCTGCCAACTCCACCTACAACCCACCTCCTCACCCTGGCCCCCAACTGTCTACACCTCTTCTGATTGGCTCCTTCTACCAGCAATTCTTGACCCTGGCTGCACATCAGAATTACAGAAAGTTTTAAAACAATACTGAGGCCAGGATTTCACCAAAGACCAACTTAAAAAGACCATCCGGGGGCAGCAGCTGAGTCGTGAGCATGATGGTAATTGTACAGTGGGAGTAAAAGAACCTGCACCAACCCCAGAGCCTCCCTGACGTTCACCCTCCTCCCTTCCCACATGCTGCCTACAGAGGTCTCTTCCACGGCCACACTGATGACAGCTCTCTGCACCCATGGGCTTCAAATTCAAGGTTGCATAACAATTTCCTGGGAAATTTGTAAAAGTGCAAATTCCCTAGGCCCTACCTACAAAGACCCTGATTCTATAAATCTGGTAGGCCAGAATATGAGTTTGAACAATCCTAAAATGTGTTGCACAGTGGAATTACCTGGGGAACTTAAAGAAAGACAAACACAGAAAACCAGTGTCTGGGCTGGGCGTGGTGGCTCACACCTGTAATCCCAGCACTTTGGAAGGCCGAGGCGGGTGGATCACCTGAGATCAGGAGTTCAAGACCAGCCTGGCCAACATGGTGAAACCCAGTCTCTACTAAGAATACAAAAATTAGCTGGGTGTGGTGGTGCATGCCTGTAATCCAAGCTACTCAGGAGGCCAAGGCAAGAGAATCACTTGAACCCAGGAGGTAGAGGGTGCGGTGAGCCATGATCGCACCATTGCACTCCAGCCTGGACGACAGAGTGAGACTCCATCTCAAAAAACAAAAACAAAACAAAACAACAACAACAACAACAAAACAATGTCCGAACCACACCCCAGATCAACTGAATCAAAAACTTTCAGGGCAAGCACTCAGGCATCAGAATTTTTTAAATGTTCAAGCTGATTCCAATGTGCAACCAAGCTTGAGATCCGTTGTTTCAAGAAATGCTTACTGTATGCCAGCTACAATGGTGAGTAAAATAGATGCTTCGTGCCCTTCTTGAGTATGTAGTCTGGTAGGGCAGCCAGATAATTTAATTATTTAAATATACAAATAAATAGACGTTTCGAAAGTATGAAGTGTGCTGTGGTGGAAAGAACGAGGTACTAGGACTGATGTGGGTTGGGGACACCCACATGAGCAGGAAGGAGCTACAGAGAACAAGCTGAGTTCTCTCGAGAACCAGCCACAAGCCTTCTCCAGCCATGCCAAAGCACATCCCTCCACATGCCTCCCAGAGCTCAACTCTATGCCCAATGGTACAATTCCTGCCCATGCTACGCATCTGAGCTTCACAAAAGGAAATGGATTCCACGAGCTGTGAGCTGGAGAAAACATTGCTTTAAAAATTAGATTTCAATGCTAGTAATTATTTTTTCCAATCTGGGAAGTTTTCTACCCTATTTAAAACTTGGCCTTTTCAGCATTGTATCCCCTGCATCTAAACCTCATGCCTGGCTCACTGTGAGTTCTCCAGAAACGCAGTTCAGCTGGAATTCCACATCTTTTCAGTTCCTGGCAAATGAGACCTAAAAGAGTAATGGAAAGCGGCACCCTGGGAAGGTTGTTGATGCTCAATCTGTGTGCTCTTATGCATACGAAGGACACGCAGATGCCTTCAACACAGTATATTCCAAACCAAACTATCATAGTTTAATCAACTCTCTGCACACCTGTCCTTTCCAACCCAATTCACTTCCCCAAGTCAGGCTTCTCTCATACAGTAGCCATTGATTTAACCCTTCCAATGCTCTCACTTGCTCCCTCTCCTCCATACTTATTATGAGGCTGCCTGTCCCCTCCAGGAAGTCACATCTCTCCTGTCCCTCCCTGACCATGCAGTGTCTCTGAAACCCTTCGGTGGATCCCCATCACCCATAACACAAAACCAAACAACTTTCACTTGACACACAGAACCCTCCATAATGCAGCCACTGGCTATCTTTTTTAACTTTATTGCTTGCTACCTTGGTTAACCATCTATCCCAGTTGGCCTGGGACTAAGGAGATGGCCAGGATGTGAGACTTTCAGTGCTAAAACTAAGAAAGTCTGAGGCAAACTGACACAAGTTGCTTTTGACTCCAGCGCAGCTCCCTACACACCCTCAGCTATTTCCCCACCCACAGTGTTGTTTTGTGCTGTCCATTCTGCCCAGATCCTTTCTGTCATCCAGCCTTTTACTGGGCTAATTCTCATTTATGCTCCTAGACTGGGCTGAGGAGGTGCCTGAGGCTGGACACCTCTCTTGCCTTTATGCTGGCAGACCCATGGGCGAGCTCAGGGCCTCTCCTCTGTCCCCGTAGAGCACTTGGGATGCGACTATCACAGCCAGGTCACTGCATTGAACATTTCTCCTTGTGTGTCTGCCTCTCACACAGGATGGTAAGCTCTCAAGGCCGGGACCTGTGTCTTACTCCTCTTGTATCCGCAGAGTTCAGCCCAACACCAGGCACGTAGGAGGAGGTTAATCAATGATTGATGGAATCAGTTATTCAGGAACCCCAAGCATAATCCTTTGTGGGAAAAAATGTCATTGCTAATTTAGGAATCAATCCTAATCCTAATCAGTCCTTTAGCCATTTTGAATACAGGTACCTTCCAGTTTAGCTTTTCAGATGCAGTTTCCATGAGGAAACTGACCCAGAATTGACCAATAGCCCTGGAATAACTTCTGTGTCATCAGACGACAATGATTAATTTTGGAAATGTGTTACCAGATACTTAATTTACTGCAAGTTCATTTTGGAAATGAGATATTTAACAAAATATGCTTTAAATTTGACCATAATAACACATTCTTGTCATTCTACAGGGATTACTATAAGCTTAAATGATGTAATAAATTTAAAGGTGCTTCAAAACATTTCAGCACTGATATGAACATAATACATTACTATGAAGGTCATTTTTATCTTCATGATTAATGTGGTGTGGTCTCCTGATACATCCCACAGAAAACTGAGAATCTGAGGAAGTAGAAAATGGATATAGTTTTGCCATTTATTAGCATGTGGCTCAGGCAAGTAATGTCACTGTTCTGAGGCTCCATTTCTATCAAAAACAAATGAGGACCATAATATCTACCACATAGGGCCAAAATCAATGAGCTAATGTACGAAGAAAGCCTAGAGTTCCAAAGGAGAATGGCGTTGGTGATGATGGTAGTGTTGGACAGAGATGGTGTTGATATGATTGTGATGGTGATGGTGACGGTAATGACGATGGTGTTGATGATAGTGATGGTGATGATAGTGTTGGTGATGAAGATGGTGTTGGAATGGGGATGGTGTTGGTGGTGGTGATAGTGATCGAGTTGGAATAGTGGTGGGGTTAGGATAGTGATAGTGTTGAGATGAGGACAGTGTTGGTGATGGTAGTGATGGTGATGATAGTGTCGGAATGGGGATGGTGTTGGTGGTGGTGATAGTGATTGAGTTGGAATAGTGGTGGGGTTAGGATAGTGATAGTGTTGAGATGAGGGCAGTGTTGGTGATGGTAGTGATGGTGATGATAGTGTTGGAATGGGGATGGTGTTGGTGGTGGTGATAGTGATTGAGTTGGAATAGTGGTGGGGTTAGGATAGTGATAGTGTTGAGATGAGGGCAGTGTTGGTGATGGTATTGATGATGGTGATGATAGTGTTGGAATGGGGATGATTATGGTGATTATGATAGTGTCAGTGATGGGGATGGTGTTGGAGATGATGATGGTGACGATGATGGTGATAAGATGGGGATGGGGATGGTGATAATGAAGGTGCTGGGATGGGAATGGTGATGGTGATGGGGGTGTTGGGTAATGGGAATGGTATTGGTTATTATGACAGTGGTGATAATGATGGTGATGATGATGGTTCTGGTGATGATGTTGTTTATGGTGATGGTGTTAGGATGGTGCGTTTGAAAGCTGACAGAGTGAAGTGCCATAACTTGGCTTAGTGCGTTGCTCACAAGGAAAGCATTTAGTAAATTTCTTTTGACTGAATGAGTGGAATAAGTGGCTTTGGGAGGCCTTTTACTCTACTACACTTTGTCTCAATATTAAATTCAGCAGCCAATGATATCAGAACCCAAACTGTATTTACATAAATGTGAAGGAGAGACTGGCTTTCTGGGGACTGACATTTTTGCTTGATACTGATTAACTTATATATTTCAACTGAAATCTGGTTTCAAATGTTTGAGATTTTGAATGTTTTGCCTTCTCTTTTTTCCTTTGCCCACGTATGATCTCAGTTTGCTTTGTGACCCCTGTTGAGCAACGCAGAGGACTTTCCAGCTGTGGCCTAGGGCCGATGCTCTAGTCCCTCCGTGCCTGACTGCACTTGAATGTAAGACAGAGCTGATCATGAAGAATACTCTCCTTTCCCGTAAGCACCACTTTGGAGCAATGACTAGAAGAAAGGTCCAAGCTCAGCTCTAAAATTAAAATTAGCCATGTTTCATCAAATGTAGACTTTGGCAAAGAAACCATTTCTGCCTCATAGTTAAACTCTGAGTGTAAACAAAGAAGTCACCAAAGACATGTGACTCCTTCTTGGCCAGACAATAGGGGTCACTGCCCATGTCTCTGAGTCAGAGGTAGTATCCATTCCTCCGCCAGCTGGTTCTTCCCAACCAAACACCCACACTGCAACTTAATGATTAGCCATTATTCTTTCTTTCCTCCTCCTCTAACCAGCCCTCCGTAGCAATGTCCAGGCTCATTCCACAGATGTTTGTGTGAGAACAGATCTATGTTAAATCCAGATGAGAAAAATGCCTGAAAAGGAGGAAATGATTTAGTTTAACAACAGAGGACTTAAGTGCAAGCAGATTGACATTAGTTTGTGCCTAGAAATTATGACACATCTGCAATCCCACAGAGGAATTGTGCTAAATGGGCCCACACAGCAGGAGCACTGGCCTGAAAAACAGCCTCATAACATGGAATCTGCTCCCAGATACAGAATAAGTTATGTGTTTTTTTAAGAATGCGATCTCGTTGCACACATAGAAGCATTTGTGTTATCAACTCACTTCCTCAAAAATGCTTGTTATTGGCATAATTTAAATTAAGACCATCAAACTAAGCTCCAGAAAGAGCACAGTGTTGTAACTAAGGAGAAGAGACAATATACTCTCAGAAATTATTATTATTATTATTATTATTATTATTATTATTTTGAAACAGGTCTCTGTCACCTGGGCTGGAGTGCAGTGGCATGATCTCGGCTCACTGCAACCTCTACCTCCTGGATTCAAGCGATTCTCCTGCCTCAGCCTCCCAAGCAACTGGGATTAGAGGCACCCACCACCACACCTGGCTAATTTTTGTATTTTTAGTAGAGATGGGGTTTCACCATGTTGGCCAGGCTGGTCTCAAACACCTGGTCTCAAGTGGTCCACTCTCCTTGGCTTCCCAAAGTGCTGGGATTACAGGCATGAGCCACTGTGCCCAGCCAGAATTCTTCCTTAAGGACCAGAGATATCATAACCAAAGTTACTTACTGAGAAGTGCATCCTCGACTTCAGAAGTGATTTTAGTTTTGATTTTTGGTTACATCTGTCATCTGTTCATTCATTCACTCATGAATTATTTCTCGATCACTTGCTAAGTGCCAGGCTGCATGCTGTTCTACTCACAGTATAATTCTTCTTTAAGCATTTATTACATTCTAAAAGAAATTTCCTGCAAAAAAAAAAAAAAAAAACTATAATATGTGATTAAGTTCAAGTTGCTATCTCTAAGTCTTATTAAGCAAAGCTATAGTATAAACTACAGAAAGATCTATGACCCTCTTCACTTGTCTAGTTAATGACATTAAGTTTGACTATGAGAAAATATTTATTTCCTTTAGTGTAAAAATGTATATCATTTCCTAAAGTGGAGACCATTTTTAGAAGCATTAACAGTCCAGACGTGTTTGGACATTAGCACCATTTTATTTTGCCTGTCAAAATAAAGATTTTATCCCAGCTGTTTTCCTCTTTCCAAACATGTCTTTCCACATGATCTGGGCTGAATTGTGTCTGAGAAGTATAAGTGAAAAACTCACAAATCACTGTGAATCTAAGATCCAAATATGTCATCTTAATTCTGGTAACTTACTCTCTTGAGACTTTGTATGAAGGTGACAATTTCTCAGAGAAAATATCCCCTACCTTAGAAATGAAGGCTATCGGGGTGTCAATCACTGAAACATGACTGAAAACAGCAACGCAAAGAGATTTTTAACTCCTGAATTGTCACGTGTCTGGAGCAGATGTGCCAGAACTGGTGCACACATACATTGCTGGTGGTCCTGGACATTGATGCGATCCTTTGGGAACACCATTCACATTTCACAAGTCACAAAAGTCTTACTTCGTGTTGGATCAGTAATCTCAGTCCTGGGAAAATGCCTTTGGAAACAGCATCTTTAGTGTTGGAAGCAATATTGTCACAAAGATATGTAATCCAGACAGCAGCCAAGGCATTGCTGCTGCTTGAGGAGATCTGATTAGCATTCATTGAGCTCTTCAGTTCCACCACAGCCTTGCCAGGACTTTGTGCATTTTAAGGAGACGCAGCTTCTCCTGGTCACCTCAGTCCTCAGGCTCTTGCTTCTGCACACATTGACTTCACTGCCATCATGTCCACTATGAAAGGAAACTCAGTGTCTTCGTTGACACATACACCTACACACCTGTGCACACGCACCTATGCTCAGACACCTTTCCAAGCTCACACACCTGTGCTCACACACACACACCTGTGCTCACACACACACGCCTGTGCTCTCTCTCTCTCACACACACACACACACACACACACACTTTTCCAAGCATTCATGAGTGCCGCAGCCACCACAGAAGACTGGCATGGGTGAAAGGAGGCAACGTGAAGAGGGATCCGCAACACAGCAACATGACCAACTCTGCACTGGTCATTGGGCATCTTTCCTTTTTAAAAATATCCTTTGACCACTCACCAGAACACTGAAGAATTTCCACTCAATCCTTTCATTGTGGATTTCTTTTTTCTTTTTTTTTTTTTTTGTCCTTTCCTATCTTGCTCCCTCAACCCTTTCCACCTCCTCCCACTCTGGAAACACTTCTCACATTACTCCAGGACTCACTACCCTGGCAACCACATTCTGCCCCTGGTCCTCCTCTCCACCCCCATCCCGGCATGGGGCTCATCGAGGCGCAAGGCACTTCCATTGATGGGACCCACCTGAAAGCAGCAGTGGTCATAGGGGAAATATATGCTTCCTCTACGACTATCCTATGGACCACTGCTTGTAATTGTGAAATATTGCAAACAAGCCAAATAATCAACAATGCAAATATTTAAAAAGGAATTATGCTAGTGGATGCCTAGGGCTGAGGGGAATAGGACAGCTGGAGGTGATAACTAAGGAGTATGGCTTCTCTTGGAGTGATGAAAATGTTCTGATATTGTGGTGATAGTTGCACAACTCCGTGATTATCCTAAAAACCACTGAAGTGCATACTTTAAATGGGTGAATTATATGGCATGTCAATTATATCTCAACAGTTGCAGTGAGCCGGGATCACGCCACTGCGCTCCAGCCCAGGTCACAGAGGCAGGCCTTGTCTCAAAATAACATTATACCTCAATAAGGCTGTTACCAAAAATACTTATGCTATATTCTCATGATGAAATATTACACAACAAATAAAGTGTGGAATTGTGACGATCCTGTCTATCTCCCCCCTCATGGTGGTCTGTGCTTTGATCTGCATGTTTGGGTCTTGCCTTTCCTATTTAACACCTGGCTTCTACACTTACCCCTTCATCTTTTGGACTCAGCTTCTGTTACCACTTCTTCTGTCATTGGATCCCACTCTTGGCTTTTGCAATGACTTCTGCACTGAAATACTTGGTCTTGAAATCTATGAATATTTGGATTTGGTTTCTGTTCTGGACCATTTTTTTGACTTGTGCAACCAACTTAAACATCAGCTTTCCATAAGAGCCACGCTGCATCCCACCATCATCTCTAGGAAGCATCCCTGTCCCACCCACAACCAGGTTAGGGCAAGCCCAGACAGGTGCTCAGGGCACAGCATTTAAGGAGGTGCTCACTCCCAGGCCCTTACAAATGTAGGCTCAGCTCTGAGAGTGAATGCTTCCTTAAGAGAGGCTTTCAGGTTGGAAAAATTTAAAGAGGCACTCACTCTCAGGAGCAGATCTTGCATTTGTGAGAGCCTAAGAGTGAGTGCTTCCTTAAATGTTGTGCCCAGAGTGCCTCCCTTGACTCACCTGGTCCCTGCCCTGCTGACACCAGGTAACCCAGAGGTGATAAAATCAGACACTAGACTAGCAGGGTGTGTGTTTGTGCTCAATTAATGATTTTTATTTCTTCATTAACTTTGTCATAATAGTTTTTCCAGCTAATATTTAACAAGTAACAATTATGCCCAATAAGTTTCACTTTTCTTTTCAAGACTCCAAATTTAATTCTAGTCCATTGAGCAAAATTCACCTGGAGGCCATAGGAACAGAGTATGCTCAGCAGCACACACATTCCGTTTTCCCTGTAATAAACATTCAAGAAGCAGGTAGGATCCTCAGGGCATTCCTTAAGAGTGTGCCTCTCCTGCTGGGGCCGTTGGAGAAATATTGAAATGCCTTCCTGCACCCCCGCCATAATCACAAAAACTGAATTCACCTATACTTTATACCAGGAAATGAACTCACTTCCTTTGGGGGAACAGTCTCTGTTCCATTCTGCATGGTTCTGGTGTCATTTGCTATGTAGTAACCACCCCACAAGTTCTTCTTGCCCACTGCACAGATAGAGCTGATTTATCAAGACAGGGGAATTGCAATAGAGAACGAGTTTAATACACATAGAGCCAGCTAAATGGGAGACCAGAGTTGTATTATTACCCAAATCAGCCTCCCCGAAAATCTGGAGGCTGAATTTTTTAAAGATCGTTTGGCAGGCAAGGCCTAGGGAAAGGGGAAGACTGATTGTTGGGTCAGAGATGGAATCACAGGGGTTAAAGCTGTCCTCTTGCACTGAGTCCATTCCTGGGTGGGGTCCACAAGGCCAGGTGAGTTTACTGGTCTGGGTGCTGCCAGCTGGTCCACTGGAATGCAGGATCTGAAAAATACCTTCCACACCAATCTCAGCTTTCACAATGGTAACGTTATCTACAGGAGCAACTAGGGAGGTTAGGAATCTTGTGGGTTGTGGCTGTGTAACTCCTGAGCCATAATTTCTAATCTTGTGGCTAATTTGTTAGTTTTACAAAGGCAATCTGGTGACCTTGCCTGGTCACCAGACCTTGTTTTGGGGAGGGGCTGTTATCATCTTTGTTTCAAAGTTGAACTATAAACTAAATTCCTCCCAAAGTTACTTTGGCCTATGCCCAGGAATGAACAAGGGCCGCTTGGAGGTTAGAAGCAAGATGGAGTCGGTTAGGTCAGATTTCTCTCAGTCACAATTTTTGCAAAGGCAGCTTCCGTCTCATCCACCCCTGGCTTCCAGGATGTCATGTGGCCAGGTCTGGCCGGTCGTGACTCCTTAAACCCTCTCCAGTGAGTAGGCACAGGCGTCAGCAGAACCAACAGGTATCCTGCATGAAAACTGACATATGCACACGACCGGGAACGGGTAGCCTCCCACCCTGCAGGGTTCTCAAGCTAGAAAGACCTCATAAACCGGCAGCTGCCAACGGCCATTCTTGCTGCCATGGCTGGAGAATCAAATCACTGCTGAGAACAGAGCCAAAGGACAGGGGTAGACACAGAGCCCTGAGGATGGTACTTCAGTGCCTGGATTCGGCTATGTCTGAAATCTGGCAACCTAGACTTTTCCATCATGAGTCAATTATGCTTCAGGGGAGGAACATTTGTTTGTTTTGTTTTGCTTGAGGTAGTCTGAATGTATTTCGATCAGTTGTAATTAAGAGAGTCTAGACTAATAAAGCCAAGATCCACTTATTCATTCAGTATTCTCTTTTGTCTTTCTTGCCTTCTTCATTTTCTTTTCTTCCTGCCTCCTGCATTCTCACCTTCATCAACATTCTCTTTCCTTCCCAAAAGTACCCAGGCCAGGCCTGCCACTGCAGACCATGCCTACGATTACCTAATTTTTTCCCAAAGGGATCATTTAGAACATCTGGCTTCAGACCTGGGATTCTGAATTCACCTTATTACAATGTGGAAACTAGCCTGTTTATTTCCTCTGGGTGAATAAAATCTCTACTGCCTCACTTTATCAGAGACAACATCAGCCACTGACAGTACATGCTCAAGGGTCTCAAGGTTGTAGCGGCACAATGACTGTAAGGATGTAGGTTTTCCTCAACCAGTATACACCTAGGCTAATGGTAAGGACTTGTTTATTCACTGAAAACATGCTGGGCAGAGGTATCTGATTCAGTATGAGTGTAAATAGAAACAACGTATATATCCCAAGCTTCTTCTGTAATTTTGTTTCTTTCTTTCCTCTCTTTCCTCCTTCCTTCCTTCATTTCTGTCTCTCTCTCTCTCTTTCTCTCTCTCTCTCTCTCTCTCTCTCTCTCTCCTTTCTTTCTTTCCACAAAGTCTCGTGCCTTCCACCCAGGCTGGAGTGCAGTGGAGTGATCTAGGCTCACTGCAACCTCTGCCTCCCAGGCTCAAGCAATTCTCAGCCTCCTAAGTAGCTGGAGCTACAGGCGTGCACTGCCGCACCTGGCTAACATTTTTTTTGTGTTTTTGGTAAAGACGGGATTTTGCCATGTTGGCCAGGCTGGTCTCGAACTCTTGGCCTTAAGTGATCCACCCTCCTCTGCCTCCCAAGGTGCTGGGATTACAGGCATGAGCCACTGCGGCCGGCCTCTTATAGTTTTTTGTATCTTCAAGATTTTTCAGTAGATTAAATATACAGTTGCTTGCTTCACTAGATGCAGTGTAAAGATACACAGATACATAGATTATTGGGGAAGTAGAAATAAATACTAAATGCTTACAATGAAAGTTTGAAGAGCCAGATTAGCAAGTCTTCTTATTTAATGATATCTAGCAAAAGTGGACATGCTTAGAGATCTGTGAAAATTCTTTCCTCTTTAGATATGTAATAGACTTTCTAAAGAAATAGCAAAGTTGTTTAAGCACAACATTTCAGACCACACAGTCTTGGAATTTAAATATTCATCATCAGGCTGGGTGCAGTGGTTCACACCTGTAATCCCAGTACTTTGGGAGGCCAGGGTGGGAGGATCGCTTGAGGCCCAGGAGATTGAGACACCTGGGCACCGTGGTGAAATCTCATCTCTACAAAAAATACAAAAATTAGTTGGGCATGGTAGCACATGCCTGTAATCCCAGCTACTCGGGAGGCTGAGGTGGGAGATCACCTGAGCCTGGGAAGTAGAGGCTGCAGTGAGCCCTGATCATGCCACCACACTCCAGCCTGGGCAACGGGCTAGAGACTCTGTCTCCAAAAATTTTTTTAATCAAAAATAAAAATAATAAAAATTCATCATCAAAGTAGTCATGGAGATAATGAAAGATGGTAAACATCTGAGAGAAGGGAGTGGACACACCATTCCATGGGAACTCACCACGGTGGATCTCTGGAGAGGACAGTGAGCACAAGGTCAGCTGGGAGGCAAGACTTGGACAAACAACTTTTCATGTCACCAATTGGGGGACAATGACTAAGACTGTGCAGCTGAAGGAAATGTGAGACGAGGAGGAGGCAGAGGGATTTGTGATTCCACATCAAAGTCAGGACAAGGAAAGTTTGTGAATGACCTGGAACACCAAGCAAAGAAGTATGGACTTTATTCCTTTTGGAGAAGTGGGTGGGAGGTGTCACTGGAGATTTTGGGTCCTGGTCTGATGCATGAAAAATGATGTTTCAGGGAGATAAACCTGGCTGCAGTGTGCACTAGATGACAGGTGGACAAGAAATCACGGGGGACTCATCAGAACTCATCAGAATGGCACAATGGAGTCACCAGGAGCAGCTGTGGCAAGGCCTCTTGAGGCAGGGACCCTCGGGCTCTGTGGACATGACTTGGTTTGTGAAAGAGACAGGAATCCTTCCGGGGAAGACTTTGTGTTCATGCCCCTGGAGATGGAAAAGGGAACCCAAGAGGGGACAAGGTCTGACTTCCCCAGGCCAACCCCAAGAATCAAGGATCTGGAGCCGCAGACAGAACCCAGAAGGGCTGTGGGGGCCTTTGTGAGGATCTGGGCTGGCTTCAGCTGTCAGCTACATTGCCGGAAAAGCAGTGAAACATGCTTAGGGAAGAGTGTCCTCCTCCCGCTGCACTGCACCAGAAGAAATACTAGGTCACATGCAGGCTGACATTTGTACAATGGGGTTAGGCTTTCAGAAAAAGAACACAAAATTTAATATTTTAGATATAAAAATAAATTCTTGTTTTGAATAAGAGGAGAAATTATAATAAATTATAATTGTTAAATAAATAACCAAGAAATAACACAAACGTCACATAACCGAGAATAACAATATTTTAATTAACCAGCTGACACACTTGTATAATGATCTTCTTTTTTCCACATATTTTTAGCTGTATACTCTCACTGCCTTTTAATGTCAACAACTTTATAATATTATTTTCTATAAAAAGCAAGAAACATATTTTTAGCCTTAGTTCTAGCATGGTTGAAGGAAATTAGTTTTTTAATATTGATCATTTATGAAAATTTCTTTCTACTTCACAAAACTTTATTGGTAATATCATGTAAATTTTTTAAGTGTTATTAGGTTTGGGGGAATCTCTATAAAATGTATTTCATACATGAGTTGTAAGAAAGAATTGGGGGCATTTCAGTGTTTCTAGTCTATTAACTTATGCTAAATACCTTTTGAATTGATGACACTTTTTAACCAGCTTATCACCAACGTCTTCATTATAATAATACACTGTGAGTTGATGTTATCTTCATCGGTGTTGGTATTTTGTATCAAATCAGAAAGAAATAAGTTCCCATACAGATATGTCTGGGCAAGGCCATTTCAAGCCAAGGGAAGAGCATAAGGAACATGCTCTTTGCTGAGACAGAGTTCGGCAAAAGCAAGGAATTCAGTTTGACAGAATACAGTTTAAGTAAAGTAACAGTGGATGAGCGAACAAGAAACTGCTGGGATCAAGTAAGGAGGTAGGAAGCTGTGCTAAATACTGGCACATGGCTAACAAAGACCATTATCCTTTTAGTTAAGAAATCAAAGGCCTATTTCTAGACCTAAACACATGAAAGCCACTGCTAAGGTCATTATCGCTGAAATCAGACTGACCAGATTTCCAGCCCTAACTGCCACTAATGAGCTTGTGAACCTTGCTAAGAATCATTTGGCTCTACATGAAAGTGACTGCACACTGCATATATATACATATCACTAAACACAAACTAAACGAATCCACAACCCAGCTTCTCTTTTTTTCTCTTTAGAGGATCCCTAACATTCCCACACTCTCCAACACCCGCCTGATGTGAGGTGAGTGTGGACATAGGAGGCATCTACATGGAAAGAGTCAATGGTATTAACTGTTCCCATTGCCACATCTTAGTTTAGCAAATTTTCTTTTTAAAAAAATTTCCCCTTTATTGCCAGGCGTGGTGGCTCACGCCTGTAATCTCAGCACTTTGGAAGGCCGAGGTGGGTGGATCACGAGTTCAGGAGTTCAAGACCAGCCTGACCATTATGGTGAAACCCTGTCTCCACTAAAAATACAAAAATTAGCCAGGCACGGTGGCAGGTGCCTGTAATCCCAGTTATTAGGGAGGCTGAGGAAAGAGAATCGCTTGAACCTGCACCGCAGAGGTTGCAGTGAGCCAAGACCATGCAACTGCACTCCAGCCTGGGTGACAGAGTGAGACTGTTTCAAAAAAAAAAAAATTCGTTTTATTTTATTTTTTAGAGATAGAGTCTCACTCTGTCACCCAGGCTGGAGTGCAGTGGCATGATCCTGGATCCCTGCAGCCACGAAATCCTGGCCTCAAGCCATCTTCCCACCTTATACTCCCAAGTAGCTGGGACTACAGGTATGTGCCACCGTGTCTAGCTAATTTTTTTGTTTGTTTGTTTAATATTTTCTAGAGCCAAGGTTTCAATATGTTTCTCAGGCTGGCCTTGAATTCCTGGCCTCAAATGATCCTCCCATCTCAGCCTCCCAAAGCACTAGGATTACAAGCATAAGCCACCACACCTGGTCTAGTTTAGCAAATTTTCAAATTTGTATGACCATGTGAACGCAAAGCTAGGGCCCCTCCGGGATCTTAGGAGGGGATCCAGGCAAGCAAAGCTCAGTTTCAATAGCATCACTATGAAGCCACCTCTGGTCCCACAGCTTTACCTGCCAAACATGAAAGAAGGTCTACAGCTGAGAGCCATGAGGTAGGGGGAACAGATTCACACAAAAAATATTTGATTCACTCACTGGAGACCACCTGAATCCTGGAAGGGGCCTGTGCCTGGGCTGTAGTTCTGGGTAATGCAGGTGTAGGCAACAAGACAGTGACAGGTTAAGTTACCACCGTGGATGTGAAACTCGTAGAAATTCAAGACAAGATCACAGTAATCCCAGTGATGACAAATGAGAGTCTGGTGCATCATTTTCACAAAGAAGTATCTGAAAGACATAGTGCAAAAACACAGTGCAAAGAAAAATATTGACAAGACCTTATGACTGGGTGGAGAGCAAGAAGAGAGGAATGTTTCCTACCTGGGAACTTGGAGAGGATGATGGCTTCACTACCAACAGCTTGACGCTCCTAGCATTAACAGCTCAGGTTTCTCCCTGCATGGTCAGTATCACCATTGCCAGTAATTTAGGAGAGAAGTGGGGAGTGGAGTTATTTCTGCCCAAAGCCCACAAGGTCAGGAGAGTTCCATGGTACTGGCTGAAATAAGAAAACTCAGAAGAAGCCATGTGTGAGAACGGAGGTAGCTGCTGCAGAGACGGAAGCAAGGGAGCTCTGGGTGGAGTCAGCAGAGAGCTCACCAGGAAACCAGGACTGATGCCTGAACAGCCAGGAATGTGACACAAGCCACTCACGAAGGCCTCAGATGAAGTGGAGCTCCCCAAGTACTGTTCCCTGTACAGTATCTGTCAGAGTTTATTCAGTTCCAAGTAGCAGAAACCAACAGTGCTCAACTTGGCTTGAAGAATTGATGTAATTCTTGCTCTAAGAAAAATGCAGTTCAGGTTTCCGTTCTGCTTCTCAGCCATCTCCTTCTCCTCTTCTCCATATTCTGGCTTCATCCTCAGGCCAGCTTCCCTCAGGATAGAAGATGGCTGCCCTTGGGATAGAAGATGGCTGCCCTTGGGATAGAAGATGGCTGCCCTCACAAGATAAAATGGTTACCCTCATGAATCAGCTGCCAGCGACAACCAAGGCCCCAACTTCTCCGTTCACATCCAAAGGATATGCTCCCCCAACACAAACACACACACTCACAACCGTCCAGGAATTGGAAGATCCAGACTAACACATTAAAAATTATTTTCTTTATATTTAGACATTATAATTATCTGTGCAATATTAATACATTGTTTTTGAAAGTCAAGACTAAAAAAATAATACAACAATGATAATAGCTAACAATTATTGAACATGTATCCTATATACTAGCTGTTGGTGATTTCCTGCATTAATCCCTTCATCCCTAAGGGGTAGATGATACTGTTAACCCCACTTTACAAATGAGAAAACTGAGAGAGAAGTTAAGGAATGTGCCCAGGGTCCCACACAGGTAAGTAGAGAAGCCAGGACTTGAACCCAAGGAGGCACCCACATGACCTCCACACAAAACCTCTGTTTCCTTGCTCTGACTTGCATGTGTTCCTTCCAGCCTTTTGTTGATTTGCAGGGTTGGTTCCCAGCCAGCTATTCTCAAGTAGGCTATTCTCTCTTATTCTGAATCCACTGTGCCCTATTTATATCCATAGAACTTTCATATGTTTTCGTTACATATTACCTTTTTGGCCATTTATTTAGAATTTTTCATGATTTCTCATTGCATATTCATTTGCTCTGTTACTCCCTAGCATGCCCCATTCTCAAAGACCTTTTCTGATGGTCCAGAATCCATTCCTCCCTGGCACATGGTAGGTAGGTGCTCGATGACACGGTTCTGAGTGTTATTAGTTGCCATCGTACTGGGTGTAAGATGCTATATCCTCCTTTCATTCGTGTACCATAATTGTCTCCCATGTTGCTCCCCAGTCTTCATAATGATCTGCTTTAATGACCGCACAACAGTCCATGACTATTAAATACTGACATTTAATTAACCATTTCAATATGGATAGAAATCCAGAGCTTCTATTTTTTTGTCATTGTAAGTGACATGAGGAGCATTTCCATGTATATAGCTTTTCCCCTGACAATCAAATTTAAAATTACCTGTGAGCATAGAGATAAAGATAGCAGCCCAGTGTGGCGCTCAGCTGCAGCCCCTGTCAGCCTCCCTCTGCAGTCAGCTTGCCCTGCTGTACACACTCCTCCCCGGTTGTCCCTCACATTTCCCGGATGCAAGGCTATTAGTGGCCCATCATGAGGCAGCCAACTTCATACTCAATGCCAGGCCTCCTCGACCCAAACATGTGGTGCCTGGTTTTACACAGGGCATTGTTTATGGCTACTGTTTCCTGTTAGATCCTGGCCTCTGCCAGGTATCTCCATACACCACCCTCTTTCCTCTTGTTCTCCCTTTGCTTCCACCCCCAGCCAGCCTCTAACATCTTAAATTCCCAGTAGCACAGTTGAGTCTCAACTCCACACACATATGCACACACCTCAGTCTGCGCTACAGGCCCATCTTTACATTTTCCAAAACAGTTTAATGAGTGTTTTGGAAACATTTCATCAAAGGGCTTTAGCTGTAGCCAATTGTGAAATCAGATTTCTTGATTATGAGCAAAGTAGAGGGTATGTTCTCTCTTTCCCTGACAGGCACAAATCCCAGGGCTTCCCTATCTATTTGGCGTCCAAGGTTATCTGAGGTCACGAGCCACAGAGTGAGTCCTGGGAAGGAAGGGCAGTTGCAGTGTACGTAGTGAGCCCTGGAGCCACAGGACTGGCAGTAAGTGCTACAAACTGGTGTGGCCTCAGAGAGGGACCTTGGAGAGGGGCACCAGCAAGTGTGTGCTCAGAGGGCCATGAGACACATAAATCCTCAGAGAAACATCTCCGTAACTGCTCCTCGCACACTGCTTTTACAGGATGTCATTTGCAAGCACTTCAGCAGGCTATAACTCACTGGAGAGCATCTTGCGACCTTTCTCCTCCTCACAATGGAAATTTTTTATTACAGAAGTTATAGTGAATATATACACAAGAAAACCCCAGAGGGAGAGGGAAGGGGTATTTATGTATTTATTTTTGAAATGGAGTTTCACTGTTGTTGCCCAGGCTGGAGTGCAATGGTGCAATCTCGGCTCACGGCAACCTCTGCCTCCTGGGTTCAAGTGATTCTCCTGCCTCAGCCTTCCAAATAGCTGGGATTACAGGCATGCGCCACCACACCCAGCTAATTTTGTATTTTTAGTAGAGACAGGGTTTCTCCATGTTGGCCAGGCTGGTCTCAAACTTCCGACCTCAGGTGATCCGCCCACCTCGGCTTCCCAAAGTGCTGGGATTACAGGTGTGAGCCACCACGCCCACCTGGGAAGGGATATTTATAAGGCAAGAGCACCTCTCCTCTTCTTCCTACTAATTTGGGAAGTAAGAGTCAATATGCAGGTGAAACCCCATCTCTACTAAAAATACAAAATTTAGCCAGGCATGGTGGCGGGCGCCTGTAGTCCCAGCTACTCGGGAGGCTGAGGCAGGAGAATGGCGTGAACCCGGGAGGCGGAGCTTGCAGTGAGCCAAGATCGCGTCACTGCACTCCAGCCTGGGCGACAGAGCAGGACTCCGTCTCAAAAAAAAAAAAAAAAAGAGTCAATATGTATTGAATATTCACAAGATGCTGCCTCTGTCCTATTTCCCCGAGCTGGTGACAGTGCCTGGTTGGTGCATAATCAATTATTGAACGAGCGAGTGAAAGAATTCTCAGACCATGAGGTAAGTTACTAGTGCCCTCTGCATTTTACAGATGAGGGAAGTGGGACTCACAGAAATTAAGTAACAGGCACAAGATTCAACAGCTGGTAAACAGAGAGGCCAGGACACAGTGCAATTTTTATGACTCCAGGGCCCAACCCCTAACACCCCTCCATCCTACCATGATCCTTGCTGTTGACATTTTCAGTACAGTAAACACAGGACCCGAATCCAAGGATTCAACCCATTGTGGTCCAAAAATAGTCAGGGGAAAAATAATAATAATAATAATATGAATTTTAAAAACAATACAACAACCATTTACATGTATTAGGTATAATAAGTAATCTAGAGATGATTGAAGGTTTATGGGAGGATGAGGATAGATTATATGCAAACACTGTGCCATTTTATAGAAGGGACTTGAGCATCGATGAATGTTGGTATCCATAGGGATTCTGGAACCAATGCCTCCTCGGATACACAGAGCTGACAGTCTCCTCAGCATCAGCAGAGGGACTACTGCATATCTCATATTGTAGCAGTTATACTGATTTTTACACAAAAAAGGGGTTCATCTTTGTATTGCAATGGTGAATCAATAATACACATTGTATAATTTCCCACATATTCCACCGAGGAGCTTATATTCCAGCCAATTCTAAACTAAATAATTACACTTAAACCCTTAAAATGTATCCCCCAAAAGTGCTATTCTTTGATTAACACACACATGCTCACTCAATATTAATGGCAGAAGAGAAGAATTGAGAATTCTGCCAATAAACAATGCACACACAGAAAGAGCTAAATAAAGCACCTTAAAACCGTTTTCTAGTATTTGACTTTACTCTTGTGTCTGAGAATTCATTATGATAACAAGTGCAAGTGGATTCTGACTCTAGGGGCTATTTGGTGAGCTGCTTTAATTCATTTTAGAATCCTGTTTCTAAAAATGACCTTCAGAAGACGGTTTCCCGGAGATGACCAAGGGAAGGATCATTTTACAACCTTTCTGGAACATATTTTATGTTCACCACCCCTAACCTGGATGACTGTTTTAAAACAAACAGCCTGGTTGGCTGTCAAATTCCCTTTCCCACTTAGCACCTACAGGAAGAGAACCCCACTACAATACTGAAACCAGGCAGGTCCAGGACTTCGAGTGGTGGAGAAGATATTTGTAAGAAAGGGAAACAAAGCTTGTTTCTAATAAACTGATTGGGTCAAGACACCTGGGAATTGATCATTGGCCTAACGTTTTCCTGAAGCACACCCCAGACGTGCACACTGGGACCACTCGCACAACGCAGCGTTTCTTCTTATAACAAAACCAAAACTCTGCCACTGTCCTTGTTTGATAGAATCCAAGCTAACACATCAGGCATTTGAAGAAACTGAGGTTGTGTCTTCTTCAGGAAGGGGTCGTGGGGTGGATGACATGATGGTGAGTGTGACATTTGCACAGATGCCAGCTCCCCGCTGCATCCTGACCAGCTCCTCAGATAGGGCAGGATTCCAAGGGAGAAATGAGACCAGCAGGGTAAGCAAATCCTTCTCTGGGGTTATCGGGCTCCACCAGGTGGGGTCTCAGGAAGTCTCTAGCATATATGTAAGAGTTATTTACCCTATCAACAATGTGTATAAAAACAAACAAGCACACTTTTCAGAAGAGCTTTTCCTGCACTAAACACCAGCTGATTTGTGGAGCATGATTGGTAGTTGAGCTACTTAATTGGATTCCTCAGAACAGGGTCAGTAAAAATAGATGCAAATCCATAGGGTGACATAGTCACATAAGATTGTGGAAATTGTAACATGACTGGCTCTAGGACACGCACAAATTTTCATATGCAGAGTCCTGAGAAGAGTCATGGTGAAGAAACCCACTTAAGCAATTCCAAAGTTAAATGACAAGGAAGACTGCACTAATGTCCTAAGGCATCGGGTCCTGCAGAACTTGTTTGTTAGCAAAACCACCCCAGATGGAAGACTTGGGTGGCAATTCCAAAGGGCCTTTTCCTGCATTCCTGACTGACCTTAATTGACAGTGACGTTGACATCGCAGGCTTTTCTGGCCATCCAAGTAGTGAATGAACTTGCAGCAAACCTTGGAAAACCTTATGCAATCCTGTGTCAAGAATCTCGTGACAAAGTAAAGAATCCTTTGGGAATGGGCATGTCCACCTCTTAAATTACATACTTGCTGTAAAACAAACTGGCAGAGCTACTGTCTGGTGACCACAAAGGTAATTTGCCTACAACTCAGAATGAAGATTTGTCCCAGAATGAGTTCTTTTTACCAATAGAGAATATTTGCATTCAGAGAATCTGGGCCAGAACTTCCTCATCTCTTTTGAAAGGTATGCTTCCCGAAGCCTCTGGGTTGGCCCTGGTGACTCTCTGCAGAAGAGGAGGGTGAGTTCTTCACTGCAGTTTAAGATGCACCCATCAGGGCCATGACCCGTTCATTATCGCACATGGCCCTTGGCCCAGGACCAAGGCAGAAAGAGGCACAGATTGCTCCCCTCTTCTCTGGGCCTCTTGACAACCCTGAGCTCTACACTGCTGGATATATACATAAATATATATAGTCCCATGTTCTTAAGTCTCACTTTGAAAACTACAACCCTCAAGTGACAACTGGGCAGAGCTCTGGAGAAGATGGGCAGTGACTGGGAGCCCTACTCAGGGACACAGAACCATGAGTGGTGGGTCGCCTCTGTAGGTTAATATTGAGTGTCAACTTGATTGGATTGAAGGATGTCAGACTCCAGGTTCTTCAGCTTTGGGATTCAGACTGGCTTCCTTGCTCCTCAGCTTGCAGACGGCCTATTGTGGGGCCTCACCTTGTGATCGTGTAAGTCAATACTCCTTAATAAACTCCCCTTCATATATACATCTATCCTATCAGTTCCATCCCTCTAGAGAACCCTGACTAATACAGCCTCTTTCTCACTTTTCCTCTTCCCCAGGAGGTCCTGGCCATGCAGTGCCGCGTGGAATCAGGACAGATGACTCATGCTCCAAGAATTCTTCACTTTGCTTAGAAGACCAGCCAAAGAAAGGAAACTCCCTTGCATCTGGCCTCCTTCTTGGGGGAGTGGGGACTGCGGTGCTCTCTCCCCGCCTGGGAGGGGAGGGAATGTTATTCTTTGCAGAGCTGCAGATGTATCTATTTCCTGGGGTTGCTGTTTATTCTGTTAGAGATTGAAAATACTGGGTGAAAATAAAGTTTAACCCAGAAATCTGACTGATAGGATTCTTGGAGGGAAAGGCATGTGAACCGAAAATAGTCCTCAGTATTGAGTCCCAAGGACTTTTACTCCTTTTTTATTTCTTAAACAAAATTTCAATTGGTGGATAATAGTTTATGGACAAGACTTTATGGAAGAAGCATGTGTGATGGTCACAAGTACCTGCAAAGGTCAAAAAGCATGAGTCTTTTATATCCAGCACATAAAAATAGCATAGATGGTTCCAGAAAACTGGCCCTGGTGCCCTATCTGCCATCCCCAAACTAGAGCTTTGAGGTTCGTTCAAGGGAGGAGTCTCACAGATACACGAAAAGAAGGCTACATTGTGACAATGATACAGGATATTAAAGTTAAAAAAAACAAAAAGATAGTTTAGCCCATTCACTTCATTCAATCCCAGACCTCTAGTTTGGAAACTCAAGACAAGAGAAATTGCCACAGAAACTCTGTGCAGGGTGAAATGAGCTCCTTGCTTCCAATTTTCTTGCTTGTCAGTACCCATATCATACCCAGAACCAACGTAGCCACGAGGAACACCACACATGCCTCTGCCTAGCAATGCATCCTGGAAGGCCAATAACCAAACAGGCAGAAATTTTCCAAACAAGATGTTAAGCTGTTGGTAGCTTGAAACAGACCATGGTGAGAGTATTTACATGCCAAAAAAAAAAAATGGCAAACGCTACAGTCATGGCTTTCTGACTTTTTGTTTTGTTTATTGAGACAGAATTTACCAGCCTACCGTTGCCCAGGCTGGAGTAGAATGAAGAATAAGGAAATGGATCTGGCCAAGGGCCCCAAGGGGCTGGACTTTGAGCCAAGTGACCACAGTTTAAAGGACATAAGCAACCCAGCCTTGATTCCATGGTGTCGCCACACCTGCAGATGTGTCCCCTTGGGTAGACAGCAACTATGACCATAGTACAGGTGACGTCAGGGGTGGGTACAGGAACCAAGGCATTCCCTACATGGAGTAAGCTTTGTTAAACAATCCAGTATGTTTTTTGCTGTGTTGTGGGGAATTAAGAGAAGCCTGGGATCATGCTTGGGTGAAGCAGGGCAGGGAAGATCCACCCAGCCTGGAGGAAGCCAACTTTGGTTCAGTAAATGGCATTCATCTGAGAGAGCAGGGGAGGAGTCAGCCGCCAGCTGAGCAACAGGGAAAGAACAAGGACAGACTTGAGGATCAGGCACATCTGGAGGCAGGGTATTCTCAGAAATGGGGAGGAATTGGGGAGTTTCACAATGACAGAAACCTGGTAAAAGATGGGATTTTCTGAAGTCGTGCTGCATAGGGATATAGACTGTCAGTCTTTTGAGCACTGAAAGCTAATATGGCCATCAATGACCAGAGAGCTCATAGATAGCCCGCTGACCAACCAAAAGCATTGGGAGGACCATTATGGTTATGGGGGGAGCTCACTCTGCACCAGGTACTAGTCTGAGAGATTTACATGGAATATCTTTTATTTTTCATAGAAACAGCACAGAAGAAGTATTTGCTTACCCCATTTTATAGATGAGGAAACTGAGGCACAGGGACTTTATTCAGCTACTAGGTAGAAGAGCTAAGATTGGAACTCAGCCAGTAGGACTCAAAACCAACATTCTTAGGATGTCACTTCGGGTCTATTGATCTCTGCTACCCTGAAGCTTCCATCAGCTGGTCACAGACACCCCTCCAGGAGCCACCAGAATGGAGCAACGGTTCTTCCCTCTAACAATCTCTCAGGTATTTGAAGATGACTATTATGCCTCTTGAATTCTGTTATGTTCTCTAGGATACACAGCATTGGTCACTCGCTTCTCTTAGGGTATTGCCTGGACTCTCTGACCCCTCCCCCCACCATGGTGAGTGTGCCTGAAAAATTCAACATCACACTCTGTATGTGCAGGATTAACACAAAGGAAAATGCAAATGATGCATCCTTGGTTCTAGGAGCTAAAGATCGCCACCCTCTATCAAAATATCATCTACATAAAAAACCAACCTACACGTCGCTGTGTTGCTAGGGTTCCATTTTTGTAAAAGGGTTATATAGTCTTATACATGTGCATATTCATAGTTTTTAATATGCACCCCAAAAAAGCTTTCAAAAAGGTAAAGATCTAACTTTCCCCTGCTAGTGCATGTAGGTGTTGGGGCTGCGGGTAGGGACAAGGAATTGAGGAGTCTCACACTTCACACACTTCTATATTGACTGAAGTTTGTATAATATATAGTTACTTTACTATTTTAAGCTTAAGATATGAAATATTAACTTTTAAAAGGCATGCAATGGGCCGGGCGCAGTGGCTCATGCTTGTAACCCCAGCACTTTAGCAGGCCAAGCGGGCAGATCACTTGAGGTCAGAAGTTCAAGACCGGCCTGGCCAAAATGGCGAAACCCCTTCTCTACTAAAAATGCAAAAATTAATGGTGGTGAAAGCCTGTAATCCCAGCTACTCAGGATGCTGAGGTGGGAGAATCACTTGAACCTGGGAGGCAGAGGTTGCAATGAGCCGAGATGGCGCCATTGCACTCCAGCCTTGGCAACAGAGTGAAACTCCATTCCCGCCCCCACCCCCTCCCCCCAGAAAAAATAATGATTTTTTTCCAAAAAAAATAGCTATTTAGGTGCTCTATTTTGTAACACTACAGTAGAATCTGCAAGAAAACAAGCACTCAGCTAATAACTTTATTCTGAATGTAATGTTCAAGTTAGAATTCAACTCACATTTTCTCCCCAAAAGGACATGAACATTTGAAATTTATGCTTCCCAGCTCCTACAGTGGTGTTCGGCAGCCAAGCAGTTTTTCACAGATGCCATGGGTAGGGTTCAATGGTCACTGTACTCTTTACTTAGTGAGGGTGGCATTGTCATATTTCACCAGGCATGGCCAGGTTGCTGGGATGACACATCCAGCCGCTCTGAGCTTTGTTTGACCTTCTCCCAGCCTGCAGCCTTAAGAGGGAAATCAGACCAACCTATGACTTCTACAAACCCCTTCCACGGTGGCACCGTGCACTCACTTGGCCTCCTTATCTGGTTCTGAGGATGCTCAAAGGTGTTATGACTCCCACTGAACAGAACCTCGCATGAGAGGAGAGCACAAAGCCTCCATGCTGGCCCGGAGAAGCACACACATTAAGCTTTGCAGTTGACCAAAGGCACTCCCAAACACTCCCAGAGTTGACAAGTTATGGCACTGAACGCTTTCTGACTTAGTCTTTACAGAAGTTGTGATGTTGCTTGGACAGGTGGCATTTCATTTTTGCGGTGATGGAAGTTGAGATTCACGGAGAAGTGAATTGGCCAGGTCCATTCCACTGGCACTAACCTGTGTTCTTCCCAGCCCACTAGCATATATTGAACCAGAAAGTGAACAGTCTGGAGACTAATTCAAATACCACTGAGGGGGATGGGGGATTAAACTATCCCATCGTTTATGGAAGTAATTTGGAAAATTAAAAATTCTCATGTCCTTTGACAAAGCATGTCTCTTCCAGGAATTTATCGTACAAACGTCCCCATGTATCGAAATGATACGTGTCTGTGCTATTCATTCTACTATTGTTTGCATTAGGAAAAATTGGAAACAATCTAAAGACCCTTTGCTAAGGAATATTTAAGTAAATTAATAAATTGAATCTATGCAGCCTTTTAAAAAGAATGAAGCAGATTGATATGCCCCCATGTGGAATGAGCTCCTAGATGTCGCATTGGAGAAGGGAGAAAACCATTTGAAAAAGAAACGTGTTGCTTTTGGGTGTAAAAAGCAAGGGATAAAGACAGTCATATTTAGAATATTTTATATGCTTGGACTCTCTAGAAGGTGAGGCAAGAAGTGGCAGCAGTGACTGCTACTAAAAAAGGGAGCCAGGGACATGGGGGTCTGGGGCCAACAGAAAAGGAACAAGCATTTACTTTCTACCCCTTCATCTCTTCTGAGATCTGTACATTGTTTATGGTCTGTTTACATTTTAAAAATACGTGGAGCATGGTGGCTCATGCCTGTAATCCCAGCATTTTGGGAGGCCGAGGCAGGTGAATCATCTGAGGTCAGGACTTCAGGACCAGCTTGACCAACATGGTGAAACCCCATCTGTACTGAAACACAAAAACTAGCCAGGCGTGGTGGCATATGCCTGTAATCCCAGCTACCTGGGAGGCTGAGACAGGAGAATTGCTTGTACCAGGCGGTGGAGGTTGCAGTGAGCCAGGATCACGCTAGTACACTCCAGCCTGGTGACAGAGTGAGACTCTGTCTCTAAATAAATAAATAAATAAATAAATAAAGTTTTGGCCAGTCCACTTTGGCCAACTTTCCCAGACACACCTTTAGTTTCAGTGTACTTGGAGTTGCTTTGCTACCAGGACTATGATGAAAGCAAAGAGGGGTCCAGAGAGACGTGACTGGAATCCTACTTCCAGAGAGAGATGAGTGGAATTTATGTATGAGTTATGGCTAGATCATGGAATCTCAGCTTGGAACAGACCCTCATGTCCCGTTAACCAATCCCTGCCAGACAAATGAATTCCTTCCATATACCCTGACCCTGACCATTGGCCTGAACACTTCCGTCTACAGAAGTCATGATGCCCGTTTCATGTTTTCCACAAGCATTCATGAGAAAGGCACATGAAAACACCTTGCTATGTGCCTGGCACACAACAGATGTTCAATAAATGGTGGCTCTGTTGAATGTGAATAATGCAAAACATTAGCTACTTGGAGGTAAAGCCTTCACACTCTTTTGGTATTCTGCCCATTTCACCTGTCACAAGCATTGCCTGTAGTGCTTTGTTGTTTTGCAGTGGCTTTATAATATTCTACTCATGGGGAACTGTCATTGACTTATCTGCACATTTAGTCTGCTTTGAAATTTACAGAGAGAGATATATACAGATGCTCCTCAACTCACAGTGGGATTCCATCCCAATAAACCCGTCGTAAGTTGACAATATCGTAAGTCAAAAATGCATTTTATGTCTCATCTAGCAAACATCATAGCTTAGCACAGCCTACCTTAAATGTGCACAGAACACTTACATTAGCCTACAATTGGGCAAAATCCTCTAATGCAAAGCCATTTTATAATAAAGTGCTGAATTGCTCATGTAATTTATCAAATATTGTACCGAAAGTGAAAAACAGAGTAGTTGTACAGGTGCCCAAAGTACAGTTTCCACTGTATTGCTTTCACACCATGGTAAAGTCAAAAAATTGTTCAGTTGAACCAAGATAGTCGAGAACCATCTGTACATAAATACAGATAAGCATCTTTTTGCACATAGTGTTATTTTTTAAATGTCTTTGTTTTAAGAACACAAATATCAGTCAAAAGAGTAAACTTTGGGGGTGTGTTCATGAAAAATAGCACGTTGCTAAGCCATTGATATTCAGAGTCACCCGGTCTAAAAACCAAAGTCCAAAATAAATAGGGAGTTCAGCAAACATGAACATGAGCCAAACAGGAGCCCTGGCAAAAAGCTCTAAAGATTGGGCTGGATGAAAGGACCAGCTTCTATTTATATTATCAACCCACAAACCTTCTCGGACAACCAGAGCCCTGTCACATTTGGGGACCTTTATACAATATCTCAGCTAAAAGCAAAAATAGCAAAGAGCCTGGCATTTCAAAAGGATAAAGAGACACAGTGCCAAAATTCAGAAAGTTTTCATTTCATTCCATCCCCAAAGAAAAATGTATTATCTGTTGAGGCAGAAAGAGAATAGAATAGCATTTTGGAGACAGAAGAGTTGGTCGCCCCCACACCCTGGGCAGGAGCCTGGGGTAGAGGAGAGACAATGGCGGGTGACAATGAATGAGGTGGAGGGACCTGTCTGAGCCCCTGCATTCATAACTGTGAACCTCCTGAGCTTACTTTGAGAATTACATGAGTTGGGAGCGCTATAAATGCAGGCCCCCAGGATCACCTTCCTTCTGAAATTAAACCTCCTTTTGTTGATGGGAGTCCCAAGGCCAGGGTGCTCTCAATGTAGACTCCATTCCTCCCTCCCCGCACATAATCTCTGTTTTCGGCACTGGCTTTTCCTTGCTCAGGAGGTTTCTTGGGTCTGTTGCTGTGGTCAGGGGCCCAGAGGAAAGCCAGCATCTGGGCTGCTATTCATCTCCTCACCATGGAATTCCCTCCTAATAAGGCTAAACTCGCAAGCAATGGCCAAAGAGGCAACAGAGTCTCTTTACTCACAGCCAGTCTGCGTAATTACGGCCTGATTACAGTCACCAGCACTTCCTCTGTGCAGAGCCTGTTCTAAGGGCTTTATGCGACCTTCTCCTGGGACCCTTGTAGCTGTCCTATGAGGTGGGCACAGATATGACCCTATTGTATTCATGAGGAAGCACCAGACACCCCTACTGCAGGGCTCTCAGGTAAGAGTTGAAATAAAACCCCTGGCTTAGGCTTAAAACAAAATCCTTGGACCAGCATAGTCAAATCCCACAGGGGATGGAGAGAGGAGAAGGAAGGGCCCTGGGTCAGCACAGAAGGTCTGGGTCCTTCTGAAACTCCTCCTAGGTGTGTTCCAGAAGATGTGGAAAAAGAGACACCTGACTAGTCCTGCCCCAGGCGGCGGATTGCATCATGAGTTCAGGCCTGTTTGGCAGAAGAGTGAAGAGAGAGGCACCCAAAACGCAGCCCTGTGCTTCGTCTCATGACCACCTTGGGGCAAGGGGTGGGGGACAGGTGGCCAAGCAATTAAGCAACTTACTGCTCAGACAAGAGAAAAGAGAGCAAAGGACATCAGGCAATGAGGAGAGGGCCTCCTCTTGCAGGACTGGTCTGCGTTCCTGTCGCCCCACTGAAATGCCTGTCCTTTTTGATAGGGCCCAATCTTGTCATTGTGCAGCCCAACTGCTCGTGGAATGCCGGGGCCAGAGCAGATGCCCAATAGGCATTTGCCAGCCGACGAAAACCAGATAATTACTGAGTTTGAAGAACTGCTCACTGACTGAACTCTAAGCATGACCCTGCCGCTGGCTGTGGTGAGGATGCATGTGTGGCCCCTGCCACCACCAGCATCAGCTACAGGACCCCGACTCCCCGTCTCGCTTTTCTGCTTCTCAGCCCCCACTAACCTCACAGCATCCATATCTCCCCCACATGCTCTCAGTCCCATCCCATAAGCCCTACTTGCGTTCACCTCCTCGGCCACCTTCCCATTGTACAGCTGGGAAAACTGAGACAAAACTCACCCAAGGACTGTCATGCTGACTTACTCTGGGGCCCCTGATGTGCAGTCCAGTGTCAGCCCTCTCCAGCCATAGGTGTGGGTGTGCCCCAGGCTCTGTCCACAGACTTTTCCCCATGTCCTCACCCCCAGCTGTCCTTATCTACACCTTCCAAAGCTGATGATGCCAAACATCAACCAAGCTCCAGAGACGCTCACATTTCTCGTGCCTGGGAGCTCTTCCTTCCCCTCTCAAAATACACACACACACACACACACACACACACACACACACGCACAGACAAACAGACACACACACACAATTTCTCAGGTTGGGGAAAAGGAGGAGGGGCTTTATTCCTCTTGGGCCTGTGGACTCTGGGTTTTCTAATACCTCTTGTCCATGTCTTATGATACGGCCACAGGCTTTGTAGCAACAGAAATCCAAGGTCAAATCCTAATGCTGCTTCTTCACTCAGGTAGGCATATTACCAAATGTTTTTGATGCTCAGTTACTTCATCTCATCTGCAAATTTGGGGTAACTAGTCTTGTGTGATAGGGTTTCTTTTTAGGGTTAAACAGGATTGTAAATATGAAGGTGCTTAGCAGAGTTTCTAGCCCGAAGCCCGTCTTCAATCAGTCATTTCTCTTCCCTTCTCAGCAGCTGCAGCAGGGGAGGGCTGCCTGCCGTTGTCACCCCAGGAGGCCCCAGTTCCAGACAGCAGTTGAAAATGAACCTGTTGTAGCCCTGAAAGATTCCTTCTGCCCACTCAGATCATGGTGGCCTCTCTCAGTGCACCCAAAATCTTGGAGTCCTAATTCATTCTCCTTGCCACACTCAACTTCTACACAATGGGCTGCCCCTTTTCTTTCATCCTTTGCTAGGAATGTTTTGGAAAGGAAGTACTTTGAAATACAATCTGACCCACTCTCCCAGGTCAGGCTTGGGGGTATAAATATAGAACAAATCTCAAGGGCAGATATTTTCACAAGCATCAGAAATTTTAATTTGCATTCTTTGGAGACCTCAGAACTACTACTCACTATCTAAATTTCTCAATTTCACTTTACTTTTTTAATCAAATATTGCTCTTCATCCTAGTGGGAGGCCTCTTGGCTTTTAAACATGACCCAGTGCTTCCCTTTTCCATAGAGACCCAGATATCAAAACCATAACTGCTGGCGTCTCAACTGTGCCCTCATTTTAAAATCCATAGAGTCATCAGGTTTGGACTCAGTGACGCCCTGATGGAAGAATATCTGTAACCCAGCATCTGATCACTGAATATCACTGCATAGTGATATTCAATGAATATTAGTTTCTCGTTTCCTCTCTTCTCCTTTCAGACCATGGCATCTTTTCCTATCTGTTGTCTTACAGAAGGGTTGGGTGCTGAGTTCTAAAGCTTACTGGAAGAAGCCAAAGGGATTACACTTTTCCTTTTGTCTCTGTCACTCTATTTTCCCTTAAAGCTCAATTTCTAGATAAAACAGAAGGCATTGTGAAAAATTTTAAAGGAAGTCAGTAGTGTTCACTTCGGCATGCTGTTCCTACTGCAAAAAAAAAAAGAAAAAAACATCTAGTGGATTGCTTTAATTTTCATATATTTTCCCACTTAGCCTCTTCCTTTACCAGAAGGACCACCATTTAATTTGCTGTGACACTCAAAGACCCCAGCATAAAAATATGCCTCTTGCCTCTGCTGATAACTGAAGAACTTCCAATGTGTGAGAAATCAAACGCCAGCAAGACAGCCTGGTCCTGAGCCTCACAGAGGCAGGAACCAGGCACGGATGCCTGCATCTCAGCACTATTTTTGTGAAAAAAAAAAAAAAAATAGAAGAAGAAAAGAAAGCAAATTAAGACTACTTGGAGCACATCTTAGATGTTAATTTAGAAATTCGGCCGGTTGCACCACATGCCAGAGAAGCATAAATCTAAGCAGCATCTGGCTGACGGTTTACTTCCTGAGAACTCCAGATAATGAAGCACCTGATTTAACCTCTCTTGGGGATAAATATATGGAGATTATGATTCTGTAGAAGAATCATAGATCAACCTGGATCTGGAAAGTGAAACCAGTGGAGATTCAGACGTTCATCAATTGTTGCATTTGGTGCATCTGAATCCTGGAGGTTATATGATTAAAATAGAAATGTTGTGCTAGGAAGAATTCTATGGAGAGCCAGGAAGGCTTGAGATTATTAAAAATTTATTTTTTAAAAAAGTAATGAGAAAGGAAGTCGCTCTGGGATTGAATGAATGTCTAACTGGTTTTGTTTGTGATGCGCCTGGAGAATCCAGGACTGCCCAGGTGTGTTGGTCTGTTCTCGTGCTGCCATAAAGAAATATCTGAGGCCAGGCAATTTATAAAGAAAAGAGATTTAATTGGCTCACAGTTCTGCAGGCTGAACAAGCATGGTACCTGCATCTGCTCGGCTTCTGGTGAGGCCTCAGGGAGCTTTTACTCATGACAGAAGGCGAAGCAGAAGCAGGCATGTCACATGGTGAGAGCAGGAGCAAGACAGAGGAGGAAGGTGCCATACACCTTTAAACAGCCAGATCTCAAGGGAACTCACTATTGCAAGGACAGAACCCAGACACTCAAGAAGGACCCACCCCCATGACCTCGACACCTTCCACCAGGCCCCATCTCCAACACTCAGGATTACATTTCAACGTGAGATTTAGAGGGACAAACATCCAAACTCTGTCACCAGGTATGCAAGCTTTAGCAGTCAACTGTTGCTACACAGCAAGCCACCCCAAGATTTATTGATGTTTAACAACAACAGTTTATTGTTTTTCATGGGTCTATAAGGTGCTTGGGCACGGCCAGGCTGATCTCAGCTAGGCTTGCTCCACTGATGGGTCAGCTACAGGCTGATTGGTCTCTGACGTCTGTGGCTGGAACCCCACAGCTCTCCTCCATGTGGATCTCGACCTCCAGCAAGCTAGAATGGATTATTCTTGAGCTTGTGGCAGTGGGAGATTTCAAAGGTAATTAGAAGTGCCCACTGCCTCCTAAGGCCTAACTCAGAGCTAGCTTGCCTTCATTTCTGCCACACTCTACTGCCTAGAGCAAGGGACAAAGATAGTCCAGGTGCCAGGAATGAGAAACAGACTCCATCCCCCTACACACCCCCTGACAGGACAGTCTCCAAGGTCACATTGGAAAGGGCGTGCATACAGGAAGCAGCGGAGAGCTGCAGTCATTTTTGCAACCAACGTCACAGGACTTCCACATCTGGTGTCTGAATATTGTCACTTCAACAACTACTAAACTTTCTGCTGAAACATGGTAACTAGGAGGCAAATGCGACACCTGAGAGCTTGAAGAAGGAGAAGGAAGCATATAGACACTGTGCAAACTACTTACAGGGCTCAGCTACCTGGAGAAGAGCAATCATATCCTTCAAGGTTGATAAGGAGAACGCAAACAGAATAAGGGACAAAAGCAACCACAGTTCGACCACTCTCAGAGCACTGGGATAGAAAAGGTAACTTGAAAGGAGTGTAATATGGTTTGGATATTTGTACCTTTCAAATCTCATGTTGAAATATGATCCCCAATGTTGAAGGTGGGGCTTAATAGGAGGTGTGTTTGGGTCACAGGGACAGATCCCTCAGGAACGGCTTAGTGCCATCCTTGCTGTCATGAGTTCTTGCTCTATGAGTTCCCAAGAGCTGGTTTTTGAAAAGAGCCTGGCACCTCCTCCTCTCTCTCTCACTTCCTTCTTCTCTCATCATGTGACACCGACGCCCCCTTTGCCTTCTGCCATAATTGGAAGCTTCCTGAAGCCCTCATGCAGAAGCAGATTCTGGCAGCATGCTTTGTGTACAGCCTGCAGAACTCACGAGCCAATGAAACCTCTTTTCTTTATAAATCACCCAGCCTCAGGTATTTCTTTATAGCAACACAAATGGACTAAGACAGAGTACTATAGTAGGGTTTGGTACACAGCGTGGCTTTTTCCAACACACAAGATGTGAGAAATGCCTTTTTTTGGTATTTCAATGAAACAAGTGTCACATGCTCTCTGTATGCCACCAGCACTGAACTGATGGTAAATCCAGTGGCAGCCTTTTCTGAGTCTCCTTCCTCTACCCATGGAGCTGCCATTGTCCGGAAGCTGATATCTGTTTCTTCTCGTGTCCATGACCACCAGTCACCTCTGACAGGCTCCATGTGCAAGCATAGACATGGGGATATCCATGCAGGCTGGAGTATTCTGAGCTTAGGGTCCAGCCATCCCTGGAAGCATCACCCCACCCTGCACCTGCCAGCTCCCTCATGCTGTGAAGAGCAAGGCAAGGTGCCCACAAGTCCTGAGACACAAAAGCCTCTGCCCCCTTTCCCAACTTGGGCAAAGCTCTTGGCCACATTCCACCCATGTCCCATGGCTCCCAAAGCCCCACATGACCTTTGGGCCATGCAGCTCAGCTCTTTTCTAAAACTTCTAAACTCCAACCTGGGTGCCAACGGAGTCCAGATTTTCTGGAACTTAAAGAAGAAAATGGTGATGGAGTTAAAGAGGGAGAAGAAAAATGTTTCTCTTTTTTCCTGACCCTTTCACAGAGGCAAAATAAAACATAAATTAATATTTCAATATATGATTCTGTCCCTTTTCAGCTTCTCTCTAAACTTGTCATCAGGGTAGCTAGCAAGAGGCAAGCTGGTCTGTTTCCTCACCATCTGCCCTGCCCTTTCCTCATTGAAAGACTTTGGAAGAGTCTCTAATGGGAACACTGGTGTCCCCTTCCCAGCTTCACCAAGGCACAACCCAGCACACACTTTCTTTCTTTCTTTTCCAATATAAAGAAACAATTAAAATCAGCTTAGCTCACAGCAAAACTAGCTTTTATTTAGCTTGTGCTTCCTTTTATAAAGCAGGTTCTTTCTTGAGCCTCACCAAAGTCCTGTGGGTGAGCCTTTTAAGGGATATCCCATGGTGAAGCCACCATCACCCCAATCAGGGCTGTCTTCATGATAACTTCTGAGTGACTGTGACCATTTCTCTACCCTGAAGGCCCCTTCAGCTCCTCAAACTCAATGCATCTAATCCAAGAGTCTTTTACCCTGAAACCACCTCCCCTTAGGGGTCTGACAACAGGACCTTCCCTCTCACTGGCATGAGACCTCAGGGCCCATCTGCCCTTCCTTCCTCTCTCACCAAGCCCAGAGTCCCTGTGATGCCTCACTGCCTTGGCTCACCCTTCTTTCCCATGCCCACGACCACAACCACATGCCTCTCCTCACACCCTGATTCCTCACAGGTCTGCCTGGTCACAGCTTCCATCCCTCTCTGCTCCAGTGCCTATGGGGAAGTGTCTGCTCTGGGGAGACTTTTGAGATTTAAAGGATCTAAGATGAGGAACTTGTGTGAGGAAGCCTCCATTTAAACAATTCGTTCACTACGGAGAGAGCCGGGAGAGGAGGAGTACCAGGTCGCCCTGCTGCAGGTCTGCAGTGCTGGTCCCACAGAGTGCAAGGAACACATGGAAAGAGCATTTGCTGAATCCAGATGTAAGAAGACTTATTGACTCCCATTCCCCTGCACATCCCAGGCTGGCTCAGAAGGCACAATTCTGCACTCTGGTTGATATACTTCAGGGGCTCCCCATAACTTCCAAGATCAAGGCTAGAGATCTCAGGCCCCCATTCAAAGACCTTCAAGGTATGGCTGCAATCTCCCTCTCTTAGGTTATCGCTCTCTATTCCTGCCTCTGGAGATTCCAATCTTTGTAATTAAAAACTCCTTTCACAATCCCCTGAGGGGTTTTAGGATTTTTTAAAATGATTTTTATTAATTTTTTATGATATTTGATAAAGAAATAATTTAGGCAATATCTTGTTGTATGCCATAGTAAATGCCATAGACTGAGTGGCTTATCCATAACAGTTTATTTATCACAGTTCTGGAGGGTGGGAACTCCAAGATTAAGTTCCTAGCAGATTCAGTGTCTGATGAGAATGCACTCCTGGGTTGATAGATGGTGACTTCATACTGTGTGCTCACGTGGTAGAGGGAGCACAGCAGCTCTCTGGGGCCTCTTTAATAAGAGTAGGAATGACATTCATGAGGGCTTTGTTCTCATGACCTAATCACCTCCCAAAGGCCTCACTTCCTAATATCATCATATTGGGGATTAGGTTCCAACATATGAATTCTCGAGGAACACAAATATTCAGACCATAACAAGTAATATTCCTTACTTTACAACAAAGTATTCCTTACTTTAGATGAGTATATTATTAAAGATTTATTATGGGTCCACAGCTCCTTATCTGCAATGGCAAAATCCAAATGCTCTGGAAAACAAAAAGTGTTCTTTTCTACATTTGACGTAAATTTGTTTGTATGCAAATCTGACCTTAACTAACATGAGGTTATTCAAAGTCTATATTTATCCTGCATGGTGTGAATATTCATAGGTTTCACTGTAGAGATATTAATGTATTTAATTAATATCCCATGGTGAAGCCACCATCACCCCAATCAGGGCTGTCTTCATGATAACTTCTGAGTGACTGGGACCATTTCTCTACCCTGAAGGCCCCTTCAGCTCCTCAAACTCAATGCATCTAATCCAAGAGTCTTTTACCCTGAAACCAGCTCCCCTTAGGGGTCTGACAACAGGACCTTCCTTCTCACTGGCATGAGACCTCAGGGCCCATCTGCCCTTCCTCCCTCTCTCACCAAGCCCAGAGTCCCTGTGATGCCTCACTGCCTTGGCTCACCCTTCTTTCCCATGCCCACCACCACAACCACATGCCTCTCCTCACACCCTGATTCCTCACGGTCAGGCCTCAGACCTCACTAGGGAGTTTTACATAACATATGTTTTGTGCAGTGTATTGCTTTTTTAAAATCTCAAAAATTCTGAAATCTGAAATATCTGCCTTAAGATTTTTAACTAAGGGCTAATGGACTGGTACAAGTTTATTGCAATAAACTTTCAATAGTATTTTAAATATATCTTTTAAAATCTATAGGAACACCCTATGTAAAGTAATGCCAATCCCCACTCTCCCCTTATATTGGTTTAAAAAATATGTCCACAAGTTCTTTGCTATTTCTTCCTGCAAAAGGTGGAGATTAGTTCCCTTCCCTTTGTATATGAACTGAACTTGGAGACTCACTTCTAATGAACAGAAGACAGCAAAAGTGATAGTATGCCATTTTCAAGATTAGGTTATAAAAAGACTGCAGCTTCCTTCTTGGACGCACACTCTCTCTTGCCCTCTTGCTCTTTCCCTTGGATCACCTGCTCTAGGATAAGGCAGCTGCTATGTTATGAGCTAATCAGTGAAGAGGCTCCAATGTTGAGGAACTGAAGGAGACCTTCCCCAACACCTAGCAAAGAGCTGAGCCCCTTAATCCAACAACCCATGAGAATCTCAGGCTTGTCAACAACCACATGGGTGAGTTTACAAGCAGATCCTTCAGCCCCGGTTGAGCCTTAGATGAGATCTCAGCCAGGGGCAACAGCTGGACTGAAGCTTCATAAAAGCCCTTGAGTCAGAACCACCCAGTTAAGCCTGTCCCATATTCTGGGTCACAGAAACTGAGATAATAGATGTTTGTTGTTTAAAGTTACTAAGTTTGGGATTATTTGTTACACTGCAATAGATAACTGACATGCCCCTCAGCATTCTCTAGCATAGTGCCCATTCTCTGTTCTTATTCCACTTTATCATAAGCTGAACACTTTATTTTTTCATTTTTTATTTGTTGTTTATCTTCTCCTCCTCCTATGGGGGAAGGGGGAGTCGGTGAACTCAGTGTTGTATTCACACCACTTAACACAAGGCCTGGATCAAGGACAATGAACAGAGGGGGTGGGAGGAAGGCAAATTATTCTGGGGCAGTGAGGGTTTTGGTGCAGTGTTAACAAATAACATAATAATTTGAAAAGTCCAAAGCCCAAATGTCAGCTCCTCTCTCCCCTTCTCCCATCATTTGGTCCAAGTGGTCAGCAGGACCCCTTGCTCTCACACAGACGCATCTTCTCCCCTCCATCCTCACTGCCCCCACTCCCTCCCAGCCTCCATTCTCCCTCACCAGTGTCCTCATTGGTCTCACTGTTTTCTCCTCTTCCCCCATTAATCCATTCTAAACGCTGAATGTGTGCATGGGGTCGGGGGGAATAAAGGAAAACTGAGGATCCATTTATTTTTCCAGGACTTTAAATGAATCTAAACCCCCTTCCCTCAAATAAATTAAGAACCAGTGGTTTGAATAAGATTTCTACTTCTATTGACTCTTTCAATACGGTAATATACAAAAAAATTATGCAAAAGTATTCTCAGTTCTAAAGAGAGTGAAGATCATTCCCCTCATGCCCAGGTGGTGAGAGTATAAATCATATTCTTTCCAGAAAGTAGTTTAGCCTGAGGTTCAAAAAGAACTATCATAGTCTGTTATCTACTAATTTCACTCCTAAGAACCTTGCCTGAAGGTGTATCTTGGGGCTCCAGCAAAGATTTGAATAAAGATCCACGTACAAAGATGCTCAGCAGTTTGCATATAGTGGATTATAAGCAACTCTAGAGGCCCACAATGCAAAAAGGTTTAAACAAATCAGAATATAGCCATTAAGTGAATGTTATTCATCCAGTAAAACTATCTTTCAAGATTTTAATGACATAAGAAAATGCTCAGCCTGGCACACTGGCTCACACCTGTAATCCCAGCACTTTGAAAGGCCAGGGCTGGCGGATGGCCTGAGGTCAGGAGTATGAGAACAGTCTGGCCAACATGGCAAAACCCTGTCTCTACTAAAAATACAAAAATTAGCTGGGCATGGTGGCATGCACCTATACTCCCAGCTACTCAGGAGGCTGAGGCAGGAGAATGGCTTGAACCGGGAGTGGGGCAGAGGTTGCAGCAAGCCGAGATTGCGCCACTGCACTCCGGCCTGGGCAACAGAGTGAGAGTCTGTCTCAAAAAAAAAAAAAAAAAAAGAAAGAAAGAAAGAAAATACAATATAATATAGCGAGAGCGAGATACTATATATAAATGTATTTGTTCTCTAACACACACACATATGTGCACAAATATACCTGCATGTACATGCCTGCAAAGACTGGAAAAGGAACAGCAAAAAGTTGCCAGCAATGATCTCTGAATAAGGAAATAATGGATGATTTTTTATTTTTTCTTTCTAATTTTACATATGGCCCTCATTTTCTACACTGAATATAGAGACTTTTATATCCAGCTAAGAATTATCATGTTCGTAAATGAAGAACAGGAAGGCCTATGCAGGAAATAATCTGAAAATAGCAGCTAAGACCCTTATTAGACCTTAGACTCTCCCCGCCCTGCGCCCAGTTATGCCGCCACGACAGGCAGTCAGGACCCAGGGGAGCATGAACCCCAGGTGTCGATGGACTCCCCACAAAGGGTCTGTCTGCCTTTCCTGTCCTGTGACTTCAGCGGCTGTACCTGTCAGGGAAGGCTGGCTGGTGGGAGGAGCAGCACTGGAACCTCGCTGGTCTAACACTGCAGAAGTTTCTGTTTCCAGCTCAATCTGTAGGGCAGAGGGGAGGAGAGGTTGGGGGGACTCTACTCCACACCTTCCTTCAGGGACCCAGCTTGCTGCTCTTTGGGGGTGCTGCCATCCTCAACACGTGGCTTACAGGGTTCTCAGGGAGCAAGGGGAGGGAGAAAGAGACCGAGAGAGAGACAGAGAGAAAGAGAGAAAGAGGATGAATCCTGCCTGGCCGTGGGGTTCCACGCTTCTGCCTTCATTCCTCCGCCCATCTCAGTTACTCGGTTCCCACTGCCTGCGAGGGCCTGGGAAGTGTAGTCCAGCCAGATGCCCAGAAGAAGAGAGGCACGGCTTTTCCTGAGTGCCAGCATGCGGGGCCTAACAACCCTCAAAAATGGCACCTCCTCAAGGCCGGGTGCCGTGGCTCATGGCTGTAATCCCAGCTGCCTAAGAAACACAGCTGCACGAGGCGGGCAGATCACAAGGTCAGGAGTTCGAGACCAGCCTGACCAACATCATGAAACCCCCGTCTCTACTAAAAATACAAAAATTAGCTGGGTGTGGTGGTGCACGTCTGTAATCTCAGCTACTCAGGAGGCTGAGGCAGGAGAATCGCTTGAACCAGGGAGGCGGAGGTTGCAGTGAGCCGAGATCGCACCATTGCACTCCAGCCTGGGTGACAGAGTGAGACTCCATCTCAAAAAAAAAAAAAAAAAAAGGCACCTCCTCCAAGCTTATGTGGGGCCTGCGGAGTCCTATGGTTGGAAAAGGGAACAAGGGGGCCACCACCACCTCCCAACCCCTCCCTGCCGGAGGCTGCGCAGAATCCGCCATCCACAGGCCAGGCCTTGTCTACTTCAGGTCTGTGAGCCCCAGCAGTGTGGACCCAAATCCTCATCAGGCTTCCGGCTGCCAGGGCTCTTCTGCCTGTGACAAACAAGGTCTCTCCTCTGAAGGAATTTCCAAGCTTCTCTTTGCTGGAAGGCAAAGGAGGATTTGGACCCGCCTATGAATAGCAAGGAAGCTGATGACTGAGAGTTAGCTTTTATCATTGCCGGAGCTGCAGGCCTTTGGGGAAGTGATAAGCCTCTCCCACTCCCGAAGCCCTTGTCCTGCCCTGCCCCCCACCACTCCCACCCCACCCCACCTCCACCCCTGTTAAGCTCAACCATTTCAGGCCAAGTCGTCTGGTTATAGAATGAAATGTACAGAGCCTTCCCAAACACGGCCTCACCCAAGCGAGATCCCGGAGGAAAAAGTTGGAAGAGAAGGTGCAACAATTAATTCTGGGGTAAATTAATGGGGCAAATTAATTCTGAGCCTATGATGAGCTCCTAGGCAAGAACTGCATATCAAACTAAAATGCAGGCATTGTTTAAATCTGACTCAGGGGAGGTTGGGGAGTTTGCTACTGAAAAGAAAGGGTTTTGAAGTCGAGTCTCTCTTTAAAGTTTAATTGGGTCCTCAGAGGACATGAGTTTGCCCTACAGAGGAGATTCAGTAAACGTGCCTCAGGCTCCAAAGGCAAATCCCAAAGCAAGTGGCCTCCAGAGGTGCGCTGAGCTCCACGCCCATTGGAATGGCAGAGGGCTTTTCTGAAGGGGCCAGGCTCAGAGGAGGAGATGGGGTCCTGAGAAGCCATGGGTCCAGCAACCAGGGCTGGGCTTTCTTCCCAAGTAAGTGTGCTAGCAAAGGCCCACAGGCAATGCCTCTCAAAAACTTCCACCAAAGCATTCCAGACAGAAAGGTGAACACATATTTCAGGGGTGGAGTCATAGTCCTAAAGAGTTGGCACGAAGTAGGTCTCTTTATTTATATTTAAAATTCACAGGAACCCTGAATCCAATTCCATAAACACACACACACAGAGATGCTTGTTTAACAACGTCCAAGAAATTACCATCAAGTACCATTAAGGTGCTGTGTGCTCCTTGGGGCTTCATCTCATAACTTAATTTAGCACCTGCTACTCTCAAGTGTTGATCCCTGACCTGCAGCCTCAGCATGCCCTGGGAGCTCTAAGAAATGCAGGATCTGGGCCCCATCCCAACCCAGAGAACCAGAATCTGCACTTTTTTTTTTTTTTTAGATGAACTTTGGCTCTGTCACCCAGGCTGGAATGTAGTGGTGTGATCTCAGCTCACTGCAACCTCCGCCTCCCAGGTTCAAGCGGTTCTCCTGTCTCAGCCTTCCGAGTAGCTGGGACTACAGGCACCTGCCACCATGCCTGGGTTATTTTTGTATTTTTAGTAGAGACAGGGTTTCACCATATTGGCCAGGCTGGTCTCGAACTCCTGACCTTGTGATCCGCCCACCTCAGTTTCCCAAATTGCTGGGATTACAGGCGTGAGCCACCGCGCCTGGCCAGAATCTATATTTTAACCAGATCCTGGTGTGACTCATTTGTACATCAAAATCTGAGAGGTGTTGCTCTGCCATGTGTTGTGAAGGGTGTGAACATCCCTGCCTAGGAAACATAGCTGCACAGACTTTTCTGGAAGTTCTGCCAGTGATTCTTCTCCATCCTACCGCTCGTTAACCCTACTCTCCACTTCGTTGCTTGGTTTTATCTTCTCCAGAGCACTTACCTGATATGATCTTGTTTGTGTTTGGAATACAGCTTCAGGAAGCAGGATTTGTTACAGCTTGTGAAACAACCTCACTTACAACAGATGCTCAATGAAAGTGTTTTAAGTGAATGACTCTAACAGGGAGGAGAGAAGGAGGAGATGTGGGGTGGGTTGTAAAAGGTAAGTCAGGGGTCAGTCTTTTTATGAGAATTTCTCTACAAAGAACAATGTATTTTTTCTCTTGAAAATGATAAACAAAATGTCATATTGGAATGTCCACACCATAATCTGTACTTAAATGTTCATATCAGATTTATTCATAATGGCCAAAAACAGAAACAGCCCAGATGTCCATCAATGGAAGAAGAGTTAAACACACAGTGGTATGTCCACACGAAGGAATACTAATCAGCAGTTAAAAAAAATTGCTCTGCTAATTTTTGTATTTTTACTAGAGATGGGGGTTTTACCATGTTGGCCAGGCTGGTCTCGAACTCCTGACCTCAGGTTATCCACCCGCCTCGGCCTCCCAAAGTGCTGGGATTATAGGCATGAGCCACCGCGCCCAGCCTAAAAGAGCCAATCTCTAAAAGGGTGAATATGATATAATTTTATTTACAGACTAGTGGTTGCATAGGGTTGGTAGAGGAGAACGAATGTGACAATAAGAGGGCAGCATGAGAGATATTGGGAGGGTTGGAGCAGTTCTGTATTTTGATTGAGGTGGTGGTTATAGAAATCTACACATGTGACAAAATTGCTTAGAAACACACACACACGAGTGCATGAAATCTGAATAAGATCTGTGGATTGTACCTAGGTCAATTTCTTGGTTTTGATATTGTACTGTCTCAGTGCATTTTCTGTTGCTATAACTGGAATACCTAAGACTGAGTAATTAATAAAGAAAAGAAATTTATTCCTTAGAGTTCCAGAGGCTGCGAATTCCAAAGTCTAGAGGCTGCATCTGGTGAGGGCCTTCTTGCTGGTGGGGACTCTCCGCAGAGTCCCGAGGTGGTGCAGGGCATCACATGGTGAGGGGACTGAGCATGCTGGCTTAAGTATCTCTTTCTCCTCTTATAAAAGAGCCACTAATGCTCCATCCTCACTTCCCAAAGGTCCCACCTCTCCAATACCATAGTCAGATTTCCCACCCCTTAATACTTTCACAGGGGGGATTAGGTTTTAACATGAGTTCCCGTCGCATATTACAAATCTATAAGATATTAGTATTGGGGGAGACTGGGTAAAGCACACACAAATCTGCTCTACGCTGTTCTTGCAATTCCTATGAATCTATAGTTTTTTTAAAAACAAAAAGTTTTAAAACATTCTATTGAAGTATCCATGGTTTAGCTAAGGGCTATGCCTTCTTTTAAAATGTGGAAGAATTTTATACTGTTTAGCACAACCTAACCATAGAAATGTTTTGAATTCCACTGTACAATATGTGTGTCCCTAAAGAAGAAACAACTGTGCCAAAAGCCATTAGGTGCCGACTTTCACTTGAATCTTAGAAAGAAATAATGCTGTGAAGGCTTTCTTTTTGCTTCTTGCATGCCAGTGCCGGGGCAGGGGCCTGTGGAGAGCTGCCTTGCTCAGGTGGAAGGAGACTGAGCAAAGCACTCCAAGAAGGCTGCATCGCGTTTAGGGGCGGTGGGGTTCACCACCATTGCCTGATGGTGTTCGAGACCCCACATGAACCCACGACTCAACCTAAGCAACAGAAATGATGTCCAGGGCAGCCAGGACCTGGTCCAAGAGAAGCCATGCCATCATCTTCCCCAGCCACCTGCATTTTGAGGAAGGGGCACTGTTGGAAGAATCTCCCTGACTTGAACCAGCAGTAAGGAATTACAAGGGTAGGCAATTGGAGACCTTCATCTCCTCCCTGCCCCTCTTAATATCTGGGTATACAGTTCTTACTTGGGTCAAAATGTGTGTGGCCTACAGAAACTAAATGGGAGCACTATAAATAATGCAAGCTATTCCAAAGCCATTACAACAAAGGCAAGCTTGAAAACTCAAATGCCTGCAGGGGCTGGACAGGAAAAGGAGCGCGTGGGCCAAGCAGGACTGTGTGAACTGAAGAAACAAACTGGGTCTAAGGGAACCTTCTCAGCTGACTGCTCCCTGGGGACACGGAGTCACCAAATGTCCCAGCTTCTCAAGACATGCCAGAAACCTGGGTTTTCATGTAAAATGCACTGCTTTGAATGTAATAAAATTGTTTAAGACATCACATGCACGAAACAAGACACAAGTGCCAACAACATCTGACTTGTTCCTACCAGTCCACCTCCCCCGCAAGCCACTGTCCTTAAGAAAGAAAGGCAAGGACCAGGGGAAAGCCAGCAGGTCAGTCTGGGCCACGAGACAGCAGCTCTGCTACCCTTGACCTTGACATTTGTCCTCAGGCCTCTGGAGCTGCAGTGGCAGAGGAAAGCGACTTCACAGGAGAGAGAAACCAGATTGAGCGACATTGGGAGTTTGAACTGGCTCCACCAAGAATTTTTAAAAGGGACCAGGGCACAGTGGCTCACACCTATAATCCCAGCGCTTTGGGAGGTCGAGGCAGGTGGATCACTTGAGTCCAGGAGTTCGAGACCAGCCTGGGCAACATGGGGAAACCCCATCTCTAAAAAAATACAAAAATTAGCTGAGCATGCTAGCACATGTCTGTGGTCCCAGCTACTTAGGAGGCTGAGGTGGGAGGATCACTCGAGCCAGAGTTGCAATGAGCCCAGATCATGCCACTGCACTCCAGCCTGGGCAACAGAGCCAGACTCTCAAAAAATAAATAAATAAAACTAAAAAAGGGATGAGCCGGAACATAATGTATTAATGTGAGCTTTTCCAACCTTCCATCCTCCAATCCAAGAGGGGAGGAAAGCTTGAGGAACACGATGTGCAGACCGGGGCTGAGGCTGGGGGACCAGGGAAGGGGAGGGTGCGGTCTGAGAACACTGGAGGGTGAGTGCAGTGGGTTTAAGGAAAGCTGCCAGGGACTAAGATTAGATCATCTTTACTGTCCTTCAAGAGGCCCAGGTAAAAGCGGAATTACTTTTGACTGTTACACTGTGTGTTAGAATTCAATAAGACCTTGCTGAGACTCGGCCAGTTCAGGTGAATCTGTTTACTGTGTAGAAATTCTTTCAGTTCCATCTGCAAACTGAAGGAGAGGCTTTATTCCCCCCGTAGTCTGCAGGTCTAAGGATGCGCTCTGTAAAATTTCGTAAGCCTCTGGGACTTGCCCAGCGTTCTCAGTGGTGACTGTCTTAAAAGCGACAATGTTGTTTGGGAGCATGGAGGTGAAGTGAAGAGAGGGCAGCTGCTCCACTTCGTGGCCTACGTGGGGAGGAGAGAAACTCCCCCTCAGGTTAAGGGCAGAAGACTTGTGTAGGGAGGGGTCATGTCATGAGGAAAAGCTGCACCTGTGACATGGGGGCAAGACAGGGCTTGTCTGATAAACTGGTGAGACTGCCCGGCTGAAGCCCATTCTGAGGGGGGATTGACAGACGAGCCTCTTGGAAGAGAATTTTCCCAAGGGAAGAGAGCCAGGCAGGCAAGGTCAGGCCGGAACAAAGCCTTAGTCATCCGAGGACGACACACTCCGAGTCCAGCCCACGTGACCCTGATCCAGCCCATGGAATCTGGCTGAAATCCTGGGAGAAATGACTTGGAGCCAAGATGAAAAGAGGTGTGCTCATCACAAGTCAGTCAGACCCTGGGGGTGCCAGACGGGGAGAGGGGCTTCATCCCTGCTTCTTCCCAAAGCAGCCCTCAGCTGTGCTCCCATATGTGACCCGCCCCCACCACCTCACCCCAGGAAGGGCCCACAGGGGTCAGAGAAGCACCTGGGTGCCTGGGGAAGGAGGGCCAGAGTCCACAAGGGACACTCCCAGGACTTCCAGGACTTCTGGGGGTGGGGCAGCCTAAGGTCATCAAATAACAGGAAGGGGCAAGAAAACACATGCTCCAAGAGTGAAAGTGACCCCAAGCTAACATCCAATCTAGGAGGCCCAAGAAAGCCCAGAAGACAGGCGCATCCACATGTCCCCCCATGATTATTTTTTAGGGTATCATGTTTTACTTTACTAAAATTGTAAGCTCCTTGAAAGCAGGAATCTTTGTCTCTTTTATTCGATGCTCCGTTCCGGTGACAGAAAAGTGCCTGGTGTATAGTAAAGTCAATACTTATTGTCTGATAAATTTCCCATAGAGTTTCACCATCATAGGGTTTTTTTTTTTTTTTTAATCAATTGTTCTCAAGCTTTTTGTAGCAGCAGATGGTCTTCTTGAAATAAAACCTCGTGGGGAAGCTCAAAAAGCAAAACAGATAAATGTGGAGTTCCTCTGATAGAAGAGGAGATGGAATGAGGGATCTCTGTCCAACGCAGCCCAGCCCAGCCCCATGCCTTATGGCTGGCCCTGAGAATGCTTCAGGCAATTCCTTAGGCCACAAAGAAGACAGCTAAAAACACAAATATGGTCATTTTGTTAAAAACGAAGCTGACAGAGATGCCCATGCAACCTTTCCCCCTGGTGGCATTTGGAAAAAAACTCAGTGATATGAGATGAAGCCCCAGGGAAAGGATTAATGCTAGCTTAGCATATGGACGGATGGAGAAGCTGAAGTCAGGGCACCCTTCAGTTCATTATGCAGGGACGGAGGGCAGAGCAACCCAAACCTGGCACATCATGCTCCTCCAGCCAACATGACAGCACCCGGCGAGCCCTGACACCTCATAAATATTCATGGCCTTTGGCTCAGCAGTTTCTGAATATTCCTAAGTTTGAACTCTGCCTCCACACTGCCCGGGACAGGAAGCCAGGTGGAATTGAGACACAGCCCTTGCAGTTTTATCAAATGGTGAGTTTAATTCTATTATTATTTTATCCTTCCCCAGAAAACTCCAGTTTTGCATTTATATTGAGTTACTCCTGGCTGTGTCTAGCAACAATGACACAATGTCCCTGTCAGGACACATCCCAAGCCACGGGGGTCATCCTCTATCTCCCATTCATACGGGTGTTTCTAACTTTTGCCGAGTCTAATTCCAGAGTAAGAAAATAACACTAGTGCCTGACAAACAGCCAGCACCAGGGGGTCGAACTGCATAGATTCTAGAGTTGCAGGGCCTGGGACCAAATGGCAGCTCTGTCATTTTTGCTTGTGAATGTTGCTGATTTGGGCAACTTATGTGGTTTCTGTAAGTCTTTGTTGAGAATCTCTACAGTGTGGGTAATCATGCCTGTATCAGTTTCCTATTGCTGCTGTAACAAAAGACCACAAACATAGGAACTTAGAACAACCCAAACTCATTATCTCATTGTTCTGGAGGTCAGAGATCTGATATGGATCTTACTAGGCTCGATCAAGGTTTCAGGAGGGCTGCGTTCCCTCCAGAGGCCACCACTTTCCTTGGCTCATGGCCCCTTCCTCCATCGTCAGAGCCAGCACTGGCCAGCTGTGTCCTCCCACGCTGCATCCCTCTGACTTCTTCCTGCTGCTTCTATTTATAAGGAATCTTGTGATCATATTGGGCCCATGCAGGGAATCTAGGATGATCTTGCTATTTTAAGCTCATTGATTAGCAACCTTAATTCAATCTGCAACCTTAATTCCCCTTTGCCATGTATGGTAACATATTCACAATTTCCAGGAATTAGGACACAGACATCTTTGGTGGGTTATTATTCTGCCAACCACATTACTCTTCTCCTAGTGTGAGGGGGAAGGGGTAATGTGAGAGCAAGCAGGCCCATGGCCTGCATGTAACTGAGTGGCTGTCTTCAGAAGCCGGACACAATGAGCCACGCTGACACCAGGAAGTTGGAAGACATGTCCTGTCTTGCATTGTCCCATAGGACCTGCAAGTGCCAGTAAAGACTACTATCCAACTTTGCCCACCTAGCCTGCTAACCTTGGGAGAAAGCAATCATCTGTCATCTTAGGCCAACATTCCTTTTGCCTTTGTTAGCATAGAATCTAAATAACAGACTATATGCCCAAACCCACCCTGCCACTTTCCTCTTGAACCACAGGCACTCGGCAGCATCTCCACTGCAACTCCAGGATGCACTGGACCACACATCCAGGAATGTCCCCTACGGACATCTGGGAGCCCAGTCCCAAGGCCCCTCCAGGAGCAGACACCCTTCTATGCAACTTGGGGCAACTCAGCCTTGCTCTCAGGAGACAACTGAGTGGCCAGTCTCTTCCCTGACACAGAGGTTACACAGGAATCCCCTCCGTGGACAAGAGCTGGCCAGGTTGTATGGCAATGCCCAGTTCTCATTTTCTGAGTCTTTCCTCATGATAGTTGTTCCCACAGGCCTCAGGAGCTATTCCTCAAGCCATCTTTGCCCTTCAAAGCTTAAACAATTCCTGACCCTAATTTCCAAATCTTTTCTGCTTAATCTATGCACCAAATATCATGCTCAGCCATCTGTGTAGTCCCCATGTGTATTCGTCTATTCTCAAGCTGCTAATAAAGACATACCCAAGACTGGGTACTTTATAAAGGAAAGAGGTTTAACTGACTCACAGTTCAGCATGGCTGGAGAGGCCGCAGGAAATTTACAATCATGACAGAAGAGGAAGCAAACATGTCCTTCTTCACATGGCGACAGCAAGGAGAAGTGCCAAGCAAAAGGGGAAAAAGGCCATCAGATCTTGTGACAACCCACTCACTGTCATGAGAACAGCAGCATGGGGGTAACTGCCCCCATGATTCAATTACCTTGCACCAGATCCCTCCCACAACATTTGGGGATTACAGGAACTAGAATTCAAGATGAGATTTGGGTGAGGACACAACCATCCCATATCACCATGTGACTACAGGTGCTGCTGGAAATCTCCATTAAAGGATCTCTGGAAATGGATGAACTCTGTTGTATTCTTCACAATCACAGCCACACAGCTTGACTGACACTGAAGGTCAAAAGAGGCCTATTCATTATCCCATGAAACAGCTGTCTTTAATGATGCCAGTGGGAACTGTGGTACAGTGAGGAAGGCTGAAGCCTGGCTGAGTTCGTCAATTCCTCAGTGCTGGCGTTTGAATTGATACCCCACCAATTCTGAACTCTCTGAATCTGTTTCCTCCTTCTTAAAGTGTTCAAAGTAACTTTGCAGTATTATGGCTCAAAACAAAAGAGAATATCTATGGCTTTGCAGTTCAATACTTTGCAGTATTATGCCTCAAAACAAAAGAGAGAATATCTGTTCAAAGCTACCACTTCTGGTACCACATTCTGATTACCTATGGCTGCATCTCAGGTGATCCAAAGCTTAATGGATTCAACAGCAACCATTTTATCATATCTCACAGATTCTGTAAGTCAGGAATTTAGGCAGGGCTCGGTCAGGGGACTCCTCTGTGCCTCATGTGCCCATAGATATTGCTCAGTGGAACTCAGCTGGAGGTGGACTGGTCTGGAGGGTGCGAGACAGCATCACTCATGTGTTGTCCAGGCAGTTCTTGCTTGCAGTGGCTGCCACAAGCACTGAATTAACTCAAATGGAGCCACTGCTTCTGAGGAAATTCAAGATTCGATTCCCGTGAGCTTCAGCTCACGACATTTCTGTTGACTGATCAATATGCAACTTTGGTTTTTGTGTGTTTTTGTTTAAAGATACCTTATTGAATATCTATTTCTTAAAAAATAATTAGTTATATGAAGTATTTTCTTTATAAGGAAACACTAGCATGGAAGAGTTTATCATTTTCCTGAACCTGGGTAATGTGTCCATGAATTTCTTTGGCTCTCAGCCTCACAAAAAAATGCTGTCACTACTCTTTTTTCTATATGTCATAATCTCAAAAATCTACAGATTTAGCCATTTCCCCATCTTTTTCATAGCTCCATCACACACCAAAGATTTAGTTTAAGCACTTTCTAGGATGGCCTCCCTTACAGATTGGCAAATTTCCTCTTCTCTTTTCCCAATGTACCATGTTGTTGATTCTAACCTTGAACTCAGAGCCAACAGCATTAAAACTCCTGCCTGAACAAAGCATACTGGACACACATATTTCCTCTGCAAGGCACATCAAAGCCTTTTTGCACTTAGGAACACTGGTCTGCACTTAAGCCCTATGTTTGGGGGTCACTTTAAACAGTGAAATCAACAGCAAAAAGCACAAAACACATGGCGCTAGGTAGACGGTGAAAAGGACCGTTGATTGCAGTATTGAGAGCTATAACAAGAAGGCAAAGTATCTTCTTGTGTGACCTCAGCTGGGAACATGCACATTGAGAGACTCAAACCTTTTGCTGCCCCATACACATCCATGAATAACTACAACAGTGCTGCAAGTATTGATTTGGGGGTTTTGAATAAATTTTAATGAGCAGATAAATTTGCAAATACAGAATCTGCAAATAATGAGGGTCACTGGTATTTGGTGCTTTTTCGAGAATGGGTGGAAGACGGCACTCAGCTGGGACTGTCCAATGGGGAGAGGTCCATGTGTGGCCCTCCAACATGTCACAGGGCACTTGGACTTCTTATTGTTTTTCTTGATTTTCCTCATACAAAACTCTGTGTGTGTGTGTGTGTCTGTCTTTCTTGAAGCAAAGTCTGTAACTAAATAAACTATGTTACTTTGTGTTCATTATTCAAACATTTTAGGGACCAGGAGAATTCTATGGTTTGTTTAGTAGAAAAAGCTTACCAGGCTGGGCGCAGTGGCTCACCCCTGTAATCCCAGCACTTTGGGAGGCCAAGGCGGGCAGATCACGAGGTCGAGAGATCGAGACCATCCTGGCCAACATGGTGAAACCTCGTCTCTACTAAAAATACAAAAATTAGCTGGGCGTGGTGGTGTGTGCGTGCCTGTAGTCCCAGCTACTCAGAAGGCTGAGGCAGGAGAATTGCTTGAACCTGGGAGGCTGAGGTTGCAGTGAGCCAAGATCATGCCACTGCACTCCAACCTGGTGATAGAGCGAGACTCCATAAAAAAAAAAAAAAAGAAAAAAGAAAGAAAGAAAAGAAAAAGGTTGCCAAAAAAAGACCTTGATGCCATCTAAAATATGCCTTTTCTCAAATCCTTTCTAATTGTGCTATGTTTAGAGCATGAAGAACATGACACAAAAAATATAATTGCATCATAATTGGGTCAAAAATTCAGTAAAAGTGACAGTCCTTGAAATTTACTATTCTGTATTGGTCCCTTAAGAAATTATCAGCAAGAATATATTTAGAAAATAAGTCCATCACCAACTCATTCCCTTTTAGTTACACAAATCTACAGTCTACCCAGTTAGGAATAATCCTTCCCTCTTACTTCATTAATAAAAAGACCAAATCATTCATCATCCATTTAGGACACCTTTTAGAGTGAAACGGGACACTCTTAATCATGCTAGGATAACAGGCATAAGCCAAGTCTGCCAAGACAAACTGGGCATTGCACCTGTCCCACCTGTGGCAATATTCATAATCAATATAAACCTCAGGATGTTTATAAGACTTGCTTGGTTGTAATGCATTGTATCTTTCCAACTATGATACAAATTACTTTCAGGGGACACAGGTTGAGCTCTCTTTTCTAAAGCCGTATTCAACAGACCTTAATTGGTCCACAAGCCCTGCAAACTATTTAAGCCATCTATCCACCAAAACACCTCCCTTTTGTAAAAACTAATGATTATCAATTGCCTTGAGAAATGTGATGAAGCATTTCAAAAGTCACTCTCACTGTAGTTTCTTTAAGTGTATTGCACTTGATTCTTTTCTTAATCTGGAATTCACTTTCTCTTTTTTAAAAAAAATTTGTTTTTGTGTTAGAGGATTTTTAGGAGAATAGACTAAGTTTTAGTATCTCCCCATTCAAGACATAACAGCTCTTCTCAAAGGTATTAAAGCAGTAGCAGCAGTTACTCCTCCCTTCATTCTTAGACTTTCACCTCCAAAGCCAAGTCAATCAAATGCAAAGAAAAAGTCAGTCCATCTTGCATTATATATACTAGAGTAATGGTCTTCATTTATTTCACAGGTTTTGTCGTTCATTCTTTGCATGCAGACATAGCCAAAATCCTTTTGTACCATTTGTAAAGTGGAAATGATACTACCACTACTATTATTAGTCCCTTAAAATCACCTGCAGCACATTGTGTGTTTGTGTGTCTCAGGGGATCACCTGAGCTATTGGGAAAGGTTAAAACACACACCTGAGTTGAGAGGCCAGCTGCGCCTTGGGCTTTATTCCACGGAGAGACACGTCCACCTAATGGAAACTTTCTCACCACACTCTGTAAACAGAAGCCTGTGGTCATACACCTTCCATGTAGCCCAGACCCCAGATCACATTGCAGTTGGTCCCTGTGGCTTGCCTCCATCCTTGGGCTATTTAGATATGCCAGATATACAGCACTCATGTTCTCTTAATTTAAGCCTTTGCATAGCTGCTCAATATCTGCCTGCGCTCCTGGCCTAACTGGTGAAATTAGAAGCGTTGAAACTTCTTTTTGGTGACCTCTTACTATTTTACTATTTCTCAGGTACCAGAAAAGAAAGGTCTCCCTGTCCACATCCTACTGATGTATTGCTGATCAGTTCAAACCAACTTTATCTATTCTGTATCCTAGTAAACATACGACTTGTCCTTCTAACATCCACTTGGGTGGAGAAGATCTGGTAGAGAGGAGAAAAAGTGGACATTTTACAGAAGTGAAGTCAAAACAACAATTTCAAGAAATCATTCAGGATTCTATGAAATTCTGATCTCACTTTACACTTTTCATGATCTCTGATGAATAAATCTTTATGCGAGGAGGCTGGTTTAGGGACTTTGCTGCTCTGGGTTTGAGTACCCCACAGATCCTGACCAGCACTTCCCACAGCTTTAATGACCCCCATTCAGAGATTCTAAACCTTAACAATATCAAGACTTCGTGCAATTCCTCTTATGGTTCACTAAAAAGCTTAGGCTAGGGCCGGGCACGGTGGCTCACGTCTATAATCCCAGCACTTTGGGAGGCTGAGGCGGGTGGATCACCTGAGGTCAGGAGTTCAAGACCAGCCTGACCAACATGGTGAAACCCCATCTCTACTAAAAATACAAAAATTAGCCAGGCGTGTTGGCATGCACCTGTAATCCCAGCTATTTGGGAGGCTGAGGCAGGAGAATCACTTGAATCCGGGAGGTGGAGGTTGCAGCGAGCTGTCCAGACTGGGTGACAGAGCGAGACTCTGTCTCAAAAAGAAAAAACAACAACAACAACAAAAAGCTTAGGCTAAATCATTCGCCTGAAGGTCTCAGTGTCCTCCAGTTTTCATGTACAAAGATGGCGTTTCCACCTTCTCAGGACTATCATCTCAAGAGCAGACTCAGGCACAGTCCTTTCATATTGACTCCCGCTCTACATTTCATCACCTTTCAGAGAATGCGCCCAGAACAACAAAAGACTGTTTGCAGTTCTAATGATTTTCTTGCTGACCTTTGACCATGCAGACAACACTCTGTTTTCTCTATCCCAAAATGTGTCTGTGCATAATGCCGTGTGACATTCACCTCTATCTTTGAATTGCAATGAATTAGGGATTAGAGCCTCAGTGAACGCTGCTGCCCTTTTCAGGCTGTTTCAACTCTGCAGGGATTTATTTGCCCCATTTTATGTCAGTAACTTTGCCTTTGCAAGCTTTACCTAGGCTTCTTTAAAAAAATTATTTTTTTAACTTATAGAATATAACCAGAGCAAACCTTCAGAGCTGTGGGGCAGGGAAGACTAATTGGTGTTCAAACCACTTTGAAGCTTTTAGTCCAAGGGCAGTAGCATCTCCATAAATGTTGTGAGTATCCAAGGGCCTGATTTCACTCCAAGAATATGATTTGTGCAGTTTGCAAGTTGTTTTCTAATTGTAGGATGTGAAGAACTGTCGGCTAGAGTCTAGATTGATTCTGATGAGAGCCCAGAGACACAAATTCATCTTCACTTGCCCTCCTTGTTTCACGTTTAGATGGCCACAGATTTCATCTCCAAGATATTTTAAAAACACTGTTTTCCCTGTGGTCCCTACCCCGTCATGACCATCCATGTGTCCTCCATTAAATGTAACCAATTTCTGTATCTTTTTGAACTTCAAAATATTTCACAATCAATTGTCTAGATAAACTTACATCTCATTTAAAATGGCATAAAAGGCGAGAGAGAAGCTTGCTTGCTTCTTGAATCTGATTACAAAAAAATTATCAACTATGTAACTTTTTACTTTAAACTACCCAGAGCAGCATGAATGGTATGTCTCAGAAAAGGCAAAAATAATAATATTTCCCAAACTCACTAAGGTAATTATTCCTGCCTTATAAATAACAATACTTGACAAATATAAAACACCTTCACATCAAAGTCACTCACACTGTGTTTAAAAAATTGAGGCTGATATCTCTGGGTCCCTATCTGAATAGCCAGATGCAGTCTCCTGGGGCACGGCAGGGAAGGAAAGAGAAGCAACATTTACTGAGTCTCTCGTGTGTTCTTACATGTTTAACCCCATTTAATTCTCACAGTAACCCGGAAGTTACAATTTTCCTATTACAGAGGAGGTAACTGAGGCTCAAAGAGGTTCTGTACCTTGCCCAAGGTCATTCCTGCTAGCAGAGGCAAGGTTTGAACCCACTTTTGGCTCCCTGCAAGGGGTGTCCCATGTGAGAGATAAAGAAAAGTCCCTCAGGACCTGTCACCTTGAGCAGTAGCCTAACTTCCTGCTGAAAATTCTAGCAGGTGGCCTAGAAATTGGAGAATGAAGCAAGTCAGAGAGAAAGAGAAACATCCATGAAAGAACTGGCAATGGACTGTCTTCAGAATGACCCAACCTTGGTTCTCAAAGGGCATCTGGTTGGGCCTCAGTGTCACTGGTAGGACACAGCGAACACCTGAGGAGGTGTGGCTGGAAGGCACTGGGACTTCAGAATACAGCAAGGCAGGAAAATAAACAGAGCCATGTCCAGTCCAAACTGGAGTAAGGGACTTGAACCCTCAGAAGCTGGCTTGAGCGGTGTCCTGGGGTGTGTTAAGGTCACAGTGGATCCAAGGACAGAAGATAGTGGAAGGTCTTTCTGGGGGAGTCCACAGAAGAGGGTTTGGGGTCAGAGCAGAGGTCAAGATTCAGGGGCAGAACAATGGTGTTCAGCAAGTCAGAGTACAAGCTCAGGGGAGAGGTGGCCTGGACGAGCCCTGTGGTAATTGCAGTGTATTCGTCTGTTTTTAGGCTGCTGATAAAGACATACCTGAGACCGGGCAGTTTACAAAACAATGATGTTTAATGGACTTACAGTTCCACATTGCTGAGGAGGCCTCACAATCATGTCGGAAGGCAAGGAGGAGTCGGTCACATCTTACATGGATGGCAGCAGGCGAAGAGAGAACTCGTGCAGGGAAACTCCCATTTTTAAAACTGTGAGATCTCATGAGACTTATTCACTATCACAAGAACAGCATGGGAAAGACCCGCCCCCATGATTCAATTACCTCCCACTGGGTCCCTCCCATAACATGTAGGAATTCAAGATGACGTTTGGGCGGGGACACAGCTAAACCATATCAAGCAGGTACCCAGCTGCTGGGCTAAGAAGGAAGGGTGGGCAAGGGGTCAGGGCTGGGATTTTCTTTTCCCAGCCCTGTCCCCCAGCATGGTCAGTATTATCTCGGAACCTGAGCAGGACCAAGCCCTCCGGTGCTGTGCCTGGCCTGCTGCGCTGTGTGGCTCTAAGAAGGTAGGGCCTGACCAGAGTCCTCAGGACCCGTGTGGGAAGGCACTGAGCTAGAAAAAAATACACCAGTTGACAAACAGATGGGAAATTAGAAAAGAAGTAGAAATTTCCTGTAACCAAAAACAAATAAGAGCCTGAAACTGAAAGTTGAGGCTTTTTCCTTTGGAAAAGATGTCCCAGCACTGACTTTTTTCCATGACTGGCCATTAAAGAGGCAGGCTGGCGGGGAAGGGGATGTTTCCAGGGCTGGCCCCACCCAGCGTAGTGACAAAGCACAGCCGCTGTTTCAAGCTTGGGGAGAATTTTGGTGCATCCGGCCTAATGCAGTGACTCATGCCTGTAATCCCAGCACTTTGGGAGGCCATAGTGGGAGGACTGCTTCAAGTCAGGAATTCAAGACCAGCCGGAGCAACATAGCCAGATCTCGTCTCTACATAAAATTTAAAAATCAGCTGGATGTGTTGATGTGCACCTCTTGTTCCAGCTACAAGGTAGAAAGATCACTTGAGCCCAAGAGTTTGAGGCTGCAGCAAGCTATGATCACACCACTGCACTACAGCCTGGGTGACAGAGTGAGACCCCATCCCTAAAAATTAACAAAAAAAGTGAAAAATAATTGGTGCATTAAATTGAGAGGATGAAGTGGATTACAGATGTGGAAATAAAAGTACGGAGGCGAGAGGTTGGAAAACACAATGAATGTACAGATAACATTGAGCAAAACAGCTTTTCGGGTGCAGGCTGCACCTCTGGAATTGGGGAAGGAGATGCACAAAGAGGGCTTGTGAGCAGTGCTGGGGTGGGTTCTGAAAACACCCTTCTCAGCCATCACATACTCGCTGCAGGCTGGGCATGACTGTTGAGCTTGCCCCATGATGGAACACAGTTGCTAGCTAGGTGGGGCAAATGGGCTTCTTTCACTGCTCTCCGACAAGACGGTGGCTTCCCAATTAAGCACTGCATCTGCTGAATCATGAGGTCTGAGCGTCCCTCCAAGCAAAAGTGCAGATGCTGCCCCTGCAATACCTGTGTGTCCCAGAATGTTTGACAGGGGGAGATGCCTTGGAGCACTTCCTCAGACAATTTCTGGACAGGATGAGAAAATTCGGCTCGTCAATATCTGCCATTGCTTACAACATACAGGCAAGCATGCTTCCGGGATGTTGAGAAAATAAGAGAACTTCTCTGAATTGCTTTAAAGGAAAATTATTGCCCTCCCTTTCTCTGCTGTCTGGCACTGAAATACTGTTTTCTCCAGTTTGCTACATAGTCCTCTCTTCTGATGTTTATCTTTTTTTTTTGACTAATATTTGTATTGGTAAGAGGTGCTTTGGAATTTGCACACATGAAGAAATAAAGAGCTTTTTTCCTCTACATTTCTAATATTCAGCTGCTCTCTTACCTTTCTTGTCCAGGTATTTTGACTTTTAAATTCTCTAGGTGGTTTCTCTTTCTCTTTCTCTTTCTTTCTTCCTTTCTTTCTTTTCTTTCTTTCTCTTTCTTTCTTCTTTCTTTTCTTTCTTTCCTTTCTTTCCCTCTCTCTCTCTTTCTTTCTTTCCTTCCTTCCTTCTCTCTTTCTTTCTTTCTTGACCAAGTCTCACTCTTTTGCCCAGGCTGAAGTGCAGTAGTGTGATCTCAGCTCACTGCAACCTCCATCTCCTGGGTTCAAGCGATTCTCCTGCCTCAGCCTCTCGAGTAGCTGGGACTACAGGAGTGTACCACCACACCACCTGGCTAATTTTTGTATTTTTTTTTTTTTTTTTTTTGAGATGGAGTCTCGCTCTGTCGCCCAGGCTGGAGTGCAGTGGTACAATCTCGGCTCACTGCAAGCTCTGCCTCCTGGGTTCACGCCCATTCTCCTGCCTCAGCCTCCCGAGTAGCTGGGACTACAGGTGCCTGCCACCGCGCCTGGCTAATTTTTTTGTATTTTTAGTAGAAACGGGGTTTCACCACGTTAGCCAGGATGGTCTCGATCTCCTGACGTCGTGATCCACCTGCCTAGGCCTCCCAAAGTGCTGGGATTACAGGCGTGAGCCATGCGCCTTGCCTAATTTTTGTATTTTTAGTAGAGACAGGGTTTCACCATGTTGGCCAGGCTGGTCTTTAACTCCTGACCTCAGGTGATTTGTCCACCAAGCCTCTGCCTGCCTAGGCTCTGCGAATTATGTAGTCAGTTCTGTTCAGCATTTTCAAAAAATCTCTCCTCTCAGAATTCTGAGGACACGACTCTACTGCCTGCTGGATTTTTATTCTGTGGAAGTCTGAAGCCAGGCCTGACTGGTTGTTTGGGGTTACCTGACTTTTTGTTTTTATTGCGGTTGTTGCTCTTATTTACTTACTGCTCCTATTTACTCTGGGTCCCTTCTTTGTGCCTGAAACATCCAAGTGTCACAAAGCTAAGTCTCGGTGTCCCGCTCTTCTAAATAATTGGACTTTGTTTTAATGAACCTTTTTAACATGAAGGCCAACTCTTTCTTTAGGTCAAGAGCGTTTCTATTTGTTCAGTGTTTCTTTTCCATGTGTTCTGTACTTTCTTACATGTACATGCCACATCCTTAAACTATGGGTCTTTTTTCCTCCCATCATTTTCACTTCCTCATCTTTTTCATACCCTTGACTTTTATTTTTAGGCAGAAGAGTTTGTCACATGTGTCATCTACTTCACTGATCAGGTTTTCTGCAGCCTCGAATCTGTTGTTGCTGCTTCCATCTGGGATTTTAAATTCCACTATTGTGCTTTTTTCATCTTCTCACATTATTGCCTGATCTCGCTGTTCTTTCTCTGCCCATTTGCCTTTCACAGGTGCAATATCTTTCTGCATGTTTTAAGGAACGCATGATAGAAAATTTGTAACATCTCCTTTTTCTTACATAACTGTACTACATCGGAAGACATTTGCTCTGGTTTGTTTTGAAGTCCCTTATTTCATTAATGACATGGTTTGTCTGTGTCCCCACCCAAATCTCATCTTGAATTGTAGCTCCCATAATTCCCACATGTTGTGGAAGGGACCTGGTGGGAGATACTTGAATCATGGGGGCAGTTTCCCCCATACTGTTCTCATGTTAGTGAATAAGTTCCACAAGATCTGATGGTTTTTTAAAGGGTTCCCCTCTCACTTGGTTCTCATTCTCTCTCTTGCCTGCTGCCATGTAAGACATGCCTTTGCTCCTCCTTCACCTTCCGCCATGATTGTGAGGCCTCCTAGCCATGTGGAATGGCGAGTCCATTAAACTTCTTTTTCTTTATAAATTACCCAGTCTTGGGTGTGTCTTTATCAGCAGCATGAAAACAGACTAATAAAATTGACTAGTGATTTTCTCTATAATATTGCTTTGCCAAGCTATTAATTAGCTCTCTCTTTATTACTTCTTGTAAACAGTAGTCACTGATTGTTTATTATCAGGAATCAAGATGGATTCTGACACATATTATCTGGATCCCTTCCAGCATCTTTTAGACTCAATAAAATTTAAAGACATTTATAGAGATTTCGATAGCCAGATCAGGTATGCAGCATGCTGCTGAGACTAAGGAGGGAACCTGATTGTATGAGTTCATTCTCACACTGCTATAAAGAACTACCTGAGACTGGATAATTTATAAAGAAAAGAGGATTAGTTGACTCACAGTTCCATATGGCTGTGAGGGAGGAAACTTATGATTATGGCAGAAGGCAAAGACAAAGCAAGCCCTGTCTTACATGGTGGCAGGAGAGAGACAACATGCAGGGGGAAGTGCCAAACAGTTTTAAACCATCAGATCTCATGAGAACTCACTCACTATCACAAGAACAGCAAGGGGGAAATCCACTTCCATAACCCAGTTACCTCCCACCAAGCCCCTCCTCCAACACGTGGGGATTACAATTCAAGATGAGATTTGGGTGGGGACACAGAGCCCAGCCATATCACTGAGCCAGCAGCTGTGGCAACACAGAACATTGCTTAGTCCAGAGAACCTTTTTCCATGCTTCTTCTGACATCAGCAATTAATACTAGTATATAATATCCAAAATATCTCCATTTATCAAAAAATGTCTTGATTTATGATAACTATAGAATAGTACAAACCATATCATTATACTGCAAAGGAATGGTACTGTACATATTATTTTGTAACTTGTTTTTTTTCACTTACTGGCATATAGGGTGTATCTTAGACACATTTCTGTTAAAATACATGTAGGTCTTCTTCATTCCTTGTCATGGATATATAGCATTCCATTAGATGATACCAAATTCATCAATCTGTTCCAGACTGATGGCACTTAGGTTGCTTTAGGGCTAGTTGGTTTGTTGGTTTTATTTTGTTTTGCTTACAGTATAATTTAGTGGATCCCTCATTATTTCGATATTCCCTTATAATTTTTTTTTTTCCTGAGGTGGAGCCTCACTCTGCCGCCCAGGTTTGAGTGCAGTGACGCAATCTCGGCTCACTGCAACCTCCGTCTCTTGGGTTCAAGTGATTCTCGTGCCTCAGCCTCCCAAGTAGCTGAGATTACAGGCACTTGCCACCACACCCAACTAATTTTCATATTTTTAGTAGAGACGGGATTTCACCATGTTGGCAAGGCTGTCTCAAACTCCTGACCTCAAACAATTTGCCCACCTTGGCCTCCCAAAGTGCTGTGATTACAGGCATGAGCCATTGTACCCGGCCTCCCTTAAATATTTTTAAACACAAATTAAGGCTTTTACACAAATGTCTCCAATATATTCATTTATGTAAATAAATTTTTTTAGAATAATACTACCTCTGGGATGTGAGGCCATGGAGGGGTCATGTGGAAGGAATGAGCTAATATATTTCACTTTCAATCCTTTGCTACTGTCAGTTTTTACAACTAAGTGTAATGCTTTTCTAATTTTAATCAAAATATATACAGAGGTAATGCTATAATAACATTTTCACAAAGACAGCCTTTTTCTTTCTCAGGACTGTATCTCAGGAGATGTGTCTAAAAGTTAGATTACTGGGTTAAACGGCACAATCCTGAAAGTGTTATACCCACTCTTATGGTCTGGAGAGATCTCAGAGGTTTAACATTCTGCCTGTGGTTCCTACCAGCAGGTAAAAATAGAGATAGCCATTGCATTACTCTGTTATAACACTGCTATAAAGAACTGCCAGGGCAGATCATGAGATCAGGAGTTAGAGACCAGCCTGGCCAACACGGTGAAACCCCGCCTTTACTAAAAATACAAAAATTAGCTGGCCATGGTGGCAGGCACCTATAATCTCAGCTACTCAGGAAGCTGAGGCAGGAGAATCGTTTGAACCCAGGAGGCGGAGGTTGCGGTGAGCCGAGATTGCGGCATTGCACTCCAGCCTGGGCGACAAGGCGAGACTCTGTCTCAAAAAACAAAACAAAACAAAACAAAAAAAACTGCCAAGACTGGGTAACTTATAAAGAGAAGAGGTTTAATTGCCTCAGCCTCTTCAGCCAGTTCCACTGAAGAGGCCTCAGGAAACTTACAATCGTGGCAGAAGGGGAAGCAGGCACATCTTACATGGCAGGAGGTGAGAGAGAGAGCGAGAGGAGGGCAGAGAAGAGAGGAGACAGGAGAAGGGTGGAGAGAGAGACAGGGAAAGAGAGCAGGAAAAACTATCATTTATAAAAACATCAGATCTCATGAGAATTCACTCACTATCAGGAGAACAGCATGGGGGAACCACCCCTATAATCCAATCACTTCCCTCTCTCCACTCCTGGGGATTACAGGTCCCTCCCTCAATACTCGAGGGTTACAATTCGAGGTGAGATTTCAGTGGGGACACAGAGCTAAACCATATCAGCCATATTCCATTGTGTTGTGTCTAACAGTGGAAGCTCCACATATGCAGCTAGTGTGAAGGAGGTGATCTTAAAATCCATTCGAAGAGGCTCAACTGGTGGAAGTGCTCGAATGGGTCCTATGTGATTCAGCTCCATTCTCATCCACTTGCAGCTCTGGATCGAAAACCCAGAGATGAGTGACATTCTGTTCTTATGGGTGCCCAGAGTGGTAGCTGGTGTATTTGAGGATGGCAGATAGTGCTATAAAACAAGAGTCCCGTTGAGACTTTGCTCAAACAGAGCCCCCGCCTGTCTGTTGGAGATTCTTTGTTTCACCCTTTTCAGTAACCAGAGCCACAGCTTCTTTGCTCACGTCCAAATGGAGAAAAAAAAATGGCTGAGCTTTGCACTGCCTGGGTCACCCCTAACTCAATCCCTGCCACCAGGCTGCAGATTTGGGTAGCAGTTTGTTGCCCTAACACAGGATAACTGTGATTGGTTGATATCAATCAAGATATGTCCCTAAAGACCCAGAGGAGCCAATCTCAATCAAGCCTTGGCTGCAGCACAGTGAGAAGTCCCCTGGCATGGCCAGGAGAAACCTACTTTGCCCAACAGGTACGTATCCATGATTGGAAAGGAAAAAAGACCAATTTGTACTGAACCTATATTGAGTACTGACTAAGGAGCTTTTACCATTTAATTTAACCCCAACAGTCCTTAGGGGGAGGGCTTGCTATGCTTATTTCACAGATAAGAAAACTTTAGCTCAGAGAGTATGAGTCATTTGCTTAAGGTCCCACAGCTAATATGCATCAAAGCTTATCTCACCGATTTCATATGCTGCTTGGCACAGCTTGTTAATGACCCTGAAGTCCATCCAAGCTAGACCTGGGAAATACATTTTAGATCCCATTCCCCCAAGTTTTGTTGTTAAAACTCATGTAGAGTATTTGGAATACATATATATGGAATATGAACATATATATATATATAAAAACATATATATATATGGTTTAGACTAAAGTTGGAAGGAAAACTAAAGATATGTTTTTTCCAGTTAAGCATCTTCTAACAGTTTAAGTAATTGGTTTGTGTTATCAGATTGTGGTCTAAACTAGATCACAGGAATGAATCATAGCTGATGTAATGCACACATGTCTTAGCACAGCTATTATGTGGTACCCAGGTGCACTGAATTTTACAATATGAAACCAGAGCTCTGCCCTTGAACCCGGTGAGCAATTATGGCATCATGAACTAGGCACTTGGATGCAGTTCAAAGAGCTGAGAACAAGTTACGAAAACGCAGGGAAAGTAAACTTCGGAGTTCCAGAGAGGTCACTCAATCTCCTCCTGGCCTTGCAGAGATGCCGATATCAGCTCCATGTGAAAACTGGTGGGGAAAACCTACAAGTCCAGGCTTTCACTTTTCCCTTAAAAGAACAGGGGTTGTCCTGAGCTGTGTAGCCTCTGGGATGGTGAGTCTTCCAGAAAATTTTCTCCCAGGGGACTTCACGGAAGAAGAAATTCCCTTCAAACTTGGGCTTTTCAGTTCTGTTACTAGCATTTGGGATTGGACCAATAGCCCCTGATGGCAATTCTGGTTGGGCAGGGGAAGTGTGAGAGTGTGGTGGGCAGGTGGGTAGAGGTGGGAAACGAAGCAAAGGGACAGAGACATGCAGGCTAATGTGGATGGTGGAGACCTCCCAGCAAGGGCAGCACTGCCTGCAGCAATGCCAGAAAGACAGCCTGAAAGAGAAGCTTTCTGCAACCTTAGTTCTTTTTGCTCAGGAAGTACTAAAGTTAGAACCTGCTGTCTTTTAAAAAGAAATGATGTTATTTCACAGATCCGCACATTTAAATAACAAATAAGCCAAGACAAAACAAAACAAAATGTGAAGTCCTAAAATTTAGTTAAGATACATTTTTCTTCTAAGAGACTGCATGGAAATTTTGTTGTTGAAATAATTCACTGTGCTGAGCTTCACTTGAAATGCTTAAATACCTTGAAACCATTTCCATTTTTGCCTTTACTCAAAATAAGTGGTTACTTTCTAATGAATGAAAAGCCCAGTATGTGAAAAGTGTGGCTTAGGCCAATAAAAAGGGAGGTAACAGCATTTTAGTAGTTTCTCAGAAGCAGTTAAAAAATAACACAATGAAGTTTAACAGGCTGAGGAAACATCACACCCCATCATTAAAAACAGCAATGCCAAAAATACCCAGGGGTGAACAGAGGTGAGGGAGACTGCCAAAAGATTATTGCTTGAAGGATTGCCTTTCCTTGTACGGGTACCTACCCAGGGCAGTTGCTCCAGGTTCATGCAGGGGTGGCCATATTTTGTATCACGTGATCCTCAGTCCACAAGCTGATTGGACCAGAGGAGGCCACTTCCCCAGAGGCTGATCAGAACACCGTGATACAGCTCCCTGCAGGGGGCGCTGCGCTGTTTTTGCAGCCAAATGCAAAATGAAACTGTAAGTGCTCTCATTCAAAAAGCAGGAGAAACGTGCCATGGAATGTAGTAAAAGATAAGGCTTTTCCCTTTTTCTACAGTCTCTCAATTTGTTATGGTGTTTTTACTTTGCTCCTTGAGGTCGTTTTGAGTAAAGAAAGAATACAATTTTAAATCATTAGCATGAATTTTACCATTACTCTTCATATTGTGCAATTTCACGTTTAAATACAAACATAAGTACATTTAACTCATATGCAGCATCACCAAAATTACACAATTTGTATTTTGTGGCTTGTACATGCATATATATTTCATTCTTAGCAGAACATTGGAAACACTACAACACATGAACTCAACTGTCTTTATTTCACTTCTTGGTGCACACATTTTCTACTAACAACCTCTACTTTTGGCTTATTGATGAATAAGGAAAGACTTAAAAAAAAAAAAAAAAAAGGAAAAAGCAAGTCTGGCTCTCTTGCCCTTTCCTTCTAAGTCCTCGTTTTCAGCATAAGGGGTTAGCTGGCATAGCTCTGAAGCCTGAATATCTGAGACAGATCTCAGTTAATTTAGGAAGTTTATTTTGCCAAAGTTAAGGACATGCACCTGTGACATAACCTCAGGAGGTACTGATGACATGTGCCCAAGGACATCGGAGCACAGCTTCTGAGAAACCATTAAAATGGTGTCACCTCCCCTTTTATTGTCCTAACCCACACTTTTCACATACTGGGATTTGCATTCATTAGAAAGTAGCCACCACCTGATTTGAGTAAAGGCAAAAATGGAAATGTTTTCAAGGTATTTAAGCATTTCAATTGAAGCTCAGTACAACGAATTATTTCAACAACAAAATTTTCATGTAGTCTCTACAGAGATATGAGACATCAATCAATATATGCAAGATAAACATTGGTTTAATACTGAAATTCCAGGTCATAGGTAGATAAGAGACAAATGGTTGCATTCTTCTGAGTTTCTGATGAGCCTTTCCAAAGGAGGCCATCAGATATGCATTTATCTCAGTGAAGAGTGGGATGACTTTGAATAAATGGGAGGCAGGTTTGCCCTAAGCAGATCCAGCTTGACTTTTCCCTTTAGCTGAGTGATTTGGAGGCCCCAGGATCTATTTTCCTTTCATGTAAGGAAGTCACATGAGTAACGAAGGACATGACAGAGTCCCTTGGTAATTCACGTTTCTCACAGTGCCATTGACTTCCTCCAACTTCTAGAGCAAGTCCTGGATCTAGTGACACATGTACTGAATAAATGACAGTGGGAAGCAGAGCAAAACTCATGGGGCCAAGATACTTTCATTTTTCCACTTTTTTTTTTTTTGCTGGCACTTTGTGTTGCTGTGATATGTAAACATAGATGTCAATTTTCAACACTTTCTTCTTCCTTTTATTAAAAAAAAAAGTTACTGTGTTTCATCATGATTGGTTAAGAATTATTGTTTTGTGTTCAGGTTTTCATTGGTAAAAGATTGAAACTGGGCCCCATGCTGTGGCTCATGCCTATAATCCTAGCACTTTGGGAGGCCGAGGCAGGCAGATCACCTGAGGTCAGGAGTTCAAGACCAGCCTGGCCAACATGGTGAAACCCCGTCTCTACTAAAAATACAAAAAAATTAGCCGGGCCTGGTGGTGGGCGCCTGTAATCCCAGCTACTCAGGAGGCTGAGGCAGAAGAATTGCTTGAACCCAGGAGGTAGAGGTTGCAGTGAGCCGAGATCACACCATTGCATTCCAGCCTGGACAATGAGAGCAAAATTTCATCTCAAAAAAAAAAAAAAGATTGAAAAAGATTGAAACTGACTGCCAGGCATGGTGGCTCACCCCTGTAATCCCAGCACTTTGGGAGACCAAGGCGGGCAGATCACCTGAGGTCAGGAGTTTGAGACCAGCCTGGCTAACATAGTGAAACACCATCTCTACTAAAAATACAGAAATTAGCCGGGTGTGGTGGTGCACACCTGTAATCCCAGCTACTTGGGAGGCTGAGGCAGGAGAATCGCTTGAACTGGGAAGGCTGAGTTTGCAGTGAACCGAGATTGTGCCACTGCACCCCAGCCTGGGCAACAGAGCAAGACTCTGTCCCAAAAAAAAAAAAAAAAAAGTATAAAAATGAAAATGTATCATTTTAAATTAGATTTACTTGTTTAATTATTTACTAAGTGACAGATTTACCAGACTCAAAACTTTAAATTGTTTAAGAATGAAATAGAAGCAAAATTCTCCCTTCCTCCTCTGCTGCCTTATCCTCTCTTTCCGCCCTCTCCCCAGATAGATAACTATTGTAATCAATCCCTTAGTTATCTTCCGAATTTTTTAAATATACATCTAAAGTCTGTTAAATTGTGACTCCAAAATATACATTCATGTCCTAATCTTCAGTATTGGTGAATGTGACCTTATGGGAAAAAGGATCTTTATCAGCAGATATCATTAAGTTATCTCAAGATGAGAGCACTCTGCATTGAGGAGAGGCCCTAAACTCAACAGCAGGTGTGGGGGTTTTTTGGGGATTCTTTTTACTTTTTTTTTTTTTTCGAGATGGAGTTTCACTCTTGTTGCCCAGGCTGGAGTGCAATGGCACAGTCTCGGCTCACTGCAACCTCTGCCTTCCCAGGCACAAGCAATTCTCCTGTCTTAGCCTCCCAGGTAGCTTGGATTACAGGCATGTGCCACCATGCCCAGCTAATTTTTTTGTATTTAGTAGAAACGAGGTTTCACCATGTTAGTCAGGCTGGTCTCAAACTCCTGACCTCAGGTGATCCACCTGCCTGGGGCTCCCAAAGTGCTGGGATTACAGGCGTGTGCCACCACACCCAGCCGAGGTGTTCTTTTAAGAGAAGAGAAAGTCAGAGACTTTGAGAAGAGGGCTATGTGAGTCACAGGCACAGATGGAAGTGAGGCTGCCGTCAACCAAAGAAGGCCTAGGACTGCCAGACGCTGGAAGAGGGAAAGGGGGACTCTCCTTCGGGTCTTCAGAATGGGCCCATGTGGCCCTGCTCACACTTGATTTCAGACTTCGACCTACAGAATTGTGAAAGAATAAAACTCTGTTGTCTTTAAGCCATCGTGTTTTTGGCAATTTGTTATAACAGCCCCAGGGACGGAAAACAACATCTAAGCAATGCAAGAATATATTCTTTTTTGTGTGATTTTATCCTTAAAAGCCTTCACCCTTTAGTGACGTTATCTCTTTAGAGAAACATAAGCAGTTCTCAAGGAGGTATGGATCTCACTGAAACAATGAACTTAATGACTGCCACGGCCCACTCTCGTCACCCCTGCCAGGAAGGGATCTGAAGGCTGAACCATATCTTTTCCAGACACTGTAGCTGAAAAGTGTCGCACCTGTCACAGATTCTCAGGGCCGCCTCCAAGAAGGGAATACCTACGCCTGCTGCCAATGCAAAGCTGTGAGAAAGTCTTTTTACTCCCAGCAGGAGGGCCACATTCATTGACTTTCGTTCACCATTTAACGGTAGTTCTTAGAATGTGTCACCTAGTCTGCTATCACAAAAATCCAAAGCCTGAATAGTTTTTAAACCATAGGAAAGTTGGAAGAAAAATATTTTCTACTCCTTAATAATGCCAGGGCTTAATTATACACTTCTTGAATTGCAGCTTCAGGGAATTTCAAAACACATAATTTAGCCTTCTTCGACCGTATGAAATATTCTATTGGAACAAACAAGATTGGGGCTATTATATCAAGTTCATCTTACCCAGACAGTAGAAGCAGTAATTCATACTTTCAGAGAGAGGGAGAGAGAATTTGCCTTAAGCGGCCAATTTTAACTTCTGCAGATTCTAATTTTTAACATTGGGGTTAAGCTCCAGTTAATGCTGAAAATAAATGTGTGTTGCCTGGAGCCAAAGGCAGAAAATTGTGAGTCTCGGGAATAGTACCAGCCATTAACTCTTTCGTTGCAGGACAGTGGGAATGCAGGGGCAGTAAACGAGAGGTCGAGGTGGGAAGAGCACTGAGGAACCCTGGGACATTGGGGGTGTGGGGCTTCTTGGAAAGACAGCTATTTCTGACCTGGCACAGAAATACTTCAGCATTTTAACAACCAGTAATGTGTTCTGGTGCATGTCAGCCGGATACAGTCCTAGTGATATGAGGATAAACAACACATCCTACCCAATACTTTTACACCCATCATCCTGTCTGACTCTTGTACCAAAGGTCTGAGTTCACTGAGTTCAGTGTTATCCATGACACTGACGGCTCCAGGATGCGAAACGGCTCCACCAGGGTGGCCCCAGCAGTAAATTGTACTTGCAGGCCTTGAGCCCATATTTTCAGATTTCAAATCCAGCCCTCTTTTCATTAAATAGCAGCTACTTTTTCAATGAGATTAAATCTTCCCAGCCTAGGCACACAACCAAGCCAGTTTCACTTTGGGTGGCAGAACCAAAGAAAGCCATACCAAAGCCAGAGAAGAAGCAGGGGGGATCAGAGTCAAGGATGGTGTGGGAGTTGCCATGAGGACACGTTTTTAAAACTGAGAAGCCTCAGGCCTCTCTTATGGATGAGAACCTTAAAATCGTGACTGAGGAGTAGACAAGCTGAATGTAGACCTCTTTTTTTTTTTTTTAGATGGTGTCTCACTCGTTTGCCCAGGCTGGAGTGCAGTGGTGAGATCTTGGCTCATTGCAACCTCTGCCTACCAGATTCAAGTGATTCTCCTGCCTCAGCCTCCCGAGTAGTTGGAAGTATAGGCACCCGCCACCACACCTGGCTAATTTTTGTATTTTTAGTAGAGACGGAGTTTCACCATGTTGGCCAGGCTGGTCTCGAACTCCTGACCTCAAGTGATCGGCCCACTTTGGCCTCCAAAAGTGCTGGGATTACAGGTGTGACCCACCGCGCCCAGCCTCGTCTCAGCAACTTACTTGATAGAAAGAGGTCAACATCAGAGTAAAGAAAACATGACTACCTTACCCAATAAGTAGCAGAATGTGCTAACCCAAAATATCAAACAAAAATTGTCAAAGGGGATTTATGTTCATATATGGATGCCACCAATAATAGGTTATTTTATAGGAGAATGGGATCGGGAAGGGCACAACTTTGCATTGAAACTGCCATCAAAGAGTTTCCCTCTTTCAGGGGAAAGACAAGGACAGGTTGACCCAAGCCTCTCCCCAGAGGCTGGTCTTGACTTCTCTGCTGCTGGGGGCCACTAAAGATGTCTCCCAAGGCCAGATCTGAAGATAAACAGTGGCCCGGTGCTTTTTTGCCATGGCTGAGATTTCTGTCTCTTTCTACACACTCGTAGGCAGAGGAAATAAAGTGTCTGTCTCTGAAACTCCAGTGGGCCCAGCCATTGCCAAGGCTGAAGCATGGTGTGTGCTGTGTGTGCACTTCTGCCTGCTGCATTTGCATATTTTATTCCTGTTTTAAAGCTGAATAATGGATTCAGGTTCTGAGCAATAGAATCTCTACATAATTTATTAGCCAGTCCGGGCTCTGCTTTGTGCTCAGGTGAACCTTGCCCCACTTTTATCTGCGGCTGCTGCTGCTCTGTGAGAATGAGCCCAAGGCAGAGCCTCTGCAAACTGAGACCCAGGGCTAGGCAGGGAGAGGGGGAGATTGGTTCACACTGCAGGATGTTTTTTCCCAGTAGCCAAGAAATGCATTGTCTGTGGAATGGTAAACAACACGGGGGGCTAGGATAGACCAACTAAACCTGAACTTGAGTCTAACAACTGTCATGGGATGGGAAGGATGACCCAGTGGTGCCACATGAGAGCAAGCTGAGAGATGTCATCGTGACGGTCACGCGTTTAGTTTCGAACCAAGCAAATGCAAGTATTAAGGACCTATCTTGTGTTACATACCATGTTGAGGACTGCAGAGATCAAGTCAAAAGTGTCTCTACCTGAAAAAGCAAAGTAAATTAACAATATGTTATTAAAACGAATAAGAAAGCTAAGTAAGTTTTCAGGCCCAAAATTAACATGAAAGAGCCAATGGTGGATAATGTTAAATCCAGGATTTGCTTCAAAATAACTGGGGAGGTAGAAAGGAGTATGTGGCGTAGGGAGAAAGGAAGAGTGGGCATGACTCAGCTTGGTTTGGGGAACACAAGGATTCCTCATTCCCCTCACACAAGTTGCCTTTGCTTTTGAAACTTTCCACTATAAGAAGTTTTATTTTCAAAAAACTATCCCATTCACAGTAACAAGAATTATAAAACACATTAAAATATATCTACCAAGTAATGCGCTATGCATATATAAAGAAATCTTCTGTAACGCCTAACCAAAAGCTAAAAACCTAAAGAGAAAAACAGGGTATTTCGGGATAGGAGTTTTTTTAACCAGAAAAATATTGATTTTACCTTAATCTATAAATTCAATGTAATCTCAATGAAAACTCCTGCCAAAATGTATTGTATTGGACTTGGTGGTTCTATGAAAAAGTAAATAAATACATAAATAAAAATTTAAGGGGGGAAGAGCCAAGATGGCCGAATAGGAACAGCTCCGGTCTACAGCTCCCAGCGTGAGCGACGCAGAAGACGGTGATTTCTGCATTTCCATCTGAGGTACCGGGTTCATCTCACTAGGGAGTGCCAGACAGTGGGCGCAGGCCAGTGGGTGCGCGCACCGTGCGCGAGCCGAAGCAGGGCGAGGCATTGCCTCACTCCGGAAACGCAAGGGGTCAGGGAGTTCCCTTTCCGAGTCAAAGAAAGGGGTGACGGACGCACCTGGAAAATCGGGTCACTCCCACCCGAATATTGCGCTTTTCCGACGGGCTTAAAAAACGGCGCACCACGAGATTACATCCCGCACCTGGCTCCGAGGGTCCTACGCCCATGGAGTCTCGCTGATTGCTAGCACAGCAGTCTGAGATCAAACTGCAAGGCGGCAGCGAGGCTGGGGGAGGGGCGCCCGCCATTGCCCAGGCTTGCTTAGGTAAACAAAGCAGCCGGGAAGCTCGAACTGGGTGGAGCCCACCACAGCTCAAGGAGGCCTGCCTGCCTCTGTAGGCTCCACCTCTGGGGGCAGGGCACAGACAAACAAAAAGACAGCAGTAACCTCTGCAGACTTAAATGTCCCTGTCTGACAGCTTTGAAGAGAGCAGTGGTTCTCCCAGCACGCAGCTGGAGATCTGAGAACGGGCAGACTGCCTCCTCAAGTGGGTCCCTGACCCCTGACCCCTGAGCAGCCTAACTGGGAGGCACCCCCCAGCAGGGGCATACTGACACCTCACACGGCAGGGTACTCAAATAGACCTGCAGCTGAGGGTCCTCTCTGTTAGAAGGAAAACTAACAAACAGAAAGGACATCCACACCAAAAACCCATCTGTACATCACCATCATCAAAGACCAAAAGTAGATAAAACCACAAAGATGGGGAAAAAACAGAACAGAAAAACTGGAAACTCTAAAAAGCAGAGCGCCTCTCCTCCTCCAAAGGAACACAATTCCTCACCAGCAACGGAACAAAGCTGGATGGAGAATGACTTTGACGAGCTGAGAGAAGAAGGCTTCAGATGATCAAATTACTCTGAGCTATGGGAGGACATTCAAACCAAAGGCAAAGAAGTTGAAAACTTTGAAAAAAATTTAGAAGAATGTATAACTAGAATAACCAATACAGAGAAGTGCTTAAAGGAGCTGATGGAGCTGAAAACCAAGGCTCGAGAACTACGTGAAGAATGCAGAAGCCTCAGGATCCGATGCGATCAACTGGAAGAAAGGGTATCAGCGATGGAAGATGAAATGAATGAAATGAAGCGAGAAGGGAAGTTTAGAGAAAAAAGAATAAAAAGAAATGAGCAAAGCCTCCAAGAAATATGGGACTATGTGAAAAGACCAAATCTACATCTGATTGGTGTACCTGAAAGTGATGGGGAGAATGGAACCAAGTTGGAAAACACTCTGCAGGATATTATCCAGGAGAACTTCCCCAATCTAGCAAGGCAGGCCAACGTTCAGATTCAGGAAATACAGAGAACGCCACGAAGATACTCCTCGAGAAGAGCAACTCCAAGACACATAATTGTCAGATTCACCAAAGTTGAAATGAAGGAAAAAATGTTAAGGGCAGCCAGAGAGAAAGGTCGGGTTACCCTCAAAGGAAAGCCCATCAGACTAACAGTGGATCTCTCGGCAGAAACCCTACAAGCCAGAAGAGAGTGGGGGCCAATATTCAACATTCTTAAAGAAAAGAATTTTCAACCCAGAATTTCATATCCAGCCAAACTAAGCTTCATAAGCGAAGGAGAAATAAAATCCTTTACAGACAAGCAAATGCTGAGAGATTTTGTCACCACCAGGCCTGCCCTAAAAGAGCTCCTGAAGGAAGCGCTAAACATGGAAAGGAACAACCGGTACCACCCACTGCAAAACCATGCCAAAATGTAAAGATCATCAAGACTAGGAAGAAACTGCATCAACTAACGAGCAAAATAACCAGCTAACATCATAATGACAGGATCAAATTCACACATAACAATATTAACTTTAAATGTAAATGGACTAAATGCTCCAATTAAAAGACACAGACTGGCAAATTGGATAAAGTGTCAAGACCCATCAGTGTGCTGTATTCAGGAAACCCATCTCACATGCAGAGACACACATAGGCTCAAAATAAAAGGATGGAGGAAGATCTACCAAGCAAATGGAAAACAAAAAAAGGCAGGGGTTGCAATCCTAGTCTCTGATAAAACAGACTTTAAACCAACAAAGATCAAAAGAGACAAGGCCATTACATAATGGTAAAGGGATCAATTCAACAAGAAGAGCTAACTATCCTAAATATATATGCACCCAATACAGGAGCACCCAGATTCATAAAGCAAGTCCTGAGTGACCTACAAAGAGACTTAGACTCCCACACATTAATAATGGGAGTCTTTAACACCCCACTGTCAACATTAGACAGATCAACGAGACAGAAAGTCAACAAGGATACCCAGGAATTGAACTCAGCTCTGCACCAAGCGGACCTAATAGACATCTACAGAACTCTCCACCCCAAATCAACAGAATATACATTTTTTTCAGCACCACACCACACCTATTCCAAAACTGACCACATACTGGGAAGTAAAGCTCTCCTCAGCAAACGTAAAAGAACAGAAATTATAACAAACTATCTCTCAGACCACAGTGCAATCAAACTAGAACTCAGGATTAAGAATCTCACTCAAAACCGCTCAACTACATGGAAACTGAACAACCTGCTCCTGAATGACTACTGGGTACATAACGAAATGAAGGCAGAAATAAAGATGTTCTTTGAAACCAACGAGAACAAAGACACAACATACCAGAATCTCTGGGACGCATTCAAAGCAGTGTGTAGAGGGAAATTTATAGCACTAAATGCCCACAAGAGAAAGCAGGAAAGATCCAAAATTGACACCCTAACATCACAATTAAAAGAACTAGAAAAGCAAGAGCAAACACATTCAAAAGCTAGCAGAAGGCAAGAAATAACTAAAATCAGGGCAGAACTGAAGGAAATAGAGACACAAAAAACCCTTCAAAAAATTAATGAATCCAGGAGCTGGTTTTTTGAAAGGATCAACAAAATTGATAGACTGCTAGCAAGACTAATAAAGAAAAAAAGAGAGAAGAATCTAATAGACGCAATAAAAAATGATAAAGGGGATATCACCACTGATCCCACAGAAATACAAACTACCATCAGAGAATACTACAAACACCTCTATGCAAATAAACTAGAAAATCTAGAAGAAATGGATAAATTCCTTGACACATACACTCTCCCAAGACTAAATCAGGAAGAAGTTGAATCTCTGAATAGACCAATAACAGGATCTGAAATTGTGGCAATAATCAATAGCTTACCAACCAAAAAGAGTCCAGGACCAGATGGATTCACAGCCGAATTCTACCAGAGGTACAAGGAGGAACTGGTACCATTCCTTCTGAAACTATTCCAATCAATAGAAAAAGAGGGAATCCTCCCTAACTCATTTTATGAGGCCAGCATCATTCTGATACCAAAGCCGGGCAGAGACACAACAAAAAAAGAGAATTTTAGACCAATATCCTTGATGAACATTGATGCAAAAATCCTCAATAAAATACTGGCAAAACGAATCCAGCAGCACATCAAAAAGCTTATCCACCATGATCAAGTGGGCTTCATCCCTGGGATGCAAGGCTGGTTCAATATACGCAAATCAATAAATGTAATCCAGCATATAAACAGAACCAAAGACAAAAACCACATGATTATCTCAATAGATGCAGAAAAAGCCTTTGACAAAATTCAACAACCCTACATGCTAAAAACTCTCAATAAATTAGGTATTGATGGGACGTATCTCAAAATAATAAGAGCTATCTATGACAAACCCACAGCCAATATCATACTGAATGGGCAAAAACTGGAAGCATTCCCTTTGAAAACTGGCACAAGACAGGGATGCCCTCTCTCACCACTCCTTTTCAACATAGTGTTGGAAGTTCTGGGCAGGGCAATCAGGCAGGAAAAGGAAATAAAGGGTATTCAATTAGGAAAAGAGGAAGTCAAATTGTACCTGTTTGCAGATGACATGATTGTATATCTAGAAAACCCCATTGTCTCAGCCCAAAATCTTCTTAAGCTGATAAGCAACTTCAGCAAAGTCTCAGGATACAAAATCAATGTACAAAAATCACAAGCATTCTTATACACCAGCAACAGACAAACAGAGAGCCAAATCATGAGTGAACTCCCATTCACAATTGCTCCAAAGAGAATAAAATACCTAGGAATCCAACTTACAAGGGATGTGAAGGACCTCTTCAAGGAGAACTACAAACCACTGCTCAACGAAATAAAAGAGGATACAAACAAATGGAAGAACATTCCATGCTCATGGGTAGGAAGAATCAATATCGTGAAAATGGCCATACTGCCCAAGGTAATTTACAGATTCAATGCCATCCCCATCAAGCTACCAATGCCTTTCTTCACAGAATTGGAAAAAAACTACTTTAAAGTTCATATGGAACCAAAAAAGAGCCCGCATCGCCAAGTCAATCCTAAGCCAAAAGAACAAAGCTGGAGGCATCACACTACCTGACTTCAAACTATACTACAAGGCTACAGTAACCAAAACAGCATGGTACTGGTACCAAAACAGAGATATAGATCAATGGAACAGAACAGAGCCCTCAGAAATAACGCCGCATATCTACAACTATCTGATCTTTGACAAACCTGAGAAAAACAAGCAATGGGGAAAGGATTCCCTATTTAATAAATGGTGCTGGGAAAACTGGCTAGCCATATGTAGAGAGCTGAAACTGGATCCCTTCCTTACACTTTATACAAAAATCAATTCAAGATGGATTAAAGACTTAAACATTAGACCTAAAACCATAAAAACCCTAGAAGAAAACCTAGGCATTACCATTCAGGACATAGGCATGGGCAAGGACTTCATGTCTAAAACACCAAAAGCAATGGCAACAAAAGCCAAAATTGACAAATGGGATCTAATTAAACTAAAGAGCTTCTGCACAGCAAAAGAAACTACCATCAGAGTGAACAGTCAACCTACAAAATGGGAGAAAATTTTCGCAACCTACTCATCTGACAAAAGGCTAATATCCAGAATCTACAATGAACTCAAACAAATTTACAAGAAAAAAACAAACAACCCCATCAAAAAGTGGGCGAAGGACATGAACAGACACTTCTCAAAAGAAGACATATATGCAGCCAAAAAACACATGAAAAAATGCTCATCATCACTGGCCATCAGAGAAATGCAAATCAAAACCACAATGAGATACCACCTCACACCAGTTAGAATGGCAATCATTAAAAAGTCAGGAAACAACAGGTGCTGAAGAGGATGTGGAGAAATAGGAACACTTTTACACTGTTGGTGGGACTGTAAACTGGTTCAACCATTGTGGAAGTCAGTGTGGCGATTCCTCAGGGATCTAGAACTGGAAATACCATTTGACCCAGCCATCCCATTACTGGGTATATACCCAAAGGACTATAAATCATGCTGCTATAAAGACACATGCACACGTATGTTTATTGCAGCATTATTCACAATAGCAAAGACTTGGAACCAACCCAAATGTCCAACAATGATAGACTGGATTAAGAAAATGTGGCACATATACACCATGGAATACTATGCAGCCATAAAAAATGATGAGTTCATGTCCTTTGTAGGGACATGGATGAAATTGGAAAACATCATTCTCAGTAAACTATTGCAAGAACAAAAAACCAAACACCGCATATTCTCACTCATAGGTGGGAATTGAACAATGAGATCACATGGACACAGGAAGGGGAATATCACACTCTGGGGACTGTTGTGGGGTGGGGGGAGGGGGGAGGGATAGCATTGGGAGATATACCTAATGCTAGATGACGAGTTAGTGGGTGCAGTGCACCAGCATGGCACATGTATACATATGTAACTAACCTGCACAATGTGCACATGTACCCTAAAACTTAAAGTATAATAAAAAAAATTAAAAAAAAAAGAACTGAAAAAAAATAAATAAATAAATAAAAATTTAAAAATAAATAAAAATAATTTAAAATAATAAAAATAAGTGAAAAATAATTTATTGTAACTGATTAGTTGATTCTCAAGTTCATACAGAAAAGAAAATATGCAAAAATAGCAATAAAATTTTAAAAACAAAAATAATGAGAAGGAAATTACCTTATCAAGTATCAAAACACAGTATAAAGTAATAATTAAAATACTGTAAAATTGGAACAAGAAAGGACATGTATTAATAGAACTAAATAGAGATTTCAGAGGTAGATAGATGTATATATGAAAATCTGGATTATATATACTATATAGAGAGAGCTAGCATTTCAAACCTTTCCCTTTCTGATTTGGGACAAGTTCAGTTTTCTATGTGGAAAAAATATACTTACATATATGTATTTTTATGTCAATATACTTATTTACCAATATATCTATGTTTGTATATCCTACTTCCATGTTTATATCGTTAGGCAAAATTACATGTTTATCTTAATATGCTTATATTTTCATACATTTTTATTTGAAAAATATGTAATTAATATTTGTTTATATATTCCATATAGATAAATCCTACCAGACTAAATAAGGTGAACAAAACAACATTTTCACCTGCCTGGAGCTCACAGTACATGTATATAAATGTAGACATATATACATGCATGCATATGTGTATATATTTGCTTACATATGTACGTAAATACACATTTTGTATGGATGTGTGCCATGATTCAGATGTATGTGTCCCTCCAAAATTCGTATGTTGGATCTTAAAGCGCAGGATGATGGTATTAAGAAGTGGGACCATTGGAAGATGATTAGTGTATTAGTCCATTCTCATGCTGCTATAAAGACATACCTGAGACTAGGTAATTTATAAAGGAAAGAGATTTAATGGACTCACAGTTCCACATGGCTGGGGAGGCCTTGCAATCATGGCAGAAGGTGAAGGAGGAGCAAAGACACATCTTACGTGGCAGCAGGCAAGAGAGCTGGTGCAGGGAACTGCCCTTTATAAAACCATCAAATCTCACGAGACTTATTCACTATCACAAGAACAGCACTGGAAAGACCTGTCCCCATGATTCAATGACCTCATACTGGGTTTCTCCCACAACACATGAGGATTATGGGAGCTACAATTCAAGATGAGATTTGGGTGGGGACACAGCCAAACCATACCAATTAGGCACTGCCTTCCTGGATGAGATTAGGGCCTTCTAAAAGGGCTCAAGGAGTGAGTTCATCTCTTCATCCTTTTTGCCTTTCCACTTTACACCATGTGAGGATGCAGCAATGAGGCGCCATCTTTGACGTAGAGAGCAGCCCTCACCAGACGTGGAACCTGCCAGTGCCCTGATCTTGGATTTCCCAGATTCCAGAACTGTGAGAAATAAATTTCTATTTCTTATAAGTTGCCCAACCTAATTGTTGTAACAGCCTGACCTGAGTCAACATGGGTATTTTAGCGAGGAAGGCATTTAGTTTTGAACTAAATATGCATGTATTTTTATGCATAATGGCAACTTGAACAGAGCCGTATAGATACAAGAAGGTGAGTAGGGCAGGCTGAGGAAGGTTTCACAGAGAAAGACATCTGACTCCAGCTGCCTCAGCAAGGGAAGGACAGTACAACCCAGGCAGAGCAGCCCTGGGAGAGAGGCACAGAGGCCTGAGGCCCCCCAGGGTTAACATGTGGTCACGGCATTCTGTGGCAGCACAAGGTGGCCCATGGTGGGAGAGGCCAGCAGTGAAGGTGGAAAGAAATGGCAGAGTTGAGTCATGAATGTCAGGTATGTCTCACCCTAAGCTTAATGGGGAGCCAGCAAGGTTGTAGAAAGTGGGATGGCAGGGGGACATGACTAGGTGGGTGCTAGAAGGACCTCTCCATGGGACATCTTGAAGACATGGTCACCAGAGACAAGAAGATGCATCTGGAAGCCAAAGGAGTGGGCCTGAAAGTCCAGGTGAGATGCCCGGCCTGCCACCTGGAAGGGTGGAATCTGCCAGTGCCTTGATCTTTGGACTTCCCAGCCTCCAGAACTGTGAGAAATTAATTTCTATTATTTATAAATTGCCCAGCCTAATTGTTGTAACAGCCTGAACTAAGATAACATATGTATATTAGCTAAGAATGCATTTAATTTTGAACTAAATATGCATGTATTTGTATGCATAATGGCAACCTGAAGAGAGCCAGGAATTGCCTATCCCCTGTCCAGGCCAGGATCACCTGGACGGGGGTTCACAACACTTTAACCCGTGAGAGCATCTTTATGGTGGTAGACACATTAGCCTGAAGACAGCTTTGCTTGCTCAGCCTTGGACATCCAGGCCTGGCCTATGAGGGGCTGAGGAGCCAATTGCCCACAGGTTCCATCTGATCAGGAGGTGGTGGCTGGGGAGGCTCTTGCAGGGTGTATGTATGATATTGGCCTTTCTGTTGTCCACCTCCACCAGACCACGAATGGATGGGAGGAGAATCTCCGTGACACGTGTCTCACCAGGGGAATAAAGAACACGCTTGTATTTCCTTAAAGCCAAGAAACAGCAATTGCACCTCACTTCTGTGGAGTGCTTCCTGTGTATCAGGCACAGAAGCCCGATGTATTCTCATTTCATCCTCACATCAGCCAATATGCAATAGGTTGATAGTCGTTACCTTTGTTTCTGAAGATGCAAAACAGGTTTGGTGCAGGAGTGTGACCTGCTAAGGGTCACTCAGCTGGGCAATGGGAATGCCAGGCTTTGACCAAGTCCTGTCTATCTCCAGAGCCCGTGACTTTGACTTTCACACCTGATTGCTTCTTTTCAAGGTGATTTCAACTAATCGTTTACCTAGAAACATTTCTAATTCTTTTATAACTAAAAGTGTTCTTAGGGAAATGCCATATCACTTAACCGTTCTTAGGCCAAAGTTTTCAAACCATTTCTTATCCCTGTGACTCCAAACGCCATTTGTGGACTTGACTCTTGGGGGCAGCCCCATGTGGGCATTCTTTGGGCATCCACACAGCATGGGCATTGACAGGCTCTGCAGCCAGCCCCAGCAATGAGATAGAGAAGGAGAGGGGAGCCGAAGGGGCCAGAGGTGATATGGAAAAGAGATGACAATGACTAGACAGTTATTGACTGAGGAAACGTTATTTCAAATATAATTATTTTCTGAATATCTTCTTCCTGTCTCCAGTGTGCAATAAGATGGACATCACCAGGTATCTTTGGAAATCATCTATGAGTTGGAAACATTTGGGTATTGGAGAAAATTAGATAAATTCACTGGGGGAAAAATTATCTTACTTTTATATATTTCCCAAAGAGGACAAGTACACTCAAAATAAATTTTCTTTCAGTGGCTGCCACAAGAAGCCATAAAAAATGTTGGCACCATCATAACAGAAATAAATTTACTTTTAAGGATAAAAAATATGAGTTAGAAGGAAAATCCTGATTGCTTAACAGATATGTCAATCTAAAATAACAGAGTGGCCCTCCAAAGAAATGAGTTTGTTCAGGATCAGACAGAAGGGTTATAATCCAGATGTGCATGCTATGACTACTCATAGGCATATCTGGAGAGGCTGAGGCAAAGGCAAACCTTTAAAGGCAAAAAGGAGAAGTATGTGCAGGTTTTGAAACAAAAGTTTATTGGTTACAGGGCTTATCACAGGTGGCAAAGTGTGCACTGGCCAGTACTAGGAGAGGGTCTTCACAGGAGCGGCACTGACTGCAAGCTTGCAGTTTCGTAAGGCTACTTGCAAGGTTGCAGTTAGAACTGGCTGTTATTGGAAAGCTGTCCTCATAGAAGTGGGCTTAACTTCAGGGTTGTGGCTTGGGAGAGTCTCTTGTGGTAGTTCTTCTCATAAGGCAAATATACATGAGGGCTTTCCCTTCACGGCCTCCTGACTTCATTTTATTAGGATTTGACATAAGTGACTCTATATTGATTCTGACAACTTTCACAGATCCACACCCAGCCCACCCCCAACTGACATCACCTAGGGGTCTTTGCGGCCTGTTATCCCCGAGGACTTTCCCTGGCCAGCCTGTAAAAGTGTGGTCAAGCCCAAGAGTGGTTTCCAGCGGGCAGATGGGCCGGGTGAGAGAAGGATTCAAAAGCAGGTGTAGTCACTCTCTCCCCAATTTGAGCAGGGGGTGTGGGAATGGAGGGAGAAGTGCACACAGGTTCATCATAAATTACTTCCGGACCTGCCTCTAGTTAGAGAACACACAGCTTTCCAAATGGTATAGGTGACTAAGACGTACAATAGATGCTGTAAATTTGTATAAACACCAGCTATTTTGCATTTCAAATATTCTAGCAGGACAAAAAGGGACAGCTTTCCTCTTTATTCATTCAAATGTATTCTAGTCCTTTTGTTTGATAATGAATTTCTTACTCCTTCTGTGCTGGCTCCCTCTGCCCCTGGAGTGTTCCTTACTTCTCCTTCTGAAAGGACCCAGTGAGAGCCTGAAATTGGAGATGGTGTGGAGGAGAAGGGACCAGAGAGATCAAAGAGGTCTAGAAGGGCTATGGATTCACAAGGTTCCATGGCCCAGAAATGTCAGAAATCCATCATTTCTCACCCTGTTCCCACTCTGTTCTCCCTCTCCCTTCTCTCAAAACCACAGCTCCCTCTAATTGCCTTCCCATGTCTGCCATTAACAAGAGTTCCTTCAGTCTCAACCACAAGCCAATGTCTTCTCTGCCATTAACAAGAGTTCCTTCAGTCTCAACCACAAGCCAATGTCTTCTCTGCCATTAACAAGAGTTCCTTCAGTCTCAACCACAAGCCAATGTACTTCTCTGCAAGTACTGTTGCACCAGTACACTGGGTCTCCAGCCACCCACAGGGCCTTTGTAACATGAGGTCCCACCCTCTGTCCTGCACCACACTTGTCCTTGAGCCACCTTTGGTACAGCATCTCTAATATTTGAAAGTTTGAGATGGTGAGATGAAGAATAATTAACCAAGACTAAATGTTTAGAGTTTCCCTAGTTGAAGCCACTCAGGTGGAACGTATCACAGTGGTCACAAGGAGACGGCCCCCACTGTGCAGGGAAGAGCTGTCATTCACACCAGGTGAGGTCAGGAATAGACTGGGGCTGCTATAAATAATCGGTATGTTTGACATCATTTTAACTGCTCCAGGTAGGAACGACCGATGTTTCAGTTGAGAACCTGTGATGTGTTGGTGAGAAGTCCATTAGAAAGTAATTATTGGCCAGGCGCAGTGGCTTACACCTGTAATCCCAACACTTTGGAGGCCAAGGCGGGTGGATCACAAGGTCAAGAGATGGAGACCATCCTGGCCAACATGGTGAAACCCACTGTCAACTAGAAATACAAAAATAAGCTGGGTGTGGTGGCGGGCACCTGTAGTCCCAGCTACTCGGGAGGCTGAGGCAGGAGAACTGCTTGAAACTGGGAGGTAGAGGTTGCAGTCAGCCGAGATCTCACCACTGCACTCCAGCCTGGTGACAGAGCAAGACTCTGTCTCAAAAAAAAAAAGATTATTTTTAATAAGGGGTATTATTAAAATAATAATATAATTATAATATTAATATTATATTAATAACTTTATATTATTATTAATTGTCCCCATAGCACAAATGAGAAAAAGAAGTGAGAAGGTTTGGAACTTTCTGGAAAGAAGTCACTTAGGTATGTGATATTGTGATATACTAAGAAACATATATTTGGTCTTTGTCCCCAGTTTCTGGTATGGAGCTCCTAAAACCGTCGGGAATTTCCCAAGTGATGGGGGTTAGAGGAGTATCTTTCGCTATCAGAATCAGCCCTTTCCGCTGGGTGCGGTGGCTCATGCCTGTAATCCCAGCACTTTGGGAGGCCAAGGCAGGTGGATCACTTGAGGTCAGGAATTCGAGACCAGCCTGGCCAGCATGGCGAAACTCCATCTCTACTAAAAATACAAAAATTAGCCAGGCATTGTGGTGGGAGCCTGTAATCCCAGCTACTAAGGAGGCTGAGACAAGAAGATCGCTTGAACCCAGGACGCAGAGGTTTCAGTGAGCTGGGATCGCGCCATTGCACTCCAGCCTGGGTGACAGAGCAAGACCCCATCTCAAAGGAAAAAAAAAAAATCAGCTCTTTCAACCTTACCTGGGTTTACGCTAATGAAATGACACTGATGCCCCCTAAATAGCTTCAAGACCGGAGGAACCACCCATGCAATGAGAAGCTAGGAACCTGGGGTCCCACTCCCCACCCTCCAGGGAGGGAAGAGAGGCTGGGGATTGAGCTAATCGCCAGTGGCCAATGATTTAATCAGTCATGAGTACATAATGGAACCTCCATAGAAACCCTAAACCCTGGGGTTCTGAGGGCTTCTGGGTTGTCGAATTGCTTCAGGGCTGGGACATAGAAGCTCCACGCCCCTGCCCACCCTCGCCCTGGGCAGCTCTTCCGTTGACCATTTATGAGCTGTATCCTCTATAATGAACCAGTAATGGTAAGGAAAGCACTTTCCAGAGTTCTATAAGCCCTTCTAACAAATTATCAAACTAAGGAGGGGGTCTTGGGAATCCCTGACTTAGAGCTGACGGGCCAGAAGTGCAAGAGGCTGAGATTTGTGACTGATTGGCGTCTGAGGTGAAGAGGGTGTGTTAACTTGTGCGAGCTGCGTGTTAGAATTGAAGCGAATTGAACTGAATTGAAGGGCACCGGCCAGTGTTGGAGAAGTGGTTGGTGTGGAAAAACGCCCCTCAACATTTGGTGTCAAAAGTGTTGTAGGAAATGGTTCAGAGGCCGGAAGAGCAGCAGCTGGAATGTGGACTCAGCCTCTCCCCGCACATTCACTGCCTCACCCAGCCCCTGCGGCTGGTGGGTGTTCACTACTTACATTAATCAATAATACTGAGAAAATTGCAATCGGTATTTTTTTTTAAGCACCTCACTTGGTCCCAGTGCTTGAGTCACTCCCAAGGAAACTAAAAGGTGAAAGGAATTCAGATCTTTTCTTCAGTGTCTCAAAAAATGCCACAGAGAAAATAGACAAGCACAGAGAAGCAAGCTTTAATAACCTTTTTCCCCTTCTCTTTCTTAGTATCTCCCTAAAACCAACCACTGCTTCTCACAACACCATTCTCCCCCCACCATATAAGCCCCTTAAAAAGAAACCTCATCAGGCCAGGGGCAGTGGCTCACACCTGTAATCCCAGCATTTAGGGAGGCTGAGCTGGGCGGATCACCTGAGCTCAGGAGTTTGAGACCATCCTGGCCAACATGGTGAAACCCTGTCTCAACTAAAAATACAAAAATTAACCAGGCACGGTGGTGGGCACCTGTAGGCCCAGCTACTCGGGAGGCTGAGGCAGGAGAATCACTTGAACCCGGGAGGCAGAGGTTGCAGTGAGCCAAGATGGTGCCATTGCACTCTAGCCTGGGTGACAGAGGAAGACTACATCTCCAAAAAAAAAAGAAAGAAAGAAGGAAAGAAGGAAAGCAAAAGAAAGAAAGAAAGAAAGAAAGAAAGAAAGAAAGAAAGAAAGAGAGAGAAAGAGAGAGAGAGAAAGAAAGAAAGAAAGAAAGAAAGAAAGAAAGAAAGAAAGAAAGAAAAGAAAGAGAAAGAAAGAAAAGAAGGAAGGAAGGAAGGAAGGAAGGAAAAAGAAAGAAAGACGGAAGGAAGGAAGGAAGGAAGGAAGGAAGGAAGGAAGGAAGGAAGGAAGGAAGGAAGGAAGGAAAGAAATTCCCCAGAAGAACTCCTGGCCTTCTCTTCTCCTTCCTGCAAGTCTAGCAGAACTGGTAAATCCTCTCCTGCAGAGCCAAGCAGGCATTCTCTTTCAGGGTACATCTTGACTACTTTGTATATGTGCCAGTTTGTGAAAACACATATATGCACCAGGCACGCATGCACACAGGAACACACACACACACACACACACACACACACACACACACACACACACACACACACTAGCCAAGTTGGAAGGAGAGAACCAGCAGAGTTGGCAAGAATTTCCCAGGCAGAATGATGGGGGACAGATTGTGGACGGTATGCCATCATGGGGCTTGATTATATTATTTTGTCCCTGGCACACAATCTAAAAAGAAACAAGGAGAGGGCCCCATGCCTGGCAGGTGATGGTGGACTGTCAGGTGTGTGCCGGTCAGTCTTGAGAAGTCAGCCTCTGACCTGGAGAGGGAGGAGGGAGGAGGCCCCAGGTGTCTAGGTTGACCCACCCCCTCTTGATTTTCTGCCCTGAGGATAAAACTCCCTGGGGTCTCAGCCCAAAGAAGCTGCCACACCGTGTCAAAGACACTCACTGTCTTAATCATTTGTTTGTATTGCTCTGGTTATATTTTCCATAAGGTTTTGGTTCTTGTTATTTTGTTCACGTAAAAGATTTGTTTAGTATCCTACTTTTTTTTTTTTTTTTTGAGAGGGAGTCTCACTCTGTCGCCCAGGCAGGAGTGCAGTGGCGCAATCTCGGCTCACTGCAAGCTCCGCCTCCCAGGCTCACGCCATTTTCCTGCCTCAGCCTCCCGAGTACCTAATTTTTAAAATTTCATAATTGCCTGTTATGGCGTAGTGATATTTATGGAATATAGCTCTCAGTGTTTTCTTCTAAATTATCTCTTTACTGTCCTGGTTTTATCTTTCTCTTGTTTATCATTGCTATAGATTGAATTGTGCCCTCCCAGCCAAATTTGTCTATTAAAGTCCTTATCCTCAATATCTCAGAATGTGGCCTGGTTTGAAAACAGGGTCGTTGCCAACACAATTCGTTAACATGAAGTCCTCCTGGAGTAGGGTGGGCACCCGATTCAATATGACTGATGTCCTTGTAAAAGGGAACATTCTGACACGGAGACACACAGGTAGAATGCCATGTGAACATGAAGGCTGAGGTTGGGGTGATGCTTCTACAAGTCAGAGAACCCTGAACATTGCAGGCAATCCACCAGAAGCTGGGAGGGAGCCCTCAGAACCCTGGGAAGAAACGAGCCCCCTGACACATTGATCTCGGACTTCCAGCTTCCAGAACTGTTAGAGAATAAGTTTCTGTGTTGAAGCCCCCAGCTTGTGGTACTTTATCAAGGGTGCCCTGGAAAACTGACACAATCATTTAAAAATCATTTATGTTGTTCTTTCACTTTTTACTTTCTTTTTCTCCTTATATTTCAGTCTTGTCATTCCTACTTCATTTCTGTTTTTTAAAGTCTGCTTTGGCCGGGCGCGGTGGCTCACGCCTGTAATCCCAGCACTTTGGGAGGCCGAGGCGGGTGGATCATGAGGTCAGGAGATCGAGACCATCCTGGCTAACAAGGTGAAACCCCGTCTCTACTAAAAATACAAAAAAAATTAGCCGGGCGCGGTGGCGGGTGCCTGTAGTCCCAGCTACTCGGGAGGCTGAGGCAGGAGAATGGCGTGAACCCGGGAAGCGGAGCTTGCAGTGAGCCGAGATTGCGCCACTGCACTCCAGCCTGGGCGACAGAGTGAGACTCCGTCTCAAAAAAAAAAAAAAAAAAAGTCTGCTTTATCTCTGTGAATATTTGAATCTTTTCTTTCATTATTTTCAAACTTTATTTCTCTTGCTCCCTTGATTTTATTTTATTCTTTGTACCATGTAGCATATTTTGCCTCTGGTCCTCTCAATAGTTTACCAGGTTGGTGCTACTAGTGTTTGTCAATATCATCGCCTCTCTCCTTGCTGGGGCTTGGGTTACAGGGAAGAAGTGGGCCGGGCACGGTGGCTCACGCCTATAATCCCAGCACTTTGGGAAGCTGAGGCGGGCGGATCATGAGGTCAGGAGTTCAAGACCAGCTTGGCCAACATGGTGAAACCCCATCTCTACTAAAAATACAAAAATTAGCTGGGCGTGGTGGTGCACGTCTGTAATCCCAGCTACTCAGGAGGCGGAGGCAGGAGAATTGCTTGAACCCGAGAGGCAAAGGTTGCAGTGAGCCAAGATCGTGCCACTGCACTCCAGCCTGGGCGACAAAGTAAGACTCTGTCTCAAAAAATAAAAATAAAAATAAATGAGGCTCTCGCAGTGTGCACCCCACAAGCACCCAGGGTATTCGGTCTCTTTTTCCTTTCTCTCCACCTCCAATTTCCTGCAGCGAATCTCCTGTCTCCCTCAATGCTGATCTCTAAAAATTCCCCACGTGTTTATCTTGAGACTCCCAATCCAAACAGTTTCTCCGAAGACCATTATGATTCTTCAGGTATGGGTTAAACGTTTGACTATTGGAACATCTATTTTGTACATCATACACCATTGGGTCACAGCTGCCTCATGAGCATGGGCTCAGACAGCTTGGGTCAGGTTTAATGTTCTGCCCTCACCGTCTCAAACTCCTTAACAGCTTCTGCACTAGGCCCTGCAAATTGGGTAACTGCTTCTGTTCAGCATTTTGAAAAATCCCTCCTCTCATGTCTTTAACCACCAGATGCTGAGAAGTCACACAAACTTTGTGCTGTACATGAGCAGGTCCACCAAGAAAGGACCATTGTGCAAGGCTCAGGCAGGATGTCCCTGAACTCCCGCCGGTCTCCATGGACAGAAGCTGAGGAGAGGCTCTGCAGCCAGGCTCTTGAAAGCCTTTCTAGCCAGCCTACCTCAAAAGTAGTATGTTTCCAGTAGGGCTGGAATGCATCAATTTGCAAAAATGTACTTTTATAATCTCCAATACCTAAAAGAGAAGGTTGGAAAAAGAAAATAATTCTGTGATAGGTTGATGGTTGTTGGATGACATTTCAGCTCTCACTGGGGACTCAGAGAGAGCCAATAGGGGCTGGACATAGTGGCTCACACCTGTAATCTCAGCACTTTGGGAGGCTGAGGCAGGAGAATCACTTGAGGTCAGGAGTTCAAGGCCAGCTGGGCAACATAGTGAGACCCCATCTCTACAAAAAATCAAAAATTAGCCAGGTGTGGCAGAGCATGCCTGTTGTACTAGCTACCAGGGAGGCTGAGGTGGGAGGATCACTTGAGACCAGGAGGTTGAGGCTACAGTGGGCTATGATTACACCATTGCACTCCAGCCTGGGTGACAGAGTGAGACCCTCTCAAAAGAAAAAAGAAAGGAAGAAAGGAAGGAAGAGGAAGAGAGAGAGAAAGGAAGGGGGGAAGGGAGGGAGGGAGGGAGGGAAGGAAGGAAGGAAGGACGGAAGGAAGGAAGGAAGGGAGGAAGAGAAAAGAAGAGAAAGAAGGGAGAGAAGGAGGGAGGAGGAAGGAAGGAAGGGAAAGGGAAGGAAGGAAGGGAGGGAGGGAAAGGGAAAAGAGAAAGGAAGAAGGGAGGAATGGAGGGAGGAAGCGAGAGAGAAAGAAAGAAAAATAAACAAAGGAAGGAAGGGAAAGGAAGAAGAAAGAAAGGTCTACAGGCCTTGGTAAGCCCCAAACTTGGGATCCCAGCACCTGCAGCAGCCCCGAGCTCCCTGTGTACCCCAGTTCTGCAGTGTTTTCCCCCCAGCTCCATCCATAGACCCCATCTTGGCCTCAATCACCAGTCTACAGTTCACTCTGGCTTCCTTCCCACCCGATCTCCCTCCCAGGACTGAGACCCACCTTGACCCTCCAGGTACGAGCCTGCTTCCCTCCCTAGCAGCAGCCATCCTCGGAAACACGGCATCATCGCATTCCCATTAGTGGTTTCCTCAAAGAATCTCTCCTTGCTCAGCTGGGCCTGGCACACTTCCCAGCACCCTTCTTGCCTGGATTTCTCCCCACTGAACCTCGGGCCTTCGAAGCCCAGCTGCATTGCTAAGGCCAGCCTCACTGCCTGATTAGAGTCCCTCAGCCTCGTTGGCAGGTCCAGATCCTGGACGTAGATTCCCAGCTTGCCTGAGCAGGTTCTCCTTAGAAAGCAAAGCAGAACAGAACTCATGAATATGCAAAAAAAAGTATTTTCATAATCTCCAAAGCCCAAAAGAAGACATTTTTTGAAAATGATGGTACACTAGGCAGGTGAGTTGTTGCATGGCATTCTCTTTTTTCTCCAAAGTTTCATAAACATTTTCTGCTCGTTTAACAAAGAAGAAAATTTTATTTACCTTGCCAAACATTCTAAAGTATATCTGGACAGTATATTCTCAAGAATACCTGATCAATTTTTTAAAAATAAAGATAATGAGGTAAGACATACCCTAAGGGTTATCATAAAGCAAAACAAAACAACGACTGAAAAAACAACAGCAATAAAAACAGTACAATTGGCCCTGAAACAAACAAAATTAAAACCACACAGACACACAATGTGATAAATAAATGTAACGTGTTATAAAGGCAAAATTACAAACTAGTTAGAAAATGAGAGATTTTCCAGCAAATCATGTTTGCATAATTGGCTGAGTTTCAGACACAGAGTTAAGTTTGTTTTTTTTTTTTATCTTGAATGAAAATGGGTTCCAGATGGATTAATGATTTTAATATATAAAACAAAGTCATGAAAATAATAGGAAAGAAAACAACAGAAAGATTTGTATTAAATCAAGGCCAAATAGGGACTTCTAAGTACAACACAAAAGACACGCATGTCAACAGGAGAGTTTTGACCAGGGCAGCCAGACAGGGACAAGGCCAGCAACCTAGGGTGGAAACGGTAGCTCATATAACACGTGTGTAAGGATCTGAAATTATAAATCAAGCTAACAGATTGTTAAATTAAAGATGTTTTATCCTTCTCTATACTGTCATAAAACAAAAACATGAAATTCATAGAAAGCTATGCTTTTTAAGATTGGAAGTTAGCAAAATATCAAAGACTGCATGTCATAATGATTGTGTTGTGTTTGGGTATTCTGTTGCTGAGCCATCAATATGTGGGCAAGTCGTAAAACAAGCATAAATAACAAATAAAATGTTATATTTCATTCATACAAATTACTTTCGGGTTGGGTGCGGTGGCTCATGCCTGTAATCCCAGCACTTTGGGAGGCTGAGGTGGATGGATCACGAGGTCAGGAGATGGAGACCATCCTGGTTAACATGGTGAAATCCCGCCTCTACTAAAAATACAAAAAATTAGCTGGGTGTAGTGGCGCTTACCTGTAGTCCCGGCTACTCGGGAGGCTGAGGCAGGAGAATCGTTTGAACCTGGGAGGTGGAGGTTGCAGTGAGCCGAGCTGGCGACATTGCACTCCAGCCTGGATGACAGAGCAAGACTCTGTTTCAAAAAAAAAAAAAAATTATTTTCTTGCCTTCACTTCAGTAAAAATCACTACATTATTTTAAATTTTTTAACATAATTTATATATTCCATTGACTCTAACAATCCAAAGGATTATAAAGCAAAACTTAATGGCATTTTAAGTGTACAAAATTTGAATTTTCTTCTTCAAAAATATACATTGAATGAATATTAAAATCTAAAATTATTGTAAGAGAATGGCGTGAACCCGGGAGGCAGAGCTTGCAGTGAGCCAAGATCATGCCACCGCACTCCAGCCTGGGCAACAGAGCAAGACTCTGTCAAAAAAAAAAAAAATCTAAAATTATTTTAATTAGTTTTTGAAAAATATTTTTCTTCTAAAATATCTGTGATAACTTATTACAATTAAAAGGCAAAGTTTTAATTAGTGGCTATCAGAATTTTCAATCAAAATTTTTTGTGCAAAGATAAAATTTTAAATTTATTTTTGTTAATTAAATCTTACTAAATAATAAAAATGATACTATTTCCAATCCTAGCAATCACAGTCCTTGTTGCCAATATGAAGAAAGGGAATCTCATGCTTCACACCTGTTGTGTTTAGATATATATGTGTACAAAATACTATATATATAGAAATGGTATTAATCTTTTTTTTTTTTTTAGATGTAATTTAGCTCTTGTCACCCAGGCTGCAGTGCAGTTGTGTGACCTTGGCTCACTGCAACCTCCACCTACCAGGTTCAAGCAATTCTTCCACCTTGGCCTGCCCAGTAGCTGGGATTACAAGCGTGTGCCACCATGCCGGGCTAATTTTTGTATTTTTAGTGGAGAAGGGGTTTCGCCATGTTTGCCAGGCTGGTCTCAAACTCCTGACCTCAGGTGATCCACCAGCCTTGGCCTCCCAAAGTTCTGGGATTACAGGCTTGACACCGCACCTGGCCATGGTATAAATCTTATAGAGAGAATAATGTATGTGTGTATATATAAAATATTGTTTGTACAGAAATTATTTTAATCCTTATAAATATTCCTATCTAAAAAGATCTCCGGATTCAAGAATTTGAATCCAGGCAAAGAAGCAAGAAAACAGACATGCAACCCAACCAAGAGATTGTGCTTGAGCATGCAAGAACTGATTGAACGCGTACCTGCCATGAGACAGGGATTGACCAGGTAATCAATGTCTTTCTTCTCATCGAAGCACCTCTGTCTCCCGGTTCTCCACCCCAGAGCCACGTACCCCTTTAGCCTCGGCCGCAGCACAGCATATACACTGCCCTAGTGTTGGGACATGATCACCTTTTGTTTTGAGGATGTCGAGCAAGAGGTGAGGATTTTTTTTCCAGGAAGCCAAATAGTTTCAGTCACAACAGTTGTTGTTTAGGATACAGATCCCACTGTACCAGGGCCAGGCACACCCAATCCCCAAGTGAGCATTGGCTTTGACAACATTCAAAAATCACTTATTTATAAAGCAAACAAAACAAAACAAAAATTCCATGAATAAAATTTAAAAGCAAAAATACATCTGCAACAGACATGACAAACCAAAGATTCAAACCATAGTGCCACTACTGTGTGAAAACAAAACAAAACAAAACAAAAACAAAAAAAAATAAGGTTTTTAGAATTATCCCTAAAGGAAAATTGAAAGATAATGACACCAAGCAACTGACAAAAGAAAAACGATAGATGGCCCCAAAAAAGTCATTCAAACTTATTAGTAGCACTTGGCTTCCAGGGAAAGGGCCTGGATGGATTTCCTGGCAGGTGGCAGGCCTAGTGTTTGCAAGTTTAGGAGAAACAGGAATGGGAGTCCATGAGGGAGGGGGATTGGGAGGAGAGCCAAGGCCCCGAAGATCCACTTTCAGGAAGCCATGTGGGGTCATCACCGTCGCTGTCACAGAGAGATCCAGGAGGTGATGGACTTGCAGATTCACCTTGGGAGTCAGGAGATGCAGGAAAAGAGAGGCTGTGCTTTGCTTTGGACGAGGGCATTTTGTTACGTGAGAGGAGGACAGAGGATAACTATTACCCCTGTTGCTCTGTGGGCCCATTTTGTGCCAACCTCTGTGCAGGGCACCTTCAGGGGCACTTGTCTGAAACCCGACAGTCTTTTTTCTCATTTGCCAGTGACCTCTGAAAGAGCTGACTCTGTAAAATGATGGCTTTGCCAAATGCAGATTCCATGATCATTCAATAATCAGGGATTTGAAGCTGTTTTAAGTAACCATTTCTTCTACTAGCACAAAAATTAAAATCACCAGCTTTTGCTTAGATGTATTAAACTGGATGTCTAAAACATCATTTCTTCTTTCATAAAATACATAGCTAAAAATTTTCTGTTACCATGATTAACAAACTAGCAGTAAGCATTTAACTAGAAGTTCAGGACCAATGGCCAGTGAGGCTAAAATTAACTTGTTTTTATTTGCCATTAACTGTGCGAAACATCTTTCTATTTAACAATAGACTTCATAAGTCATTATTGGGAGTAAATATGACAAGAGCCAAGCCTTGGAAGCCACCCAAGGCTGCGGTAGGCTTGCCACCATATTGTAGGTTTATGTATTAAATGATAGAAGCCCAGATACAAGTTATAACACTTCTCTAATCCATCCTTTCCATAGCCACGTTCTCATTAGAATACTATGCTAAAGTAAGTGGCACTAATTTTATTCTAGATTTAACTAAACTGAAATAATTGCAATGCTCCATTTTTTTTTTAATAAAGAGACTATTCTCCATCAATCCAGTGGATTCTTGCACTCTGCTACTCTCCTGGGTCTCCCACCCATGAATAACCATCTACTTCCTGGATGAGCTCACCCAAGGTGTTAACCACCAGCTGCCTTGAAGAGTTTCTCCAAAGCATAATTTCTGCATCTGAAAATGTATCTGATTTTGCTAAATAAGCACTATCTAAAAGCACCAGGAAGAGTGCAAATTTGTATCCTTCTTGAGTCTGGAATAGCAGCCCCTGGAGAGACTTGATTCTAAAATACCTCAGGGGACACCTAACTCCTGCCAAGGTCATTGTCCTCTGCCTCCTGTGAGCTTCACAGATAGAGTGTCAGCGTCCTTTGGCCGTTCTAAGACATGCAGACACTAAGGCCTTAGGAAAGCCAACTTTCATCTGTTTCTTGATCTTCTCTAACGACCCATCCCAAGGTTTTGTCGCTAATATCATTGTTGCCGTTTTGCACTGTGCTTTCTGCCACTGAACTAGAATGACCAAAGCATTTTCATGAAAAAGTTGACACAGTATACATAGCCAGACCACTAATACACCTGGATAAACCAATAACTTTAAATTTATAAATTTTATTAAAATTTTATTTGAAAACAACCAGGAGATGCTGCTTCACCTTGGGTCACCCTGCTGGTGCTCATGCATGGCTGTACTTACACAGTTAGTCTAAATTCACACCATACCTAACACTTCCATGTTCTAAGGGTTAAAGATAATAAACCTAAGCATGCTGGGACATAGTCGGTGCTTGCCAAGTGTCTGTTTAGTGTTAATTATTGTGTTCACCTAGACTATTTGGGGTTTTTCATTTGTTTGTTTGTTTTTTATTACCAAGTCTCGCTCTGTCGCCCAGGCTGGAGTGCAGTGGCACGATGTCGGCCTCCCTAGTAGCTGGGATTACAGGTGCGTGCCACCACCCCCAGCTAATTTGTGTATTTTTAGTAGAGATGGGGTTTCATCACATTGGCCAGGCTGGTCTTGAACTCCTGACAAGTGATCCACCTGCCTCAGCCTCCCTAAGTGCTGGGATTACAGGCGTGAGCCACTGTGCCTAGCCAACCACTTGGTTTTTATGATGCTGTCTGAAGCAGAATACATTTGTGAGCTCTTAAAATGCTAACTGATCTTCCACATTATCCCATGACTCACTCCCAGCCTCAGGCTTCTGGCAGGAAGGGCCGGTTTGGCTGGAGAGAGGACTTGGCTTTGGCACTAGACTCTGCACTGGGGCAAGGCAGATGCTGGGGGAACTTACAGAGATGCTGAGTCCAGTGGGAGCCCCCATGTTCAAGGGATGCACAAAAACACCCAGACATGGCTCAGGAATTCCAAGGCCAGATGGTGCAGGGGGCACTGATGTGGGACGGAAATGGTCAGACATCAGGCAGGAAGTTAACACTGGTCTGGGTGGAGGGAGGACAGCACAGAGATTTGTTAGATTTGGGTCCCTGGGATGGAGACACCAAGCCCCAGTGAGACAGGGCCACTGGACCCATTGCAGGGATGGAAACAAGGACAAAGGCCAAGGTCTAGGCAGAATTACCTGTACCTGCTCAAAGGCTCAGAAACAAGAGGAGATTTATTTCTAATGAACCACCTAGTCAGAGTTGGGCTGGTTGCAGAGGGGAAACCTTGCCAAGCCTTTCGGGGTTGGGCTGGTTTAAGCATTTGTCCAAGAAGGAAGGGGAGAAATAAATGTCCTTGTGGCCCCACCTAAAGGAAGAAGAGGGCCTTTAAGGCTGGGCTACATTTGAGGTGAGAACTGACATAGAGAATTACCATTAAGGCCAGGTGCAGTGACTTACCTCTGTAATCCTAGCACTCTGGGAGGCCGAGGTGGGCAGATCACGAGGTCAGGAGTTCGAGACCAGCCTGACTAACATGGTGAAACACTATCTCTACTAAAAATACAAAAATTAGCCAGACGTGGTGGTGCACGCCTGTAATCCCAGCTACTCAGGAGGCTAAGGCAGGAGAATTGCATGAACCAAAGAGGCAGAGGTTGCAGTGAGCCAAGATCACACCACTGCACTCCAGCCTGGGTGACAGAGAGAGACTCCATCTCAAAAAAAAAAAGAAAAAGAAAAAGAAAATTACGATTAATAGAAAGGCATTCCACCCAGGCTATAAAATCATTTAATTTGAACCAACGTGATTGTAAAAACCACTATTGTAAAAACTGGGATAAAGATGTAACATTAAACACTGGATTTCTCTCCAAACTGGATGGCTTTTGAAATCAGATTTCTAGACATGTGAATAAGTACATACAGCAAGAGAATATAACCACAAGGAGACTTTTGTTTAAAAAACTCTTACTTCAGATTCTCACTTCTTAAATCATGGCTAACAGTTCCTACTACTGTTAGAAAAAGCTGTAAGCCTTTGAAATTCGTCAAAATAGAAAACAAAGGATTACTGTGTGTTCTTTCTGGGGATGGCCATTAACAATCTCTGAGCTATTTTACAACTCTTTAATTAGAAAACGGATACAAATTAGTTTTGCCCAGATAGATGCAAATTTGTTGTATCTGGTGGAATGCAATTATTAGCCACCCATTTTGCATCTACAGTTCACTACTGAACAACCTGGGGTTAGGGACGCCGACCCTCTCCCCAGTTGAAAAATCCATGTATAACTTTTGACTCCCACAAAGCTTAACTACTAATAGTCTAACTGTTGACTGGAAGCCTTACCAAGAGCATAAACAGTTGATTAACACATATTTTGTATTTTACATGTATTATGTACTGGATTCTTCCAATAAGGTAAGCTGGAGAAAAGAAAAGGCATTATTAAGAAAATTGTATGGAAGAGAAAATACATTTACAGTGCCGTACTGTGTGTATTGATACCATAAGCTTCCTTTGTCTGTTTACAAGGTAAATCAGCTGTCTGAAACAGCAGGCAGCTGCAGCTGCAGACCTCAGTCTATGGTACATACCGAGCAATTCAACTTCTTCTTGTAAAGTCATGACTGATCTCTGCTTCTTGGGAGCACTTCCAGCATTCCTAGTGGCCCTTCATATGGGTCCCATGGTGTTATTCAAGGTTTATGGTATTGCACTAACCACAGTGTAAACTCCACGAGCACCACGAGAGATCGCTTTTTACTGTGATGTGCAATTTACTGCAGAAACGAACTGCTCACAGGGAGATAAGTGTCATATGGCATTTTAAGCAGATACTGGCAACACTTGAGCTCACCTCAATAGCAACAGGAGGTGGCTACAAGCCTGTCACAGTGGTACAGCAAGGGTTGCAGTTAATTTCATGCAGTTATGACTTCATGCTGCATCATTACATTTGTTCACCTTTTTCTCAACTGTGAATGGTGCCATATACAATCTGTGCTTGTGTGTATGTTTTGATAAATTTTAACTTTCTGTAAAGGATTTGTGTATACTTTATGGTAGTAAATGGTATAATAGACTAGTATCTACATATGCTTTATGTATTCATGACATACCTAACTTTTTCTTAATTTTTTCTATATTTGTAGGCTATGCCATTCATCTACAAGTTTTTCAAATTATCAAAAATCTCCAAAAAATGTTTCCAACATGTTTACTGGAAAAAAATTACGTGTAAGTGGACCTGTGCAGTTTAAATCCATGTCGTTCAAGGGTCAACTGTATCTGGAGAATCATCGCTTTTTTTTTTTTCTTTTTTTGAGACAGAGTCTCGCTCTGTCACCCAGGCTGGAGTGCAGTGGCATGATCTCGGCTCACTGCAACCTTTGACTCTCTAATCAAGTGATTCTCCTGCCTTAGCCTTTCAAGTAGCTGGGACTCCAGGCATGTGCCACCAGGCTTGGCTAATTTTTGTATTTTTAGAAGAGACGGGGTTTCACCGTATTGGCCAGGCTGGTCTCAAACTCCTGGCCTCAAGTGATCCTCCCACCTCAGCCTCCCAAAGTGCTGAGATTACAGGCGTGAGCCACGGCACCCAGCTGGAGAATCATTTCTGCATCTCTTTTCTGCCTTTATGCCTGTGGTACTTTGAATTCTCCTTGGAGCAAGTTGTGACATCTTACTGGTTCCCTTATTCGTTAATGGGTTAAAGAAAATCCTTGACATGTGTTTATTTTATATTAGCCTGAGAATTATGATTAAACTCTCTTTTAAATATTCTCTTTTAGCACAACAGAGCATTCAATCCATTGAAAAGATGCAAGGCACTGTGTATGTGTCCTAGAACATAAACAAAGTCAAAAGAGGCAGCCTTTGTGACAGAAGAACTGAACTGTTGATTGAAGACTGGGCTCCCGTCCCGGGGCTGGCAGTGGCCGTGCAGGCAGCCGTGGGCAAGTCTGCGCCCCTCTCTGACTCTGTTACCCCTCTGGGGGGATGAAGGTGAATTATTGTAGCCCTGATTCCTGTGGTTCCACACCATCAAATCCAACTAGATTTATCTTTGAATGTGTGGCTTACAATCTAATACAAATGTAACATCCTGTCTTATCCTAAAGGATGAATCCAAAACATCAAAATTGAGTTAAAATACAGTTTCCTAAATAAAGAGCAAAAATATCTGTTTACCCATGACTAAACATGAGTGCAGGGCACTCCCCAACAGCCAGATTCTGGTCTTGTCCCTCTTTGAGGGACAGCTACTCCAGCAGCTGAGGACTGCCAGGAACTTTAGTGGGACTTTGATCACTTATGAAGGGAATGTAAGGAGGAGAGGCATGGCTGCGGGACTGCACAGGCAGAGCCTGGCTGCAACTGAAGTCAGGTACAATGTAGTCCCCAGAGAGATTTTTATTTTGTTTATTTTTATTTTTTATTTTTGAGACGGAGTCTAGCTCTGTCGCCAGGCTGGAGTGCGATCTTGGCTCACTGCAACCTCCGCCTCCCAGGTTTAAGTGATTCTCCTGCCTCAGCCTCCCAAGTAGCTGGGATTACTGGCATGCGGCTCCATGCCCAGCTAATTTGTATTTTTAGTAGAGGTGGGATTTCACCATGTTGGCCAGGATGGTCTTGATCTCCTGACCTCGTGATCCGCCCATCTCAGCCTCCCAAACCCAAAGAGATTTTAATGAAATTATCCTACAGTAGAAAGAACAATCATCCCTACCCCAGAATTATCATTAGTCAATCAAATAATCAACAAATGTGACAGTTCTTGCAAATTTTAATTTGAAAAAAAGGAGAGATCACTAAATTGACAAGCTAAAGTCCATCAGTTTTGAATTTATGCATATGTATATATGAGTAGATAAACATATATTCAGATATATATATATATTTCTGTACTGCAGTGAAATGTTCTAAATGTCTATGAAATTTTAAAAAGTTATTCATTTGCAAATCTTTGTTGAGTATTTATAGGCCTAGATTTAACTGAGCAAGGAGGGGACTGGGTGAAAAAGCAAAGGACATGAACAGACACTTCTCTAAAGAAGACATACCATGTGGCCAACAAACAGATGAAAAAAAGCTCAACATCACTGATCTTTAGAGAAATGCAAACAAAACCACAGTGAGATACCACCTCACACCAGTCAGAATGACTATTATTAAAAAGTCAAAAAACAACAGATGCCGGTGAGGTTATATAATGGGGAAAAAATGAACGCTTTTACACTGTTGGTGGGAGAGTAAATTAGTTCAACCATCGTGGAAGACAGTGTGGTGATTCCTCAAGGAATCAGAAATATAATTTGACCCAGCAATCCCATTACTGGGTATATACTCAAAGGAATATAAATCATTCTATTATAAAGATATATGCACACATATATTCGTTGCAGCACTATTCACAATAGCAAAGACATGGAATCAACCTAAATGCCCATCAGTGATAGACTGGATAAAGAAAATGTGGTACATATACACCATGGAATACTATGCAGCCATAAAAAAGAACGAGATCATGTCCTTTGCAGGAACATGAATGGAGCTAGAAGCTGTTATCCTCAGCAAACTAACACAGGGACAGAAAACCAAACACCACATGTTCTTACTTATAAGTGGGTGCTGAACGACCAGAACACGGACACATGTGGGGAACAACACACTCTGGGGCCTGTCAGAGGTGGAGCAGTTTCAGGGAAGAGAGAGCATCAGGAAGAACAGCCAATGGATGCTGGCTTAATACCTGGGTGTTGGGTTGACCTGTGCAGCAAACCGCCATGGCACACATTTTCCTATGTAAGAAACATTCACATCCTGTACATGTACCCTGAACTTAAAATAAAAATTGAAGAAAAAAATAAATAAATAATATCCTTTAAAAAAAGTTATTCATGTGCAAATCTTTATTGAGTATTTATAGGCCTAGATTTAACTGGGCAAGGAGGAGAGTGGGTGAAAGAGCCATCATCGCGGCCCACAGCTTCAGAACAAGTTGACTGCTGTCTCTCAGACAGGTTTAGAGAGACTTAAAGAAGTATCTGCAAGTCCAACCGCCCTCCCCGAGAGTGGAATGGAGAAGAACGGATGTTCCAGCTTCCCTCCTCTGTTGGTCAAAGCTCACTCACCAGAGCCTTGATGCCCCAGAATTTTGGGACTGGGGATGCACGGCACTGGTGGGGTGTCACCACTAGGTGACAACAGGGAGGCCCAGAGGCAAGAGACAAGAAATATGAGGCATGAGTGTGAGATGGGGAGGGCATGTGAGGCAGGGCACTGCCAGGTCCTGTCCTGGAGCCACACGAAGGACTAAACAGTCACCACAGTGGGTCCCTGATAGCAAGGGGCACAGCAGCCACCTGGTCCCCTCATTGCCAGGGCCACAGTGCTCAGAAAGCCAGGCAAGCGCTCAGCTGTGGGAGGTGCATAAACCAGTCCCAAACACACAGTAAAGTGCCTGTGACCTTTACATATAATTCTATCTTGGCGTCATCATTTGCTATCTTCCTTTTTTCTCCAAGAGAAAAATGTCCAATCATTTGCATATTTATGGTTCAAATAAGATGATTAGATTTTTTTATTCCTCTCACTTTGCTTCATGAATCAACATGAAATACATTTTGAAACAGCTCTTTAAGGAAAGTCACACTTGCAGGAGATTAACTAAGTTAGGAAAAATCACTTTATCTTGGAAAGTTCACTGTCATAAGTTTCAATTGCCCCTAAGGCCATTAAAATCCTGGTCCTAGAACCTGTGTATTTTATGGCCTGCTTCCTGTTAATGGGTGCTAAGGCTTCCATAAAGAAGAAGTCTCTAACTAAAGGAATGCTAACCAGCAGATAAGGCTCATTTTAGTGTCTGGGGGAGCGCATATTTCCATTTCAATGGCTGTAAGATCCGGAGTTCTCTTTCCAAGTTATTTTTGACATGAATCTACAGCTGTAGCCAGGGGAAGTCTGGCCTTGACTTTGAAGACAGTCCCCTTTAGCAACATTTTCCCACTTCTTTTGATGCTGTTTTGGTCCTTTATTGCAGGTGTCATACTTAAAATTCTCTTCGTTGACTCCAAAATATGTTGAAGGGCAAACGTTAGGTTTCTGGCACATGTTCATTATTATTCCCATGACAAACAAAAAGTGCTTTGTACCCAGCAGTGCTCTGTTTGATAATTACCCAAAGGAAATGAAATCAGTATGTGTAAAGATGTCTGCACCCCCATGTGCATTGCAGCATTATTCACAATAGCCAAGACGTGGAAACCACGTAAGTGTCATCAACAGACAAATGGATAAAGAATAAAGAAATTGTTTTTTTGTTGTGGGTTTTTTTTTTTTTTTTTTTGAGATGGAACCTCGCTCTGTCGCCCAGGCTGGAGTGCAGTGGCACTATCTCTGCTCACTGCAACCTCTGCCTCCCAGATTCAACTGATTCTTCTGCCTCAGCCTCCCAAGTACCTGGGATTACAGGCATAAGCCACCACACCTGGCTAATTTTTTTGTTTTTTTAATAGAGTCGGGGTTTTGCTGGTCTTGAACTCCTGACCTCGTGATCAGTCTGCCTCAGTCTCCTAAAGTGCTGGGATTACAGGCATGAGCCACCATGCCCGGCCATGAAATTGTTATTCAGTGTTGCACTGCATAACGGTGTTTGGGTCAACAACAAACTACATATCCAACGGAGGTCCCTTAAGATTATAATACGGTATTTTTATTGTACCTTTTCTATGTTTAGTTGCATAAATACATAGGATTGTGTCACAATTGCCTACAGTATTGAGACAGTCACACACTGCACAGGTGTCTACCAGGTGTACACCAGTGTATACCATCTAGGTTTGCGTAAGGGCACCCTATGATGCTCCCACGACAAAATTTCCTAAGGATGCATTTCTCAGAACATATCCCATTTGTTAAGTGATGGATGAGTGTGCAATAGAATATTACTCAGCCCTTAAAAAGAAGATCCTTCTATTTTTGGCAATATGGATGAACCTGAAAGACATTATGCTAAGTGAAATAAATCAGAGAAAGAAAAATACTACATGATCTCACTTACATGTAAACTTTTTAAAAGTAGAATACATAGAGAATAAATCAGGTAGGAGGAAGAGAAAAGGAAATGAGGAGATGCAGGTCAAAGATTTTGAAGGTACAGATAGGTAGAATCAATTAGTCGAGAAAGCTAAGGTATAACATAAACACTATAGTTACGGTATTGTATTGTATACTGATGTTTACTTGAGGTGCTCTTATCACCCACACACACAAAAAAATGGGTAACTAGGAGGGATGATAGATACGTTAATTTGCTTGACTACAGTAATTATTTCACTATGTATATCAAAAATCTTGTTGTACACTCTCCCCTCCAATGCACACACACATATATATATATACACACACACACAACAAAAATGAAAATTTTAAAAGTACTTTGTTCATTTTTTTTTCAGACAGCTTCTCTCTGTCACCCAGGCTGGAGTGCAGTGGCACCATCATAGCTCACTGCAGCCTCAAACTCCTAAGCTCACGTGATCCTCCCACCTCAGCCTCCTGAGTAGTTAGGACTACCGGCACATGCCACAATGCCCGACTAGTGTTTTTTTTTGCAGAGATGTGGTCTTGCTATGTTGCCCAGGTTGATCTTGAATTATTAAAGAGCTATACAAGGTAAATGGTCTAAGGTAACACCACCCTGGAAGCAAAATTATGAGCACAGTAATGATCTTTTACAGAATTTTTCATTTTGTTTTGACCACCATTCGCTACATCAGCTGCCAAGGCTTCCTCCCACACACTTCATTCCCAGTCATTGCTGGGGTTCCCCAGGGAAGCCTCCTGGAGACCATGCTCAGATTCTAGTTTCCCATGGTGATTTGCAACTAAGTGTGCAGTGGGCAAATGATGCCTAGATTCAAGCTGAAGCTCCATGTTTCCATCCCCAAGTAAAACTACAGTCTTTGCACATTTTTCTTTCCTTGCCCTAAGATCCTTTTTTGCATGAAGGGGTGGGAAATGTACATCTTTACAATGGATTCTCAGCGGCTCTCCCGGCATTGGCTGCCAGGCTTGCTGACTCTTGACCAAGGTCTGGGTGGGTTGTGATTCCTTTGAGACATCCCAGCAGCTGGGGAGTCCCCTTGCATAGGCCACAGTCCAAACAGAAGGTAGGCTCCTTGTCACAGAGCTCAGCTCCACCCTATTGGAAAGGGACTCATGCTTGGAGTGGCCTGAGTCACACTGTTGTGGTCAACAGATCTGAGGCTCCCTGGGAGAGGACTGAGTCTCAGGAGAACAAGTAGGTTCAGCCCCCAGCCTTTGTCTGCACCTGGAGTGACCAACTCAGATATAGATGGCTTCATTGGAGTATTAGTTCATTTTCATGCTGTTGATAAAGACATACCCGTGACTGGGTGATTTATACATTAAAAGAGGTTTAATGAACTCACAGTTCCACGTGGCTGGGAAGGCCTCACAATTATGGTGGAAGGCAAAAGACACGTCTTACATGGCAGCAGACAAGAAAGAATGAGAATCAAGTGAAAGGGGTTTCCCCTCATAAAACCATCAGATCTCATGAGACTTATTCAGTACCTCAAGAACAGTATGGAGGAAACTGACCCCGTGATTCCGTTATCTCCCACTGAGTCCCTCCCACAACATGTGGGAATTATAAGAGCTACAATTCAGGATGAGATTTGGGTGGGGACACAGACAAATCATATTAATTGGTGACTGCTAGCGCAGCTTTAAGAAATAATATCAATTCTACACACTCTTTTGGAAAATAGAAAAAAAGGAAACATTCTCCAACTCATTTTATGAGGCCTGTATTACCAAAACCAGACAAATATATTATGAGAAATGGAAACTATAGACATATATCCTACATGAACATAGGCATAATTTTTTTAAGCAAATCATATCAAGGGATAAATAACCAGAAAACTACATAAGAAAACCCAATGATTGGGCTTATCCCAAAAATGCAAGGTTGGGTTAACATTTTAAAATCAATCAATATAACGTACCATTAACAGAATAAAGGAGCACAACCATATGACAATTTGAATAGATGCAAAAAGCACTTAATAAAATTCATAATTTTTTAAAAACCCTCTTTACAAATTAGGAATGGAAGAGTCCCTCTCCAAGCTGAAAAAAGGGCATCTATGAAAAAAATACAGCTAGTGTTATAATTCCTGCGAAAGACTGGATCTTTTCCCCTTACACAGTGGGATTGAGGCAAGAACTTTCCCTTCTGTCACTTCTGTTGAACATGGTACTAGAATTTCTAACCAATGCAATAATTTAAAAAAGGAAATAAAAGTATATGGCTTGGAAAGGAAGAAGTTAAACTTTTGTTTGCAGATCATGCATGGAGAAATTCCAAAGAATCAAATAACAAAGGTACTAGAATGACTAAGTGAATTTAGCAAGATCATTGGATAAAAGACCGCTATATGAAAATAAATTATATTTCTATATGCTAGTAAATAACTGGAAAATACATTTAAAACATTTTTTTTTCTCTTTTTTTAAAGACAGGTTCTCACTGTGTCACCCAGCCTAGAGCGCAGTGGCTTGATCTTGGCTCACTGCAACCTCCACCTTCCAGGCTCAAGCTATTCTCCTACCTCAGCCTTCTGAGTAGCTGGGACTACAGGCACGCATCACCATGCCTAGCTATGAAAAATAAAGTTTTAAACAAAAACAACACCATTACAGCACCAAAAAAAAAAAAACACGAAATATGTGGGATAAATTTAACAAACTGTAAGATTTTTCTAATGTTCTTTGTTGAAAATTACAAAATTTAAAATTTATAAAATGACAAAATGGGAGTAATTAAAAAAGACTTAAATAAATAGATATGTAAAGTTAATGGATTAGGTAATTTGATATGGGTAAAATGTCAATTTTTCCCAAATTAATCTATAGACTCAGTGCAATCCCAGTCAAAATTCTAACCGGCATTTTTATAGAAATGTACAAGCTGATTCTACAAAGTATTTGAAACTGCAAAGGGCGTAGAATGATACTGAAAAAGAGGAACACGGTGCAGGAAAACACTGACTGATTTCAACAGCTGTACTCATCAACGGTGTGGCATTGGCATAAGGTTAGACATATGGATAAACGGAATGGAATAGAGCTCCCAGATATAGACCAATACATATGTGGTGAATTGGTTTTCAACAAAGGTGCTGGGATAACCCAATGGGGGAAAGATAGTCTTTTCAACATATGGTACTTGAACAACTGTGTATTGATTTGGGGGGAGGAAAGTGGACCTCAACTCAGGCCACACGAACACTGGACCACAAAACATACAAACCATAAAAGAAAATGTTAATAAACTAGCCTCCATCAACATTAAAATTTTCTGCTCTGAGAAAAAGATACTTTTAAGAAAATTAAAAGGGAAACTGCAGAGTAAAAGAAAATAATTACTAAACATTTCTGACTAGAGATTTGTATTGAAAGATAAAGTCTTACAAATCAGTGATAAAATAAGACACCTATTTTTAATGGGAAAAATATCTGAATAGACTGGGACCTCAGAAAGAAAATATATGAATGGATTCAAAATTTATGAAGTTGCTTATTATCATTATTCACCAGGAAAATGTGAATTAAAACCACCATAAAATACCACTCCACATCCGCTGAAATACCTAAAAATTCAAAAGACTGGTAATACCAAATCTCGGAGAGGAAGTAGAGCACGGGTAGGGTTGTAAAATGACTAATCTCTTTGGAAAACTGTTCAGCAATTTCTTACGAAGTCAAACATATACCTACCTTATGCCCCCACAATTATACTCCTAGATATTTAACCAAGATAAATGAAAGCATATATTCCCAAAAAGACATATACAAGACTGTTTAGAGTACTGTTTGTTTGTTTGTTTGTTTTGAGACAGAGTCTAGTTCTGTTGCCCAGGCTGGAGTGCAGTGGTGCAATCTCGGCTCACTGCAACCTCTGCCTCCCAAGTTCAAGCTATTCTCGTGCCTCAGCCTCTTGAGTAGCTGGGATTACAGGCACACACCACCATGCCTGGCTAATTTTTTGTAATTTTAATAGAGATGGGGTTTCGCCATGTTGCCCAGGCTGGTCTCGAACTCCTAAGCTCAGGCAATCTGCCCTCCTTGGCCTCCCAAAGTGCTAGGATTAGAGGCGTGAGGCACCCAAACTTGGCCTGTTTATAGTACTTTTATTCATAATAGCCAAAACGGAAAAACAGAAAACAATCCAAATATCCATTACCAAGAGAACTGGGGGAAAAAAGGAGCTGTAATGCATTCATATGATGAACGCTACATAGCAATAAAGAAAGACAAACTGCCGATTCATGCAACAACATGGATAAATCTGAGAAACGTGTAGAACCCAGACACAAAAGGTACATATGGTATGATTCATTTACATGCAGTTGGAGAACTGACATCGCATCCAGTTACAGAAATCGGAGCCATAGTGACCTCAAACTGGTGGAGGATTGACCAGGAGGGAACAGGAGGAGACCTTCTGGGGTGACTAAAATATTTTACATCTTGATTTGGGTATTGGTTTTACATTTGTCCAAACTCATCAAACTGAACACATAGGATCTGAGCATTACGATACATGTAAATTTTTCCAGAAGATACTAAGCTATATTTTGGAGGATGCAAAAGTCAAAATGAGGAAAAGAATTCATCACAAAATGAGGGCAGTGGGTGTGCTGGAAAGGTGGTTGGAGCTGTGACCCAGAAAGGACACAGCTGGAGTCCCAGACCATTCTCATTCTCAATCTTGGACAGGATTGTTGGTTTCATAGTTATTAGTTAAAACATGTACTCATGCTTTATGCTGTTTTCTGTATGTGTGTTATATTTCATAATTTTAAAATAATTTTAAAAATATAACAGCAAGATTCTGGTTCTTAGAAGATTTCTTTCTATCCCGACAACTCAGACTGTAGCTAGATTGCTCTACATCCTTCATCTTTCCTTATTCCTTTCATCCATTCTCCTATACATTTCCTTTTTTTTATTTTTAACTTTTACTTTAGGTTCAGGTGTACACGTGAAGGTTTGTTACATAGGCAAATAAATGTCACTGGGGTTTTTTGTACAGATTGTTTCATCACCCAGGTATTAACTCCAATACCCAATAGTTACCTTTTTTGCTCCTCACCCTCCTCCCACCCTCCACCCTCAAGTAGACATTGGTGTCTGTTGTTCCCTTCTTTGTGTTCATTAGTTTTCATCATTTAGTTCCCACTTATAAGTGAGAACATGCAGTATTTGGTTTTCTGTTCCTGCGTTAGTTTGCTAAAGATAATGGCCTCCAAGCTCCATCCATGTTCCCACAAAAAGCATAATCTCATTCTTTTTTTATGGTTGCATAGTATTCCATGGTGTATATGTACTACATTTTCTTTATCCAATCTGTCATTGATGCGCATTTAGGTTGATTCTATGTCTTTGCTATTGTGAATACTGCTGCAACGAACATTCGTGTGCATGTGTCGTAATGGCAGAATGTTTATATTCCTCTGGGTATATACCCAGTAATGAGACCACTGGGTCGAATAGTAGTTTTAGCTCTTTGAGGAATCATCATACTGCTTTCCACAATGGTTGAATTAATTTACACTCCCACCAACAGTGTATAAGTGTTTCCTTTTCTCTGCAACCTCACCAACACCTGGTATTTGACTTTTTAGTACTAGCCATTCTGACTGGTGTGAGATGATATCTCATTGTGGTTTTGATTTGCATTTCTCCAAAGATCAGTGCTATTGAGCTTTTTTTCATATGCTTGTTGGCCGCATGTATGCCTTCTTAGGAAAAGTGTTTGTTCATGTCCTTTGCCCACTTTTTAATGGGGTTGCTTGTTTTTCTCTTGTAAATTTAAGTTCCTTTATAGATGCTGGATATTAGACCTTTGTGTCAGATGCAGTTTGCAAATATTTTCTCCTGTTATGTAGATTGTCTGTTTACTCTATTGATGGTGTCTTTTGCTGTCTAGAAGCTCTGAATTAGATCCTATTTGTCAGTTTTTGCATTTGTCGTGATTGCTTTTGGTGTCTTCGTCATGGGATCTTTGCCCATTTCTATGTCTAGGATGGTATTGCCTAGGTTGTCTTCCAGGGTTTTTATAGTTTTAGGTTTTACATTTAAGTCTTTAATCTATCTCGAGTTAATTGTTGTATATAATGTAAGACAAAGGTCCAGCTTCAATCTTCTGCATATTGCTAGCCGGTTATCCCAGCACTATTTAGTGAATAGGGAGTCTTTCCCCTTTGCTTGTTTTTGTCAGCTTTGCCAAAGATCAGATGGTCGTAGGTGTGCAGCCTTATTTCTGGGCTCTCTATTCTGCTCCATTGGTCTATGTGTTTGTTTTTGTACCAATACCATGCTGCTTTGGTTACTGTAGCCTTGTAGTATACTTTGAAGTCAGGTAATGTGATGCTTCTAGCTTTGTTCTTTCTCCTTAGGATTGCCTTGGCTATTCAGGCTCTTTATTTTGGTTCCATATGAGTTTTAAAATAGTTTTTTCTAGTTCTGTGAAGAATGTTAGTTTGATAGGAATAGCATTGAATCTGTAAATTGTTTGGGGCAATATGGCCATTTTAATGATATTGATTCTTTCTATCCATGAGCATGGGATGCTTTTCCATTTGTGTCTTCTCTGATTTCTTTGAGCAGTGTTTTGTAATTTTCATTGTAGAGATCCTTCTCCTCCCTGGTTAACTGTATTCCTAGGTATTTTCTTCTTTATGTGGCAATTGTGAATGGGACTGCCTTCCTGATTTGGGTCTCAGCTTGGCTGTTGTCAATGTATAGAAATGCTAGTGACTTTTGTACATTGATTTGTATCCTGAAACTGTGCTGAAGTTGTTTAACAGCTGAAGGAGCTTTTGGGCCCATCCTGTAGATTTCTTTACAATATGGCGGGTTAGCTCTTTTTGTATCTTACTATCCAACACCCTTAAGGTTTTAGATTTTCATCAAAGAGTTTATCACAGTATTTTTTCTTTTTCTTTTTCTTTTCTTTTTTCCAAGATGGAGTTTCGCTCTTGTTGCCCAGGCTGGAGTGCAATGGCATGATCTCAGCTCACCGCAACCTCTACCTCCAGGGTTCAAGTGATTCTCCTGCCTCAGGCTCACAAGTAACTGGGACTACAGGCATGTAGTGGCACCATGCCTGGCTAATTTTGTATTTTTTAGTAGAGACAAGGTTTCTCCATGTTGGTCAGACTGGTCTTGAACTCCTGACCTCAGGTGATCTGCCCACCTCTGCTTCCCAAAGTGCTGAGATTACAGGCGTGAGCCACTGTGCCCAGCCACAGTATTTTCTTAAACAAAGACAGATCCCTTCCTAAGAATAATTTTGGTACTAGTCATAAGCTAATAAAATTTACACCTCCTTATATACACAGAGGACGATAGATAGATAGACAGACAGACAGACAGACAGACAGACAGACAGACAGATAGATAGATAGATGATAGAGAGATACATTCCTTAAGCACATTGCATGTTCAGGATTTCAAAATAATAGGATCCTAATCATTTTACTTTCTGTGAGCCAGAAGCTTCCAGTTTCTGTGGGGATGTACAACCTTCAGCCATACCTGACTTGTTCTGAGATCCCTTATAACTGGACTATGACATTTGATTTCAAATCCCCCATACACAGCCAAGCGAATAGCCCATCATTTTGACAATGCATTTTCTGAGGAAACTCAAAGGGCTATGCATTTGGATTGCATATCAAACACATTCAAGGGATGTTAAATATTTAGAAAATGGGAGTGCAACTTAGCCTGCTTCAGAGCTCACTCAGGGTGGGTGCCGGCATCAGCAGCATTCATCTGAGTCCATTTAGAGGGCAGATGCCTGGAAATCCCAGAAGGACCCAGGTTTAAAACTCGCTTCTGAACATAATCCCACATCATAAAGCCTGTTACTGAAACAGCGAGACTCCAATATACTTAGTTTTATATTTAGCCTGTTTTAGGAAGCAAAGTATGAGGAATCATGAGCACCGGGTCTACTGAGGTGCCTTCCATTTCTGTAGAAAATGTGTTCATCTGTATGACTTTGTCACTGGGGGATTAAAACAAAGATAAGAGAAAGCACACAGCTCAGGTCTGAGGCACCTGCAGTAGGCATCTGCAAGGCCTCCCAAGGCTGTGCTGGACCTGCTGAGGAATGTGCGCAGGAGCTCCATGCCCGATTTCAGGAGTCATTCTGGCACAGAAGACCTTCCTGGTGTTAATCTGCCATTCCCTACAGACCTTTCTCTAAAGCTCAGGGAAGGGTGAAGCCCCATAAGGACCAACTCAGGAGAAATCAGTTTTGCCATCAGCGCACATGGCTGAAAGCTGTTGCAGTGGTTTGTCCTGTCCACGTGGGAACCCAGCTGGATACACAGCAGATTGAATGCCCGTCGTTTCAACAATGCATTTTACAATGGACCTCTGGGGCTTCCAGTTGTTCAGAGACACCAACAAAGAGAACGAACGGAGCTGCTCTGTCTCATCCTTAAGGATGGAGCCAACAAGGAACCAAGCTCTAGAACCACATCAAGGAGGGCATCGTGATGGTGTTCAATCTCCCGTTTATTTGTGAGACTCGAACCGTCAATGCACCTGGTTCTTTTGCAATATCCTCAACGTGGCCAAAGCTAAAAACAGTAATAATAACAGCAGCAACAACATACTTCCTTCAACCAGGCACAGTCCTCCATGACTGTCCCATCCCGCAGGTGAGAGGCGGCTTTCAAAAACCTAGTTCTGAGGGGTGAGTCCTGCCTATATAAAGAGCAATGCTGCTTCTGGCATGTCAGGCTCCATGCCATGCTCCTCACATGTATTATGACCTTTGCCATGGGCAGAATAGTTTCCCCTCAAAATTCCTAATCCCCAGGACCTCAGAATGCAGCTGTATTTGGAGACAGGTCCTTTAAAGAGGTAACCAAGTTAAAATGAGGTCATAGGGGTGGGCCCTAGTCCAATATGATTGGCGTACTTATAAAAAGAGAAGCTTAGGATGAAAAGACAGTGGGGGTTGTGTGAAGACATTGGAACAAGATGGCTATCTAGGCGGGGGGCAGTGGCTCATTCCTGTAATTCCAGCACTTTTGGAGGCTGAGGCAGGTGGATCACTTGCACCCATGAGCTCGAGACCAGCCTGGGCAACATAGTAAAACGCTGTCTCTATAAAAAAATACAAAAATTAGTTGAGCATGATGGCACCTCTGTAGTCCCAGCTACTTGGGAGGCTGAGGCAGGAGGATCAATTGAGCCTGCAAGGTGGAGGCTGTCATGAGCCGAGATCACATTACTGCACTCCAGCCTGGGGTGACAGAGTGAGATCCTGTCCCCTGCTAAAAAAAAATGAAGGCCATCTATAGTATAAGCCAAGGAGTGAAGCCTTAGAAGAAAGCAGCCTGCCAACACCTTGATCTCAGACTCCTAGTTATGAACTAGATTTTGTTATAAAATAAATTTCTGTTGTTTAGGCCACCTAGTCTGTAGTACTTTGTTACGGCAGCCCTAACAAACTAATACAATGTTTAATTATTTAATGAATGTATTTAATTATTGGATGGGAAATCCTATGAAGGTAGGATTACTATTATTATCCCATTTTCCCAAAGAGGATGTTAATACCCATAGCCACAGAGGTGGGGAATCAGGTGATGGGGAACCCCAAAGTCAGCCTCCACCCCAGAACTCTTAACCACCATGCCATACCGTGTACAATCAGACAAGGTTTTTGGCTGCCCGAAACAGACATGGACACTGGCTGATTTAAGCAGAAAAGCCATTTATAGAAGAGCACTGGGAAGTGCTGGGAGAGCTGGAGAGGAGCAGCTGGTGGGCAGACCTGCAACCGACAGCCAGAATCTTCCTGATAGGATGGGCCTGCCACCGCCACGGAGCCTAGGACCCTGAACATCATCAAGAGCGCCACCCTCACTGCCTGGGAAAAGCATCCACATGGTCCTTCTGCATCTCAACTCAAAGCCCAGCCTGGTCCTTCTGGTTGGAGGAGCCTTCATCACAACACCAAGTACTGGCTCCAAGGGGAAGAGAAAGCAGGCATGGGTTCGGGTGGTTGAAAGCCACCCCATTTGCTGGGGTTCAGCTTCTCTAGTGGGAGGTGGGTTTGTTCTCCCAAAAATACTCATAAGATGGGATATTCTGCAAATATAGGGTGGAGACTCCAATGCTGGAGAGTCAAAGGAAACCAGCCTTGGATACCTTCTGCATGCTGCAGCCATAGAGCGAGCTGATTCGGAACGACTTCAATCAGGACGGGCAAGGAAACTTAGTCTTTGGTAAGCCCAGGACAGACGGGAAATGGGGAGGCTATGAGGGCTCCCTTCCATCCTGAAATGGGCTCTCAGAAGAAGAAGGTCATGGTTGTGTATTCCCAGGAGCCAGACAGCCCTGATGCCGGAAGTCTCAGGAAGGCAGATTCCAGTCACACATGGCGACCGCTGCCTCTTACGTGCCCAGGCCGACAGCGATTGCGAGACCTCTTGCTTCTGCAGGGCTGAACGCAGAGGCTGGTCAGGAAGGTGGGAAAAGGGAATCAACATCAGATGGCGCTGGCCACAGGGGACCTCCAAGAATTCTACGAACATGTGATCTTAAAAGCTATCCTTTCTTTCTGAGAGAAGAGCAGGAAACTGAATTACAATGTGCTGGAACCCTACTCTGTGTAGACACCGTTTTGAGCAAAGTAAAGGGTTCCAGATAGTAAAAGGCATAGTCCCTATAATTGAAAAGATGACAAACACACATACCAAAAGTTGAATAATTAAAATTCTCAGGAACAGTTACAGGTAATAACTGGGTGCATGCCACAGAGCAGCTCAGGAATAGTTGCTAGGTAAGTCTTAAAGACAAAATTGCTATTTAAAGGATACTGAATTGTAGACAAACTCCCACAGACATCTTGAAAACATATTTTCCAGCATATGAGTAATTAGGACCAATTTGTAAGGTGGTGAGTTTTGCTAAATCTTGGTGACATCACTTGTTATTAATACCTTAATAAATTATTACATTTATGTTTACTTGGACCCAGTGTTGGGCTTGTTTGTTTATTTATTTTTTTTAAGACAGAGGCTCGCTCTGTCCCCAGGCTGGAGTGCAGTGGCACCATCTCAGTTCACTGCAACCTCTGCTTCCCGGGCTTAAGCGATTCTCCTGCCTCAGCCTCCCAAGTAGCTAGGACTACAGGTGTGCACCACCATGCCCAGCTAATGTTTTTGTATTTTTTGGTACAGATGGGGTTTCACCGTGTTGGCCAGGATGGTCTTGATCTCTTGACCTCGTGATCCATCCGCCTCGGCCTACCAAAGTGCTGTGATTACAGGTGTGATTCACTGCATCTGCCCTTTTTGTTTATTTTTAACCTACACTGCACAAAGGGCATATAGATTATCCAATTTGTGTATTGCAACAATAAAAACTAAGTTCTAGGTTTTCTTTTTAGCTTTTTAGGAGACATTTCCTGTGCTTAGCTGGTACTACTCACCACAGATGAGCATGCATGCACAGGGTAATATTGACCTAAGAAAATAGAATTGGGCAGCACGATTTGTTGGGAACACACAGAGACACAAGTCTAAAAATAAAGACCATTAGGTTGTGAGCTCATTTCGCATTATCTTCTCATTACTTTCTCTATCAGCACTAAATAATTTAGTTTTATAAAGTACATTGAAACTATTATACAAATATAAATCTTGTCATAAGCTACTTCCTTTATCTCTGCTTAAAGGTTTCCATTTCCAATCAGACCTCAAGTGCCTTTCCCAGAACTGCCTCTTTCACTTTATAGAGAAAGGAAAGAGCTAGAAGTGTTTTTAGAAAACAAGTGACATCATGCAGGAGCTCCCCTGAGTCACACGTGACCAGATGATGCACACAGGTGTGACACAGGCCCAAGGGGGCTGCCTGGGCACAGGAGAAAAAAGCCCCTGGCTGCTGGCTGTTGCTCTAACCCTTCTCCCCCATCCAATAAAGTCAAACGAATGCAAGTGAGCAAGGATTCCATCGAGGACATAGCAGCTTGAATCGTTTTAAGGTAAATTATTCACCAACTTTGGTGCTTCACGTTTTGCCAATAACAAATTACTTGGACTTGGAGTACTACACCAACCATGTAGAAAACACCGTGCATAGCAACACTCAACTGAGCAGAGCTGGCACAAACTGTACAATAAAATAACCCCATCGTTTTAAGTAACACAACTCCACCCACCCCCAAAAAAGATGTTGGCATTTATTTTGCACGCCGACGACATACCCAAAATTTAAGTCCCCCTCTCCTAGGAGATTTGTTGAGAAAACTCATTCTTTCTTACCAAGTAAAGTGCTGAAAAGCACTCAGTTGTGTTGGATCACGTTTTCCTAGCCAAAAACTGGGATTAATTTGCTACATGCAGTCAAAAACTGACTAAATATTTAAATTCAAGATGGTCCTGTAAATTTCAGGAGCTATAGCACAGAGGCCATGCTGCGCAGCCGAAGGCGGGGCCAAAGTGGACAATTAGGAAAGGGAAAAGTTCTGCAAAGGGGAAGAGGAACTCAAGGGGTCGTCCTATATGTGTGTTCGTATGCGTCTTGGTGCCTAGTGAGTCAGCCATTGGATGCATCCATCAGCCTTCACTTGCTATGAACTAATAACAGGCATCCCTCTCCTCATTCTCAGGTTTCACTCATCTATTTGGGTCTATTATAGCTAGATCCTCTCTTGCAGAAAATTCATATGCATCTATTCTTGGATACGTGTTTTAAACATTGGAACCACACAAAACACAACAGAACTGAACCTATTATTCTGTAGCAAAGCCAACAACCAAACAACCTTTCACCCAAGTTACCCTAGTCCTGCGAAGTAAGAGGGACTCTCACCACTTTCTCCTAGCAATTTATAAACAGAACTTTGCAAAAGCATTGCTAAGAAGTAAATATTTGGAAGGCATGTTTGGAGATAAAAATATTTCATTAATAAATATTTGGGGAATAGAAAGTGTTTCTGTAAATGATACCAAGATGAGCAATTTCTACATCAAGGGGAAAAACATTTTTAGTTAGTAATAAATGGCCACTCTATTTTAATTCTGTTTTTTTTTGTTTTGTTTTGTTTTCTTTTTTTTTTTTTTTTTGAAATCCAAACTTACTCAGCAAAGTTGAAGAAATTCCAAAATCTTAGGAAACTAAAATATCTTGCAAAAGTTGAACTTCTGTGAAGCAAAACAAGTGGATGCGGACAAATGAAAGACTGAGGAGAGTTCAAGAAGATGGAGGTATTTCTGAATGATCTCTGTAGAGAAGGTGGCCAAAGGAAACATCACACACGCACACACACACACACATACAAATGTGGTTATGTTTGTTTGTTTGTTTGTTTGTTAAGACGGGGTCTCGCTCTGTCACCCAGGCTGGAGTGCAGTGGCTCAATCTCAGCTCACCGCAACCTCCGCCTCCCAGATTCAAGGGATTCTGCTGCCTCAGCCTCCCGAGTAGCTGGGATTATAGGCTTGCGCCACCACACCTGGCTACTGGCTACTAATCGTTGCTTTGTTTGTTTGTTTGTTTGTTTTGGAGAGACGGGTTTTTTGCCATGTTGGCCAGGCTGGTCTCGAGCTCCTGACCTCAAGTGATCCACCTGCCTCGGCCTCCCAAAGTACTGGGATTACAGGCATGAGCCACCGTGCCTGATGCCCATGTTTTGTTTTATACTTTTAAAAAATGTGTTTAAATGTTTAAATGAGCAAATTATTTGGAAGTTGCCTTGTGCTTTCTGATGCTGCTTTGCGGCACATTAAGAGTCTTGACATTAGGCCATCATTCATTTCCTCTTTCATTCCGCCAACATTGATTCCGTGTCAGGCATGTGGGAGACGGCGCAGACACAAAGGCAAACAATCCCAAACACAGGCTTTGCCCTCCTTGTACGTTGAGACAAAGGAAGCAGAAATGAGCCTGGGATCACAGTCTGCGCTGAGCAGCATGGAGCAAACAGGGCGTCCCCTTCTCAGTGACAGAGGGACTTGGGCTGACCAACCGTCTTGGCTTCCCTGGGACTGTCCCAGCTCAGCACTGAAAATCTCATGCCGATGAAAACCCCCGCAGGCCTGGGCAGATGGGAACCTTGGTCACTCTTGCAGAAACTTGAGTCAGGTAAGGGTGGTAAACAGACAAATGGAAGTGGGGTATGGAGGTGGGTGACAGATTGGATCTGGGCCTGAGATGTGAATCAAGGATCATTAGCATATAGATGATCATTAACTGTGGGCGTGTGGATGAGGTCCCCTAGGGAGACAGTGTTGATTTCCTCCCTTATCATGCAGAGCAAGCAGACCTCCCCTTTCCCAGGGAGGATTTTCGCTTTGAATCCCGGCTGATGCTAATATATCCCCGCTCACTTCCTTTCTGGTTCTCATGTACCTGGTACTATATGTTTGCCTTTAATTCTTTCCCTCTGTCATCATGTCATGGGTCTGATTTGTAAGCAGCCTATTATTGGATTTTTGTTTTTAAATTCAATTTGCTTCCTTTTACTTATTGAATTAACCCATTTATACCCATCAACATTGTTTCTCTTCAGTTTTGCTTCTGTAATTGTTTCCTCTCTGCTGTGTTTGGTTTTGTTTGAGTGAGGTCTTTTTCTCCCCCTTTTATTTTCCTGTATAGACTTTCGTACTGATTTGTGAGGTAAATATTCTTTTAATCTAACAATTATTACACGAAAAAAATTGTTTTGAAACAGGGTCTGATTCTATTGCCCAGGCTGGAGTGCGGTGGCGTGATCTCAGCTCACTGCAGACTTGCCTCCCAGGCTCAGGCGATCCTCCCACCTCAGCCTTCTGAGTAGCTGGGACTGCAGGCACACATCGCCATGCCCACCTAATTTTTGTATTTTTTAGAGAGACAGGGTTTTGCTACGTTGCTCAAACTGGTCTCAAACTCCTGAGCTCAAGTGATCCTCTTGCCACGGCCACCCAAAGTGTGCTGGGATTACAGGCATGAGCCACTGTGCTTGGCCTACATGAAAATATTTTAAAATGTACTTTTTTTTTTTTTTTTTTGAGGAAGAGTCTCACTCTGTCACCCAGGCTGGAGTGCAGTGGCGTGACCTTGGCTCACTGCAGCCTCTGCCTCCTGGATTCAAGCAATTCTCCTGCCTCAGCCTCCCGAGTATCTGGGACTACAGGCACGTGCCACCATGCCTGGCTAATTTTTTGTATTTTTAGTAGAGACGGAGTTTCACCGTGTTAGCCAGGATGATCTCGATCTCCTGATCTCGTGATCCGCCCGCCTCGGCCTCCCTAAGTGTTGAGATCACAGGCGTGAGCCACCGCACCCAGCCTAAAAATGTATTCTTAAACTTAATGGAAACTAACTGTCAAAGTCAATAAGGAAAGGAGCCTTGTAATAACCTTATAAGGAAAACAGTAGATTTCGAAGTTTTCTTCCTTACCTCCCCACCCCTACCCAAATTAATCTGCATCTGTAAACATCATCATTTTCATATTTCTCTGCAAATCATTTCTTTCAACAATGACAACAAAGTACTTTTAAAAATCGTGTCTTAAAAGTTGCATGGCTTTATCTCCATATGTTCAACTCGGGTCACTGCCTGCCCTCTCCAGCCATGATTTCCTCATGTTGGAATTCTATTTTCGGTCTGATTTGTATTTCATTCTACAAATCTTTTTTTTTTTTTTTTTTTTTTTTTTTTTTTTTGAGATGGACTCTTGCTCTGTCGCACAGGCTGGAGTGCAATGGCATGATCTGGGTTCACTGCAGCCTCTGCCTCCCAGGTTCAAGCAGTTCTCCTGCCTCAGCCTCCCAAGGAGCTGGGATTACAGGCACCCGCCACCATGCCTGGCTAATTTTTGTATTTTTAGTAGAATTAGGGTTTCGTGATGTTGGCCAGGCTGGTCTCGAACTCCTGACCTGAAGTGATCCACCCGCCTCAGCCTCCCAAAGTGCTGGGATTACAGGCGTGAGCCACTGCGCCCGGCTCATTCTACAAATCTTTTGATTATTGGTTTTGCCCCGTCTCCATTCTGGACTCTCTGAAATGTTATCATCATATTTTTCAGAGCTGTCCTGGCGATAGTGTTGTCTCTCTGACCATCTACGTCTGGTTGTCCCTTTATAACACAACCATCTGTGGCCCTTCCATCTGCTCCCAAACCTCAGTTTTCCAGCCTGAGGACTGCATTCCCACTTCACTTCCTGGGCACACATCAACTTCCTGTTTCTGTGTTCTGCAGAGATGCTGAGAAAACTCGGGAGCATGGGAACCTCCTCCAAGGCTCCACCACTGCCTTGTCTGGAAGTCTCCTTCACAAATGGGAAGGGGTTGGATATCCTGGTCTTCTTCCTTCCAAACTGATTCTTTTTTTGTGTGTGTGTGACACGGAATCTCACTCTGTCACCAGGCTGTAGTGCAGTGGCCCGATCTCGGCTCACTGCAACCTCCGCCTCTTGAGTTCAAGTGATTCTCCTGCCTCAGCCTCCCAAGGAGCTGTGACTGACTACAGGTGTGCACCACCATGCCCGGCTAATTTTTTTGTATTTTTAGTAGAGACGAGGTTTCACCACGTTGGCCAGGATGGTCTCAATCTCTTGACCTTGTGATCCACCCACCTGAGCCTCCCAGAGTGCTGGGATTACAGGCGTAAGCCACTGTGCCTGGCCCCAAACTGACTCTTTACCTCCAGTGGCCGGGTTTGCCTGGAGAGCAGGTTTCCTGGTGGGGAACAGGAAGGGCTGCCTCTGTGTTGACAGCCTGACAAGTGGAGAGCAGAGGCAGCCGAGGGAAAGGCGAAGCCCAGGTCCACAGGCCAAGGTAGGGACTTCAGACAGCACAACACTGTAATAAGAGGCACCCCTGACTCTCACCAGCCTCAGTCACACTAGCAAGTGCAACATACAATGTGTGAAAATCCATACTTATGGAGGCCAGCTTTATCAGAGCCTACTTATGGGGAGAGGGGAGCAGTAGAGGGGCTGAGGCAGAGAGAGACTGACCCGGCGGTGCACCGCTGCCTCCACAGAGAGGGCACAGGCCCTGCCTGCTTCCTGCCCCCACTGCCACCTCTAGACTCTGGCGACCATCTCAGATGCTTCTGCCTCTGAAAAGGCACCTCCAGGTGCCCATTCAGACTGTGCCCTGTCATTTATCTGGCTGTTGCACCTCAAAACCAATAAACAATGATTTGGAGGGGGAAAAAAAGGAAAATATCTTGGTCTCCTTCTAGCTCCTCCCTTATCTTGATCCACTCATAGCCAGTTTCTTCTCTTTTTTAAAAATCTTAATAGCTTTGAGAGTACAAGTTGTTTCTGGTTACACGGATGAATTCTGTAGTGGTGAAGTCTGGGACTGAGAACACCCATCACTTGAGCGGTGTACACTGTACCCGATGTGTACTCTTTTGTCCCTCACCTGCCTCCCACCTGCCCCGGAGTCCACAAAGTCCATTAAATCACTCTGTATGTCTTTATGCATAACAAATTTCTTAAAAACATCCTGACCCCTAGTCACCCACTCTCACCTCCCAGTCTGCCCTCCGCCCTCTGCCCCTCTGTCATGGCTAAAGCAGCCCATGCTCTTCCTGTTGCCAAACCAACAGGGGTCCTTTGCTTTTCTCTTTTTTGCCATCCCACTCACATCTGACATGGCTGACCCATCTCTCCTACTTGAAATCTGTTCTCTCCTGGCCTTTGGAGGCTGGGCTACCTTGACTTCCCTTCTGTTTCCCCAAGGGTACCTTCTGAGTCTTCCCTTGACTCCCTCTGGACACTCACTCATTCCCTCCACAAATATTTCTGGGGCACCAACTTGTTCCCAGGGAGTGTTTAGGCCCAGTGGATATGGCAATCGCCTCTCCTCTGGAAGAACTTACATTTCAATGCAGAGCGAGGGCGGAGAGCAAGGAACAAGTGACAAATAAATGAATGCTTAAGTATGTACCACAAAGACAGGTGATGATAAACACTGGGCAGCAAAAGAAAAGGAGGCGAAGCTGATGGAGAGTAACAGTTAGGAGAGGGCTCTACCTGGATTAGGGTGATCAGAGAGGGAGGCTGCTGATCAGAGATGGAATGACACAGGAAGGTGGCCAACATGAAGTCCTGGGGAGCGTGCACTTGGCAAACAGAACAGCAAGTCCAGAGACCCTCAGGCAGGTCCCTGCTGCATGTGCTCGAGGAGCATCAGGGGAGATACAGTGAGAGAGGAACGAGTGGAGGGAGAGCATGCGCCAAGGTGTCCAGGAGTGAATGACAGTTTCCATCACTGTCCCGATGAATCTACAACGTCAGCCCACACCTCTTGGTTAAGAATCAGACCCCCATCATTAGGACATCTCTATTTGGATGTCCCAGAAATATCTCAGACTCAACATGTCCAAACCTAAGTTCTTCATTCCCCTCAGAACTGCTTCCTCTCTGGGATTCCCCATCCTGTGAAGGGAGACTTTGTCTGCTAAGTCAACTGGCCGAACGGAGGCATCGTGCTAGTCTTCTCCTTCGTTCCCTCCACACAGCCACAAACCAGACAGTGCCTGCCGTCCTCACATCGAGCATCTCTGCTTACCACACTGCCACTGCCCCCGTTCCAACCCTCATCACTTCTTGCCCCGGTTTCTGAAACAACCATTTAACTGTCCTTCATGACCCAAGTCTCATCCCCTTCTGGTCCACCTTCCACACTGCAGATAGGAGGAACTTCTGAGGAACAGATGTCCTCACGGCCCTCCTCTGCTTTTCAGTCTAGAGTATTCTGTTAACATCACTTGGAAAAGCGACCTGTCCTTCATCTGACTCTCAAGTCACATTCTCTCCAACACACACGCACAGACACATGTACTACAATCTCATCCTGGCCACCCATGCCCAGTTCTTGCAATGTCCCAGGCTATCTCACATCCCACATCTTCCCACCGACTTGCTCCTCTACCTGTGATGCCCAGAGCCCCCTCTCAGTTAGTGGATGCCCGTCATCCTTCAGAACCACCCCAACGTGGTGAATAAAGTCTGGCACAGCCATGCAATGAAACACTGTATGTCCATTAAAGAGAAGGAGGCAACACTCTGTCCTCTGCTTTGACACCATTTCCAGGATATTCTGTTTGGGCAGAAGGTAAGGTGCAGAATAGTGTTGGTGGGAGGCTAATATTTGTGTTTAAAAAAAATAGACTATTAGAAGTATAATGGCAAAGATTTTGGAATTCAGTAGAAAATTTGGAAAATAAAATGAAGCCAGTATCTAAAAAGAGCTGAGCAAATGGACACAGAGATAGGGAATACATGAGGAAAAAAATAAAGAACACAGGGTCAAACATCCAAAAAAATCAGAGTCCCAGAGAGAGAAAAAAATCAGAGTTCCAGAGACAGAAAATGGAGGGGCTCATTTTTTTTTTTTTTTTTTTTGAGACAGAGTCTCACTGTGTCACCTAGGCTGGAGTACAGTGGCGCAATCTCAGCTCACTGCAACCTCTGCCTCCTGGGTTCAAGTGATTCTTCAGCCTTAGCCTCCCAAGTAGCTGAGATTACAGGCATGCGCCACCACGCCTGGCTGATTTTTGTATTTTCAGTAGGGACAGGGTTTCACCATGTTGGCCAAGCTGGTCTCGAACTCCTGACCTCAAGTGATCCACCCCCGCTCAGCCTCCCAAAGAGCTGGGATTATAGGCATGAGCCACTGCGCCAGGCCGGGTTCAAATTATTAAAGAAAAAAATTCAGGAAAATCTCCCACAATTTAAACACAAGAAGCACGTGTGTTTCCAGATTGAAAGGCTGTTAAATTGTTCATCACAAATCACAATAGATGAAAATAGAACACAAAGTGACATCTCAAGAAATTTCACAACCCTGGGAACAGAAAGAAATTTGTAAGAACACCGAGGGAAGAAATACATATCCATCAGGTGCGCTGTGCGCATTAGAGGTGAAAAACTCTGGTCTCTCTGGATAAGTGATAAAATTATTGTTAGTGGATAATTAGTGTATTCATAACTTCCTGTGTGTTCCATTTTCTTTAGTTACCTGGGAGCTCGGTGTTAAATCTTATGCTCCGTTGCAGGCATACACCTCAGCCAAGTTTTGCTGGGATAAAAAAAAAACACAACTCCTTCCATCTTTAGTCCATATTACAAGGCTCCTAAACATTTCCTTTCTTTTTAATGGCTTTATGGACTTTGTATTATTTATCACGAACTGTCTAAATCCCCTTGGAGCACACAGGGGCATGAAAAATAAGCCTGAAGAAACAGTCTGCCTTTATCCCATTCCACCCCAGAGATGTCAGACTCTAGCCTGTGCTCGGGGCACACTGCAACCCTGGGAGCCTCTGTGTGTGGGAATAGCCCCCTCTCCTTCTGAACGGCCCTTTTTTCCCTTGGAGTTCTTGATGATCTTCCTTGGCAGTGATTCTCAAGTCTAGGGAAAGGAGAAAGGAAAACGCATCCCCTAGACTTTTTTATGTTGTCATTTATTGCCTGTTACCCCTACCTGATTTTAATTCTGTGACAGCATGTGCATTGCAATATTCCCTGTGACTCCAACAATGCCTGGCCCACAGTAGGCTCTTACACGTTTATTCAATGAACACATGGACCTGGCCTGTCAAGGGTTGAGGGGACTTCAGAGATGATCTAGTTCATCTGCTTATTTGATCCAACTGTAGAGAAGAAAAGTGACCTATTCAAGGTCACACAGGCAGCAATGGGCACACCTAGGACTGTACAGCCCTCACCTGTGGGGAAGCATCAGTAGGCACAAGAGTTGCAGGTGAAAAACATATGCTGTTAGGGAGACCTGGGTTCGAGCCTGTCATGTGCCACTTCCCAGCTATCTATCTGTGATCTTGGGCAAAGTATTTAATCACTGAGAATGAGTTTGTAAAAATGAAAATAATAGGAGGCAATGTGTGCAGCATAGTATCTGGCTCAGAAGAAGCACTCAAGAGCTATTAGTTCAATTTGACTCGGTGCTTATTGGGGAATTTGCTAACCTGGAAAGTATGCAGAGAGGTCTGAAGATGACAATCTATGCCTTTGCCTGACTCTTTCCACAGACTCGGTGCTTATTGGGGAACTTGCTAACCTGGAAAGTATGCAGAGAGATCTGAAGATGACAATCTATGCCTTTGCCTGACTCTTTCCACAGCTGCCTGAGACGCTAGACCCAAAGGCCAGGGCATCAGAGAGTACCCCAGCCCAGGCAGGGTGGTCCACCTGCAAGGTGCGGAGCAGAATAAATGTCAGGAAGAACTTCCCATGTAAACAACTGATAAAGAATTGGAATCCAAAGGTGGCATTTGGAACAACTGCATAAACAGAGACAATTGCCAGGCCTGGGAGTCCTCCCCTGAGAGATACGGGTGGCCGGTTCTTGTGAAGATGAAATAGATCAGGTTTATACAGGACTAAGAAGCAGCCCAGAAACCAGTGTCCCATTGCCTAGATTCCATACCCTGCCTCTATGAGGAGAAGGAACTAGAAATTGACATCAGAAACAGACGTAGGAGGGCTGGTGGGAGGGCGGTGGTGCTTTTAGCCTGCAGCATAGAATTAGACATTTTTAATATGTGACAGTTTTTGAGACCCAGTCCTTTAGTTGCTGTCTAAAAGAACTTCTCACATATTAGACTCCAGAAATAGACGAGTTCCTTCCTGCCCTCATCTATGATAATTTAGATTCGGATGCTCAGAGGAGAAAATCAGGAAGCCCCCTCCCTGTTCTTTCCAAGTGTGTGTAGACAGTGAGCCTGTGAGATTACTGCCCCCACAGTGGCCCTCTCTGACCATGCCCGTTACCTGGGGAGGGAGCAGAGCCACCTGCCCTCCACTCTCTGCCCTCCCAGAACCCCTAGGGAGACAGGCTGATACACAAAACTACCAGCTCAAGGGGAGGTCCTTAGGGAGAGATCACCCCAAAGCTGAGCCCGCAGCGGGCCCTCGCCCTACACAGCCTCTCTTCAGTGACAGCTCCAAGTGCTGCCCTGCTCTGCACTGACCAGAGGCGCAGGGCACCTGGCAGCCTCCAAATTCCTCTCCAGGGCCAGTACCTGCTTTCAGGCCAGCATGCCGCTGGGGAAGAATGAACTGTGAGGTCCAGGCTCAGATGTCTTAGAGTCCCAGCAAGCGTGAGCTCTCTTCATCACCTACTGGGCTGCAGAAATGGGGCCCCGCACAAAACAAGCACCCCACCAGGGCACTTCTTGTTTTCTTTTTTTCTTTTTCAAACTATCTCTCAAAAGCACCTGATGCACAAGCAAGCATAAAGAAGCAAATCATTTCCCTCCTCTGCCCTTTATAACCAAAACAAAATGGAAATAAGAAATGGACATGGCTTCTTTGCAGCTTCTCTCCCGCATGCTTCCAGCAAAAGCCCCGGGTTTCTGTCCCCTTGGCCTGACCTGGCTCAGGTGTCTGCCCCTGAGGTTTGGAGGTTCCGATTGGCTGGTCCTGGAGTCAGGAGCTGTGGGTGCCACCAGAAGCACACATCTGAGTGTGACTCCCTAAAGGAAGATGGGGGTACAGTTCATGAACAAGGTGGTAGAGTGGCAGGCAGGCAACCCAAAATGCACCAGAGGCCAGGAATACAAAGGTTTGCTATTGACTTTCCAGATGTTAAGAGCCACATGTTCACCAGACCTTTACCTCTCCCCAGTGAGAAATGTGCTATCTAAACAGCAATCTCAAATCTGTGCTTCTCTCTGGCCCTCAAAAGGTCAACGAGAACAGAAATGTGGCTAAGGTAGCTAAGCGGTAAAGCTCCTTATAATGCAGGAGAAAAGGGGGAAGGAAAGAAGAGAGGGAGGGAGAGGAGAGGAGGGTGGAGGAGAGAAAGAAAAAAGAAGAGGGAGAGTGGGAGACAGGGAGGAAGACGGAGGGAAGAAGAGAGAATGCCTTCTCTAACATCTTACACACAGAGAGAAAAGTCCACCCACCAGTAGACACAACAGCAAAAGAGAAGAAAAATTTGCAGGTTTTGCTATGGAATCTGTGTCCACATCCCCCTCACTTTCTTGAAAACAGCAATTTTTTTCTGATTATATCAAATTATCATTTTTATTATAAATTAACAAGCTATAGTTGTATATACTTATGGGATACAAAGTGATACTTTGATTCATGAATACAATGTGAAGTCATTAGATCAAGCCAACAAATACATCCATCACCTCAAATATTCATCAGTTTTTAGGGTGAGAACACTTAAAATTTACTCTATTAGCAATTTTGAAACATACAATACACTATTATTTACTATATTTACCATGCTATGCAACAGATTTCAAAGAAAAAAACTACTATTCCTCCTGTCTAACTGAGGCTTTGTACCCTTTGACTGTCATCTCCTCATGCTCCCAACCCCCAGCCTCTGTTACCGCCATTCTACTCTTCATTTCAATGAGTTTGACTGTTTTAGATTTCCCATATAAGTAAGAACATGTGGTATTTGTCTTTCTGTGCCTGGGCATAATGTTTTTCTCTTCCATCTACGTTACTGAAAATTACAAAATTTCTTTCTTTTTAAAGGCTGAATAGTATTCTACCGTGTATATATACAACATTATCTTTCTCCATTCATCTGTTGATGGACACTTAGGTTGATTTCATATTTTGGCTATTGTGGATAGTGCTGCAATGAACATGGAAGTGCAAATTTCTCTTCAACATACTTATTTCAAATCTTTTGGGTAAATACCCAGAAGTGGGATTGCTGGATCATACGGTAATTCTACTTTTAGTTTTTAGAGGAACTTCCATACTCTCTTCCATAATGGCTGTACTAATTGACATTCCCACCAACAGCCTACAAGGGTTCCCCTTTCTCCACACCCTCACCAACACTGCTACATTTTGTCATTTTGATAATAGCCATTCTGACAGGTGTGAGTTGATGTCTCATTGTGGTTTTAATTTGCACTTTCCTAATGATTAATGATGTTGAACATTTTTTCATATATCTGTGGGCCATTTATATGTCTTCTTTTGGGAAATATCTATTCAGGTCTCTTGCTATTTTAAAATCAGATTTTTTTTTTTCTCCTAATAGAGTTGTTTGAGTACCTTATATATTTTGGATATTAACCCCTTATTAGATATATGGCTTGCAAATATTTCCTCCCAATCTGTGGGATGCCTTTTCATTGTTAATTGTTTCCTTTATCGTACAGAAGCTTTTTTAGTTTGATGTAATCCCCTTCGTTTATTTGTGCTTTTCTTACCTGTACTTTTGGAATCAAATCTAAAAACATCATTATGTAGACTAATGTAATTTTTCCCCAATATTCTCCTTCAGTAGTTTTATAGTCTCAAGTCTTGAGACATGGCTATTTTTTTTAATATTTTATGTTTAAATATTTAATCCATTTTGAGTTGATTTTTGTATATGGGGTGAGATAAGGATCCAATTTTATTCTTCTGCATATGAATGTCCAATTTTCCCAGTACCATTTAGTGAACAGACTGTCCTTTTCCCATTGTCTATTCTTAGCACCTTTGTCAAAAACCTATTGACTGTACAGATGTGCATTCATTTTTGGGCTCTCTATTCTGTTCCATTGGTTAATGTGTCTATTTTTATGTCTGTGTCATGCTGTTTTAATTACTATCACTTTGTAGTATAGTTTGAATTCAAGTAGTGTCATGCCTCCAGCTTTGCTCTTTTTGTGTGTGATTTCCTTGGCTATTTGGATTTCTTTTGTGGTTTTGTATGAATTTTAGGATCATTGTTTCTATTTTATGTAAAATTACATTGGAGATTTTATAGAGATTTCATTAATTCTGTAGATTGTTTTGGGTAGCACAGATACTTTAACAATATTACTTCTTCCAATCTGTGAACATAGGATATCTTTCTGTTTATGTGTGTTTTCTTCAATTTCTTTCATCAACATTTTATGGTTTTCAGTATACAGGTTTTCACCTACTTGGCTACATTTATTCTTAAGTTGTTTTTGTTTTTGAAGCCATTGTAAATGAGATTGCTCTTTTAATTTGTTTTTTGGAAAGTCTGCAGTGTCAACAAATCAATGGAAACTACTGATTTTTATGTGTTGCTTTTGTAATCCTCAACTTTACGTATTAATTTCTAAGTCCTAACAGTTTTTTGGTGAAATCTTTAAGGTTTCCTCTGTATGGGATAACAGACAGCAACAATTTCACTTCTTCCTTTCCCATTTGGATGCTTTTTATTTCTTTCTCTTGCCTAATTGCAAGGACTTCCAACATGATGTTAAATAGAAGTGGTGAGAGTAGGTTTCCTTGTCTTGTTCTGAATTTTAGAGGAAAGGGTTTCAGTTTTTCACCATTGAGTACAAGGCTAACTGTGTGCTTACCATATATATATGTTCTTTATTGTGTTGAGGTACATTCCTTCTATACCTAATTTGTTGAGAGTTTTTATCATGAAAGGATGTCAAGTTTTGTCAAATGCTTTTTCTGTGTCTGATGAGATGATCACAGGGTTTTTGTCCCTCATTCTGTTAATGTGGTGTATTGCATTTGTAGATTTACATTTGTTGAACCATCCTCCTATCCTGTGATAAATCCCACTTAATCATGGTGAATGATCCTTTTAATGTGTTGCTGAATTCAGCTTGCTAGTATTTTTTTGAGGATTTTTGTATCTATGTTCAACAGGGATCCTGGCCTGTAGTTTTACTTACCTATTTATGTATTGATTTATTTTTTGTAGTGTCTTTTTCTGGTTTTGGTGTCAGAGTAATGCTGGCCTCATAAAAAGAGTTTGAAGTATTTCCTCCTCTTTAATTTTTGGAAGAGTTTGTGAAAGATTGGTATTAGTTATTCTTTAAATGTTTGGTAAAATTCAGCAGTGAAACCATGAGGTTTCTTAGGATCCTTTATATTTCTGTAGTATCACGTTGTATTATTTCCTCTTGTATTTCTGACTTTATTTATTTGTCCTCTCGTTTTTTCTTAGTTTAGCTAAAGGTCTGTCAGTTTTGTTTATCTTTTCTTTTTCTTTCTTTATTTTTTTTTTTATTTTTTGAGACAGAGTCGTGCTCTGTCACCCAAGCTGGAGAGCAGTGATGAGATCTTGGCTCACTGCAACCTCCACCTCCTAGGTTCAAGCAATTCTCATGCCTCAGCCTCCCGAGTATCTGGGACTACAGGTACACGCCACCACACCTGGCTAATTTTTGTATTTTCAGTAGAGACAGGGTTTTACTATGTTGGCCAGGCTGGTCTCGAACTCCTGGCCTCAAGTGATTCACCTCCCCTTGGCCTCCTTAAGTGCTAAGATTATAGGCATAAGCCACCATACCTGGCCATTTATCTTTTCAAAAAACCAACTCTTGGTTTTATTAATCTTTTGTATTTTTTTTTTAGTCTCTTTCATTTATTTCTCCTCTGATCTTTATTATTTTTTTCCTTCTACTAACAATGGGCTTAGTTTATTCTTCTTTCTGTATTTCCTTGAGGCATGATGTTAAGTTGTTTGAGATCTTTCTCCTTTTTTGATGTAAATGGAAAACACCAATTTAAATCCCTATTTAAATCCAATTGATATCCATGTTGACATGACTAGTAGTTACTGATTTTTTTTTATTTATTTATTTATTTATTTATTTATTTTTGACAGGGTCTTGCTCTGTTGCCCAGCCTGGAGTGTAGTGGTGCCGTCTCGGCTCACTGCAACCTCCGCCTCCAGGATTCAAGCAATTCTCCTGCCTCAGTCTCCCGAGTAGCTGGGATTACAGGCGCTCGCCACCACACCCATCTAATTTTTGCATTTTTTAGTAGAGACAGGGTTTCGCCATGTTGGCTAGGTCTGTCTCAAGCTCCTGACCTCATGTGATCCGCCCGCCTCGGCCTCCCAGAATGCTGGGATTACAGGCATGAGCCACCGCGCCCATCCCTGATTTTTTTTTTTTTTTTTTTTTTTTTTTAAGAAATAAAGCAACTTCTCCCAGGCCATGTGGAAAAGCCATGTGTGAACCAGAGGAACAAGTGTGAGTAAATCTCAGCCCTCTGGGCAGAATGTTCTGCTGTTCGTGCTATTTCTTAATCACAAGACTGGCTGTGGATTGCAAACCTGTCACCTCTTTTTTACATTCCCAAACTCACCAAAATGCCTTTGTTAAATTTTCATAGTTTGACATTGAAATATTAACGTGCAGACAACTGGCCTTGTACAGTTTTGATTCTATGCTTTGCAGGACTTTCTGGGATTTGAGGTAACCTGCATGTCTGGCCTGGTGTTCCTTGGCCTCGCAGAAATATCCCACTCTCCTTGCCAGACACAGAAAGCCCTTTGCTCCTTCCCTGGAACTTCCTCAAACCTCCAAACTTTGCACTTGCAGATTCTGCCTGGGATGTCTGTCCCCTAGTTCTGTTTCTCTTTTTTTTTTTCTGAGACGGAGTCTCGCTCTGTCGCCCAGGCTGGAGTACAGTGGTGCGATCTTGGTTCACTGCAACCTCTGCCTCCCCAGTTCAAGCAATTCTCCTGCCTCAGCCTCCCAAGTAGCTGGGATTACAGGCACACGCCACCACAGCCAGCTAATTTTTGTATTTTTAGTAGAGACAGGGCTTCACCATGTTGGCCAGGCTGGTCCCAAACTCCTGACCTCAAGTGATCTGCCCGCTCGGCCTCCCAAAGTGCTGGGATTACAGGCGTGAGCCACGGCGCCCGGCCCCCCAGCTCTGTTTCTAAGCCTACTAACAAATCGTATTCACCCTTCATCATCCATCCCTGAGGATACCCATGCCCACCTACATCCAGGATGGGTCCAGGTGGCCTTCCTCTGTGTACCCTGACACTTATCCAACTATCGTTCTATAGACTAACTATATAGAATGATAGCAACTGTGTACTCCTTAAGTAGAAGAATCTAGAACATACCTATCTTCCTATCCTCAGCTCCTAGCACACTGCCTGACACACAGTAAGCATTCCACACATATTTGTTGAATGGATAAGTGAGTAAATGAGCAAGGTAATGAATATTTGTTTAGAAGTATTTCTGGAAGTTTCCTTAAAGCCACAGAACTCTTTTCAGCAGATCATTTTGTCTCTGCATCCCTTCTGGATTCTGTATGCTCCTGGGATGCCTGGGTTATGTCCCACTGCATATGAATTTTTTTTTTCTTGAGACAGATTCTTGCTCTGTCGCCCAGGTTGGAGTGCAGTGGTTCGATCTCGGGTCACTGCAACCTCCGCCTCCTAGGTTCAAGCGATTCTTCTGCCTCAGCCTCCTGAGTAGCTATAACTACAGGCATGTGATACCACACCTGCTATTTTTTTTTTTTTTTTTTTAAGTAGAGATGAGGTTTCACTATGTTGGCCAGACTGGTCTCAAACTCCTGACCTCAGATGATCCACCCACATTGGCCTCCCAAAGTGCTGGGATTACAGGCGTGAGCCGCAGTGCCCAGGCCCAGTGCATATACATTTATTAAGGACAGTCAGCCATGTGGTGGGGCTCCCTGTCACAGCTTTTTAGAACTGGAAGGATAGAGGCTTCTCAGAATGGCAAACAGATCACCCAACATTTTCTGGCAAAACCGAAGTCTTGCTCTCTCTTATAGCTAGTGTCTCACTGAATTCTTGGCAAAGTAACGTTCTCCAAGCTGCTGGGGAAGTTACAGAGGATGGGCAGCATCTAGATGCCCCATGAGCCCCCATTTCCCAACACGGTCCCCTTGGAATCTCTCTCTTTCCCTCTTTCCATTCACTTCATTCTTTTCTCTCCAGCCTCACTGGTGTCATTTCAGTTCCCTGAGGGTGTGAAGCGCTTTCAAGCCTCAGGGTCTTTGCACATGCTGTTCCCTCTGCCCAGCACGCCCCTCTCCACTCCTTTCCCTTCGGGTCCAATGTCACCTCCCCTAGGGCCTTCTCCAGCCCTCCCACATAAAGCAGGTCTCACCTCATCCTAGTTCACAGCCCACTGTGCTTTCTTTTAGGATGCTTATCACCACCTGTAGGCTTTGTGGTTCCCCTTCTGCCTGGGTCCACTCTGGAATCTCAGCTGCCTCTGTCTCACCAGGGCTCTCACTCCCTGGGGCCACGCTCGGGGCTGGCATGCAGCAGATGTCCAATAAGTATTTCTTGAACAAATGAATGTCATTCTGTAGGCTTGTGAATCATGTAAGCAGCATTTTCTCCCTCAACTTAAATCCACTGTATTAGGCTGTTCTTGTGTTGCTATAAAGGAATACCTGAGACTGGGTAATTTATACAGAAAAGAGATATATTTGGCTCACAGTTCTGTGGGCTGTACAAGCATGGCTCTGGCATCTGCTCAGTTTCTGATGAGGCCTCAGGGAGCTTTTACTTATGGTGGAAAGCGAAGTGGGAGCAAGAGAAAGAGGGGGAGGTGCCACATACTTTCAAAGGCCAGATCTCCCCAGTACTCAGTCACTATTGGGGGGACAGCACCAAGCCATGAGGGGTCTGTCACCATGACCCAGACACCTCCCACCAGGTCCCACCTCCAACATTGGGAGTCATATTTCAACATGAGATTTTGAAGGAACAAATATCCAAATTTTATCACCAACAGAGGGTATGTATCTAGGCTTGCATTTTGATAACAGGTCCTCTCTCTGCATTCTGAGTCAGAGGCAACTAATTTAAAAATCCATTCACCCACATTGACGATTAAATTTCTACTCTTACAGATTCCATTTGAAAAATATCCTATGCCTTGTGCTCTTCTTTGCCCTTTAGCTGTGTTTTGTACATTTGTATTCTATTTTCCCTGTGACATGGGCATTTTGATCATTAATGATTTCACTTCACCAGAAGAACATTATTCTTTTTATTTCATTGCTGAGAATGTTTTTGTCCATAGAGAGATATTTTCATTATGGGCCACATGCAATTTCTGAGTAGTTATTTCCTAATATGAAGTGTATTTTATAGGTGGTCAGAATGTTATAACATATTAGAGAGCTTATGTAGAGTTTGGGATAGTGTATATTACTTGGGAGTTATTCTTGCCCGGGCTGCTTTTTCTGGGAGTGTTGTATCTATTCTGAGAAGTCCTTGGAATGAATTGGTGGTGCTTGGTGTGATTGAACTGTTGCTGGTGTTAGTAACAGATGCAGCACATTGACTGTCAAACCTACCCCAATCTTTCCCTGCTCATCTGTGTGCATCTTACTTTCCTAGACAACAGAGCCGCTGAGTACACCCCAACACAGAGGAGCCAGCGCTCACCGAGAGATTTGCCAAGTGGAGTCCTTTTGAGACATCCAAATTTCACTGTCTTCAACTTATTAATGTGAAACAAAGAATAACGTATATGTGTGTGTAAACACGAATAGTAACAGCTTATATTTGTAAACAATGTGCCGTGCGCCCAGCACTACATTAAGCAGTCTCCATGCAGCACCTCCATTAATCCTGGGGAGCACTGTACCCACTTCAAGGTGAGAACACTGGTACTGAGTGGCCCTGCTTTATGTCACCCAGCAGGTGAGTGGTGGGTCTGGCATTCAAAGCTGGGCAGCCTGATTTTAGAACCTACCACACTGTCTTTATACATAGATGCATGTCCACGTATATATACCCACACACATCACGCACATATGTATCATCTACACATGCACGCACCCAACGCGTGCAAACGCTTGGGGAAAACCTCTGGTAGAGTATAATTCACTGTGAACTATGGAATCTGGGAAAGGGTAGGAACTTAGGATCGATGCTTACTTTTTACTCTACACATTTCTCTAATCATTTTAATCCTTTGAAACAAATGTGTTATCTCTGTACTAAAAAAAAATAAAAACCCAAGTTATTGATTTTGCTGTATGTGTTCCCACTGGAAAGGCTTATTGAATAATTGAATGTTATGAATGAATAGCTCATTTTTTTTTCTTTTGATCCAGAGGCCTTTAGAAGAGCAAGTAACAAAAACTGGTGGAAAAAAAGCACACATTCAACAGGAAGCAACATCTAGAGACCTTTCTGCCTTCCAGGATACAAAAAGAAAACAGTTCATAAACAACTTACATCTAAACCAGTAATGTTGTCTCCCTGGCTCATAGGAGCTGAAGAAGAATTCCAGTTACTGTAGTAAGAATATAAGGTAATGTGTTCTTGTTTTTTTTTTCTTTTTTTTTTTAACCACTTTGTTTAAACATTCTGACCTCTGTTAATTCCTCTCTAGGATGTGGACTGGTTTGAGGATGCTTGAGGCATGACTATAGCAAGTACTGCGCATACATATGTGGACATCGTAAGACACACTCTCTGCTTCCCCAGGCGAAATCTGTAATGCTTTGTTTATTCATGTTCTATTCTGCGTTTCCATGGCACTTTGTTCTTTGTGGTTTTTAGGGTATCTTTCTCCCTCTCTGCTCAGTGAACTGAGCTGCCTGGACAGGCCTTGAGTTTTCTTATTCGATTGTTTTTTGTGTGTGTATGTTTTGCCTTAGCTCCCTCACTAGTATAGTCAAGGAGCTTTTCATGCTTTGAGCCATTTGTGGCATTTCAGGAATTACCTTCATAGCTTTTGTCCATTTTCTACTGGCTTGTCTTTTTCAATGTTTTTATAGGCATTTTTTAAAAAACACAGTGTGGATGTCATTTGGGATAGCAGTACTAATAGTAGCTAAAACTTACTGAAAGCTACTGTGTGCCAGGCAGTCTGCTGAGCACTTTACATGCTGCCTTTCATTTTTACACTCATTTAGGAAACTGAGTCACAGAGAGGCGAGATAACTTGCCAGAGATTCAAGCACACTCCAGACACATCCCTACACCAATCAGACCTCCTAGCCACCCAGAAACTCTCCTCTGCTCGGAGGCTTCTCTGCTTCCTCCACCTGCCCCTTCGCCTCACTGCCTCCTTTCAAAATCTGCGGCATGTATTTTAGGGATACTCGTATCCATTTTCAGGAATTCCATGATCTACACACAGATGACACCAAAATCGGAACAGCAATGTCCACCCTTCTCCCGAGCCCTAGGTCGGTGCCTCTGTCCACCTGTGTCTCCTGAAACTTCAACACAGACTTCAAATGGAGTGGCAGAAAACCAGATTCCTTAGGGAAAGGAAGGTCTCCCAGACGGCAGGAGCGGCAGGCCTTAGGGGCAGCCGCAGGGGCTCGGGAGTCTGAACATACCCGGTTTGAATTCAGACTCTGGCACGCCCCATGCGATCATAACATAGTGCTGCACGTCTCAAGCCACCTATAAAAACGGGGACAATAACAATATCTGCCTCGGGGTTAATGGTGAGGACTGACTGTGTGTGTCTCGCTCAGGACCAGGAGCAACAAATGTTGGCTTCTTCCCCGGCAAAGACCCGCGCTTTCTCCTGGGCTCCGGGTTCCCGGGGTGGGGGTGGGCGCAGTCCCGAGGGCCCCAGGCAGTGGCGCAGTGGTTAGACCCCAGCCTCTGGAGTCGGCCTCGGTTCAGATTCTGGTTCTACCCTTCTCCTCTGTGGCGAACCAACCCTCCGAGCTCTAGTTTACTCGTGTGAAATGGACTAGCCAAAATTGGGATTTTTTTTTTTTTTTAGGATTAGATGTGTCGGTCCATAGACGTTGCTGGCCACATAGTTAAGTGGTGCGTTCACTCACTGGGCATTGATGGAGCGCCTACTACGTGCCAGGCCTGTTTTACGCGCCGGGGGCCCAGAGGCGCCCAGGTCAGACAAAGTGTAAACGATTCCGACCAGAGCCCTTCAATCTGCATTCCGCTTCGCAGGAAACTCTCCTCCTTTTATGATTTTCAGCCGGACTGCCTTCCCTGTTGTTAGTTTGTAACTTTCGCTCCGGCCCCCGCAGCCTCGCGCCTGCCTTCCCTCCACTGTCCTCAGCCAAGGTGTAGTAAAGCGTCTCCGAACGCGGCGCGACCCTCGCCCACGCCCGCTCGCGGGGGGACCGCACCGCCCCAGGGGTCCTCGCTAGGGGTTCCCGGAGAAGGGGTGGGAGATGGGGGTGCGGGGGGGCACAGGAGCGCGGGCCAGCACCCAGACCTGCTCGGTACCGGGGACCCAGACCCGAGGATGCCGGGCGGCCAAGGCCCCGCTACCCTGGCCGGCTCCGGGCGGAGGAAGAAGAGGAGGCGCCCAGACTGGATACCCGCCTGGACCCGGAGCCGCGGCACCACCCCCAGCCCGCCCCACGCTCGCCAGCCTCAGACGGCCGCGCCCCGCCCCGCCCCTCTCCCGAAGCCCCGCCCCGGCGCGGGACCACCCCCTCCGCGGCCTCAGCTCCGGTCCTGGCCCCGCCCCCCGCGCCCCCGCCCCCGCCCCCGCCCCCGCCCCCGCCCAGGCGCGGGACCACCCTCCGCCCGCCGAGGCGGGGGCCCAGCGCGCCCGGCACTCTCGGCGGTCCGGGCCCCTCGCCACTACCGCCGCCGCCGCCGCCGTGAGTCCCGCGGAGCCGCGCGCGCCCCCGGCTGGGCCGAGCCGCTGGCCGACGAGCGGAGCCTCAGGAGCCGGCGGGGACGCCATGCGAGCCAGGTAGGCAGGCGGCGGCGGGGAGCGCCTCGGGCGGCAGGGCCCTGGGGGCCGGCGGGGGCGCGGGGTCGTGCTCGGGGGCTTTGCACTCCCTTGCGGGCGCAGATCGTGCCGCGGGCGCCGATCGTGCCACCGCCGCCTGAGTTCGGGGCTGCGCGGGTGCCTGGGCGTGGGGCGGCTTCGGGGAAGCCTCGCGCGCCCCTCGCCGCTCCCCCGGGCGCTCGGGTCTCCCTGGTGCTGGTGGGCAGGGACCCGGCCCGGGGTTCCGGGCGCCGAGCCGCAGCCCTCCGCGTGCGCTCGGGCCGCCCCCCAACCCCGGCTCTGGCCACTTCCCGGCGGGCGGCCCTGCGGGGTGGCCTCCCTGGGCAACCGGACGCGTCCTCGGGCGCAAATCGGGGGGCGCGCTCGGCTCACGGGGGCCGTGGGGGCCACGGGAGGGCGTGGAGGGGTCGGGGCGCCCCCCTCGAGCGGCGCTGGGGAGGAGGGAAGGACGCGCGGTCTCCGGTTAAACTTGTTGGTGACAATGCATATTTCAACTTCTTCGGAGATCCCTCCTGTGAGGATGAAATTGAAAACTCCGGTTTCTGGCTTGGCGATCGGGTGACCGAGCAGCCGCGAGGTGACAGCGCCGGCGGCCCGCGGGCGGGGACCGGCTGGGATAGAGGCGCGTTGTTCTCTGAGCGATGTTTACCGAGAAGCCCGCTCCGCGGCACGGGCGGGTGTCAGTTGGGACCCCAACCCTGGGTCCCGCGGCTCCTAGCCCGGGGCCTGCGGTGTAGACGGGGGTTGGGGACAGGCCCAGCTGGCCCTGACCGGGTGTCGGGCGCCCAGAGATGCCGCGCGGGAGGAGCCGCGGGAGAGCCGCCGGACTCAGCGAGCAGAGGGTCGTGGAGCCTGATGGATCGATGAGATCTGAAAAAGAACACTGTGCGAGATTGTATTCCTGCTTATTCTTTCCAAGTTAGTAGGCAGATTGGAACTATAGAATTTATCCGTGATAATAATAAAGTTCGCATAACTTTTGTTCTGATTACAGAAACAATGTATGCTCAGGACAGAAAGCTAGAGATAAAGAGAAATATAAACAGCAAACAGGAAACCATCCCCAATCCCACATTTTTTACCAGCCTTGTCACAGCCTGGCAGATTTGAACATTAAGTTAGAACTGGAGCCATTCTTGCCTAAACCAGAGAATCCCTGAATGCAGCCGCCCCTTCTCACCCTTGTGACCGTCTCTGAGCTCCAAAGTTTGGGTTTTTTCCTTGCTCCCTACCCGGGCAGAATCTCTGCTGGCCACGAGTCCCCTTCCCAGTGGGCTGGGGGCTTTCCTTGAGATCCGTGGCCCAGATGAAATGATGGGAGAGGCCTGGATCCTCACCGCCCTCTGTGGTTTTGGTTCCTTGCCTTGTAAAAATGAAGGTAATGATTCTCAATCTGCTTCTCAAGCCACCATAAAAATTAATGGGTGGTTTGCAGAGCGTTTTGACATCCGTGGATGGACAGCGGCTGTACTTTAAGGCGCTGGGGAACATTCTACTGTTCCTCATTGCAGTGGTCATGCAGTGTAATAGGCTGCCTCTCACCTGGCCGTCCTGCCCAGGAAACAGACTCCAGGAATGTCCAGTGGAGCCCTGAGGACAATATTCCTGGTTCCTTGCTCAGTGCCCTCGGGACTCGGCCAAATCCCTCAGAGTGGGAAGCTTGGGAAGAGGCAGCGCTCTCCAATCCCCCTCCTCCACCTCTGCTTTCTGCTTGTAGGCGGATTTCTTAAAGTAAGGGGGCAGTGATATTTAGGCGGGACCCCAGATTGCCCACTGCCTGATGTTTGTGGGTCTGTGGAATGCCCGGGCCGTGCTTATCCAAAAGAACAGTTAGTTCTGGGAGGACGCATAAACTGAACAAACCTGGCTTCCTAGAGATTTGTATGGCTCACTTGTTTACTAAATGAACAATGACCGGCTGCGGAGAAGCCCAGGACACTTCTGTGAGCTTTATTATTATTTTTTTCCTGTTGTCCCAAGACTACATTTTAGTGATCTTATAAAACAATAAATAAGAACCCATGCCATTTGTTAATTCTGGGTACCAAAGGCCCAGGTGGGGAGAGGTACTTCACAGCATGCCTTTTGTCCCCAAGCACCCATGCCACCCCCACAACAACAAAGTAATCAGGGTAGAAGATCCTCTTTCTGTAACCGTCTGTCGTTTGATAGTTTCATTTTTTAAATTGTCCTTTCCACCAGCACGTGGATCTGATCAGGGTCTGTCTAGTTGCAGATCACAGCTCAAGAGGGGGTTTTGGAAAGACCCAGAAAGTGGGCTGAAAAAAATGCTGATAAAGTATCCTTCACCGGGTGCCTTGTCTGTTCATGTATTGTGCTCTTACTTTTCTCTGTGGAGGGAGGACCTTCCTGGCTTTTCTCCCTTGCTCTTGTTTGCTAATCCGGCAGCCTGGAATTATTTCCCTCTGGGCTGCTTGAATAGACTTTCTTCTTATTCTAATGCTGGATTCTAGTCTGATCATAAGATATGCGAATGGTGAATGTGGTTTACGCCCTTGAATCCTGGGAGGTGTTCCTGGTTTTAAATCCTGGGATCCTGGCCAGTTAAGAGCCCCTGGCTCCCCTGAAATTGCGTGGGAGGTGTGTGTGCTTTCTTTTCCTGGGGAGCTTCTTACAGAGCCCTTGACCCAAACAAGGTTGAGAGCTCCAGAGTGCGGCCCTGGCAGACCTCGTCCCTGGACCCTGGCTCCAGGCAGACCTCCCAGTTCCAGCCTCGTTTCAGGTACCAGCCTTGTTTTGACCGAGTAGGAGCTGCTGTTTACAACTGGCCAGCCATGTGGATTTCCCTTAGCTTTATTATTTTCAAATTGCACACCTAAATTGGGCTGTGTTGTGATTTTTCTTCTGCAAATTGGACTCAGGCCCCTGGGACATTTCCCAAGGCCCTGGAGGTGGGCATCAGGTCTTCTCTGTTGCGAGGTAGCCGCCTGACAACCAGGAATCCGAAAAGGTCACCGATCACTAAATAGAGTTCTCAGAGCACTCTCAGTGCGCGGGTCAGCTTTGCTCCTGGCCAGGAGCGAGCCTCAGGCCAAGCAACGTTTACACTCAGCTTCTGGGGAGCTGGGCTAGGTCTCTGGGCTCCCCAGCTATTTGCACGAAAGAAGCCTCACATTCTGCCACCACCCTGTGGAGCAGTGACAGAAAAACAATTCATCTAGCCCCCAAATACCCAGGGAACAATCCAGCTACTTGATTCAGTATCCTCCAGGAAGCCGAAACCAGCTCCTCGGTGGGCCCTGAGGGCGTCCACGTGTTACATAACCCAGCACCTGATCCCACCGTGACCTCGCTAAAGGGAAAAAGTCTCAATAATCAGTCTTCAGAGGGCGAGGGAGTGCAGAATATGCTTTAGAAAGAGGCTGTGTGCCGTGTTTTAAGAAGGGTAAAATCCCATGTAGAACATCACAGCCTCCCATCTTCCAGGTGAACAGTGCCTCCTGAAGTCATCAGGAAGCATATGGATTTGAGGAAGTAGAATTGCTGTATGGAATTCCTCTAATTTAAGGTTTGGGGTATTTTGAGGGATGGAAATAGGTACCACTCGTTGAGGGCTTACCATATGCTAGGCTGCATGTGTGCCCTTTTGAATCCTCACGAAAACTACCAGGGGTTTCATTTTACAGGGAAGCTACGAGAATTTAAGAAACTCCTCCAACCTTAGACTTTAATGAGTGCTTGAGTTGGGATTTGAACCTGGATCTGTCCAAGTCCAGAGCTCGTCATCACATCTCCCGGGGTGCTGAAATTAAAGAAACAAACGGCTCTCAGTCACACATTGGAGCCTGAAGATACAGGCATGCAAATAGCGGAGTGCCAGCCTCCCTCACACAATTAGAAAATAGCTTGTACTCTGAAGGTGATGAAATCTTTAAAACATGTGACGCTTTCTCAGCCTAAATGGAAGGCAGCCATTTTGCACCTTTGTTCGTGAAACCCTCACCCCGTCACCAGGGCGAAGCAAGGTTTATTTGGAAGATTGTGACTTTGAAGTTGGGATAACCCAGGATTTGGTACGATGTCTTTCCTTGTCCCGTGAAAAGAGGGTGTTTGGGCACATGGGGTCACTAGAATGAGATTAAGATTATAGGAAGGCGGTTAAGTAAATGTACAATAAGGGTTCCACCTTCCTCTTTACAATCAAATAAATGACATACTAATGAGATTATTCTTATCTGCGCAATAAAAGCTTATCTCAGGGGAGCTCTCTTTGCTGAAGCCTGTTAGCCCAACTCTTCTGTAGAGATTGAGAAGAATACTTCCTTTGAAAGGATTTTATGGTTCCAAGTTTTTATTAAATCTGCATAACTGAGGACAACCCTGCCTCTTTTTTTTTTTTTTTTGAGTTGAGATTTCTCTGTTGCCCAGGCTGGAGTGCAGTGGCTCAATCATAGCTCACTGCAGCCTTCAACTCCTGGGCTCAAGCAATCCTTCTTCCTCAGCCTCCTGAGTAGCTGGAACTACAGGTGCACACCAGCACGCCCGGGTAGTTTTTTTTTTTAAATTCTTGTAGAAATGGGGTTTCGCTATGTTGTCCAGGCTGGTCTTGAACTCCTGGTTTCAAGTGATCCTCCAGCCTTGGTCTCCCAAAGCACTGGGCTTACAGGTGTGAGGTATGTTGCCCTGCCCTTGCCCCATTTTTATGAGCAGGCAGGAAGCTTTTCTAGCCCCTCCAATGTAGGAGGTCCCTGAGCTCATAGTGTGCCGGTAAACCTGCTCTCTGAGGAGAAAGCAGAGCTTCGATTGCAGTATCTGCCAATTTCTGTGACGTAAATATTCCCACCATGGCTAATTTCTTTTTCTTTTTTTTGAGTCTCACTCTGTCACCCAGGCTGGCTGGAGTGCAGTGGTGCAATCTCGGCTCACTGCAACCTCCACCTCCCAGATTCAAGCTGTTCTCCTACCTCAGCCTCCTGAGTAGCTGGGACAACAGGCATGTGCCACCACGCCCAGAAGTTTTTGTATTTTTAGTAGAGACCGGCTTCCCCATGTTGGCTAGGCTGGTCTTGAACTCCTGACCTCAGGTGAACGGCCCAGCTTGGCCTCCCAAAGTGCTGGGATTACAGATGCAAGCCACCATGCCCAGCCTGATTTCAAACTGCCAGTTTGGGCTGGGAACATTACTAAATAGTTAACAATCTGTGTGAGCCAAGAAGAGCTGGGTCCTGCTCACCATTCATTGCACTGAGCCCACCCACACGACACCCCTGCTTCCCCTTCCGTCACCCCCATCACTTTAATGGAAGAAATTGTGGCCTCACTTCTGCTTGGTCCATGTCTGCCTAGGAGCAGTACTGAAAAAGGATTTGGGTACTACTGAGTAACCGAATTTGGCCAGCAAGAGTAGAAGGCTTCAAAACTCAGGCTGCATTTTAAAATCACCCGGGAGCTTAAAAAAACAACAATCCATGTTCCAGGCCCATCCCCAGTTGAATCAGAATGTCTGGGTGTGGGTCCAGACCTCTGTAGATTTGGAAAGCTTCCCGGGTGACTGTAATGTATATCCACGTTGAACACCAGGGATGTGGTGATGAATTTGTTCAAGAAGAAAGCTGAGGGGGTGCAGTTTGGGGCAGGGCGTGGCAGACCCTGTGTATTTGAGCCCAAGGAGGTGAGATCTCCCTTGCAGAGCAGGGAATGTTTTTCCTTAAGGCCTCGTAGAGGGTGAGGAAGTGCTGGGCTAGGAGAGGCAGGCGGAGCCCATCTTCCCCCCAACAGGTCTGTCCTCCTCCAGGGGCACGTGTCCTACACTGATGAGGTCCACATACTTGTTTGGCTTTGGTTGCTTCTGCTGGTCTAGAAAGGAAAAGAGTCTTCCTTCCAGGAAGTCAGGGGGTCAGGATGAAGCCAGGCAGACCCCCTGGGTGGGTGTGATGAGCTGTTCTCAGATATTAAAGCAGAGGGGCTTACTGGGACCACCCAGATGAAGGAAAGAGAAACCCTACCGCCCAAGGACCATAGCTGAACACTTTGTAAGAGTCCTTGAGCTTGGGTGCGCACATAAGCTGATTATTTTTTCTCCATCATAATTACCAGTAAAATTATTTTAAAATGTGAGAGCTTTCCTTGGAGGCAGTAAGCATGTGGGAGGGAAAAGTCATTCAACTTCAGAGCCAGCCATGGTGAGCGGGGCTGGGACTGGGGAGAGGCACACGAGGCCCCTGGGGTGCAGGATTCAAGGAGGTGCTCGCCCTGGGGGGGTGTCTGGGGAAGGGTCTGTCCTGCTGGCCAGAGGAGGGCTGTTTGAGAGAGGGCGGTCCTGGGCTCACTTCCTTAGAGTTGGGCAGTGAGTGTGGAAGAGCTCATACATGGGAACCTAGAGTGAAGAGCAGGGGCCAGGATCACACTGCTGGATCACCCCCAGAAGGGGCAGGAAGGCTAAGGGGGAGCCAGTGGAGGAGCAGCTGGGATGGGAGAACAAGTGCCCTGCGGGGCCCTGAAGTCAAGGAGGAGAAAGATGGGGGTAGGGGGAGAGGGGGTTGAGAGCTCAAAGCAGACGGGACAGTTCTGAGTCTATCATGTGCGGAGGATTTATGAACGGGAGGACTGGAACCCTGTCACTGTGGTAGTGGAGAAACTCCTATAATAGAAGAAATAGCACAGAGTGGAGGCCACGCAGAAGAATGTTGGTGATAAAAGAAATTGGACCGTATTTGATGGTGTGGAGACAGGGCAGGAGGGAGCCAGGGTTGGGTCAGAGGGACTGGGATTCTAGCAGGGGCGGAAAATTCTCCTTGGGGTACCCGTGCGGTGGGGAGTGGCCGCAGATGCTGAGAGGGAAGCATTGGGTGTGAATAGCTGATCACCAGGAGCAGCTGGTTAAAAGACCTTCCCCAAATGCTTTCTCAGATCATAACATCTGCAACTTTTTCCCACTAGCCTTTGTGGAGGGCTGGCTGGGGGGCCCATTTGTCCTTAAGACTCAATTCAGCAGACTCACTTGCTCTTCCAGGCCCAGTTCACACTGCCTTCTCAGACACACCCGAGGAACCTGCACCTGGGTCTGCCTGTGTCCTAGCTTTCTTACCTGTCTGTTGTCCCCCTAGGCAGGGCGCTGCTTGGGGGCAGTTGCATTTTATTATCTCTGCATCCTCCATACACAGGAGCCCCTCAGACACCATGCCCAGTGCATGAAAGAGCTGGCAGAGAGAGAGAGAGAGCCTGGACAAGGTGAAAACTTAGGGTGGTGACTTCATACAGCCATGTAGTGACAACTCCAATATTCTCTTCTTGACATCTTGGCAGTAAAACTTACAATATATGATAGAAGTAATTCCTCCCTATGAATAATAAACGGCTTACTTATAAATACTGTCCAGTGGCCATCCCCGTAGTTCTGTGCAATTTAATTTTTAATTCAGGTAGGTTTACCTTGCCTTTGTTTACCCATTTTCCACTGTTGCCCTTTGTAAGAGGATTTGACTTTTTTTTTTTTTTTTTTGAGACGGAATCTCACTCTTGCCCACGCTGGAGTGCAATGGCACGATCTCGGCTGATTGCAACCTCCGCCTCCTGGGTTCAAGTGATTCTCCTGCCTCAGCCCCCCAAGTAGCTGGGATTACAGGCGCATGCCACCATGCCTGGCTAATTTTTGTGTTTTCAGTAGAGGTGGGGTTTTACCATGTTGGCCAGGCTGGTCTTGAACTCCTGACCTCAGTTTATCTGCCCACCTCGGCCTCCCAAAGTGCTGGGATTACAGGCATGAGCCACCTTGCCCGGCGAGGATTTGATTTTTTAAAAGCTTTAAGATTAAGAGATAAATGGAGTATTATTAAAATGCATGTACATTTAAGCATTTTTAAATCCTGCTAACAATCATAGTTGATGTACAAGTGCCGTCAAATATTTGTATGTGTCCTGTGCATAAATGGGAAATAAGGGTACGGTATTCAGATCTAACTGAAAATAATGATTGGAGCTGATGTAATACTTACACATAATTCATGTAGAATGCTAGGCCCAGGGCCTATGCCCCATTGCAAAGTGGTGAATACAGATATGGTTGTGGTTCTTCCTGCTGTGGTCTGGTCTCACGTTTCCTTACCCCTGTCCCAAATATCCCCTCTAGCAAGTTGGGTTTTTGTTTTTATCTTGTGGTTTGAGGAATCGATATTTCAAATGTTTGTAAGAGGAATGCTCTGTTCCGGTTCAGTACAGAGCAGCAGCCATTGGTTCTCTCCTTTACAGTGTGGGACTAGGACATCAACACAATTTTGAATTTTGGTCTCATTTCAGGCCTGTGTGAGGGGGTGCTGACTCTGGGTGACATCAGGAGATCAGGCACTGGCTAGTCATCACAAACAGAATCCCAAGAGTTCACTTAGTGCCCATTTTTGCTTATATGTGTATCTTATTGGAGCCACCTGTGATTTTCAGAACTGCTGAATTGGGGGAAAGCAGACGCAACTGTTTGGGGCCACGTGCGCACACACTTGAAATGCTCAGTTGCACTGTGTAATGTAGGATTTTTCCGTGGTTTTGGATTCTTCCCATTTTTGTTGGCCTTTTCCCTGTGTTACGCACTGAGACACTTCTGTACACAGCTGTTTCTTCGAAATCAATCAAATTTGAAACAGCCTGATTTGCAAAACTGAAAGTTGTTGTATGGAGGAAGATCCTTGGTAAGAATTACATGGCTCACGTATCATGTTCTTCTTACATTGTTTTTTGTTTCCCAGCCATTGTCAGGGAACAATAGCTGGAATGACGTTTTCACAGACTGCAATATGAGAAGTTCCTTTTTCCAGTGGCAGCTCCATGGCTCTTTGTTGGGACCTGGTTCATTGCGGGGACATCACAGTGGGAAAGAGCAGGGGGTGTCTGAGCCCCACACACCTGTCTGTGTCCGAATATTTGGCTTCTCTTCCTGTTATGACCTCGGTCACATTTTTGGACATCTTTGAGGCTCAGCCTTCTGATCTCTAAAATGATGACCATCGTACTTCGCTCCTGGAGTTGGGCAGTTTAAATGAGATCACACTCAATGCCACTGTACTGCTAGCTGTGGATTTGGCTCCATCATTGTCCCTGTGGTTTTTGTTTGTTTGTTGTTTGTTTTTGAGATGGAGTTTTGCTCTGTCGCCCAGGCTGGAGTGCAGTGGTGCGATCTTGGCTCACTGAAATCTCCACCCACTGAGTTGAAGTGATTCTCCTGCTTCAGCCTCCCAAGTAGCTGGGATTACAAGTGTGCGCCACCATGCCCAGCTAATTTTTGTATTTTTAGTAGAGACGGGGTTTTACCATGTTGGCCAGGCTGGTCTCGAACTCCCGACCTCAGGTGATCCACCTGCCTCAGCCTCCCCGGGTGCTGGGATTACAGGTGTGAGCCACTGCGCCCGGCCTCCATGTTGGTTTTGAGCCCCATGCTTGTCAGCGTGCAGTTCATCATGCCTTGCTTCTTTTGTCTTGTGTACATGTACCATAGTTTATTCTTAGATACTGAGTTAATAGAATTTCTGTGATGTTCCAGCATCTGAGTTGAACAGAGTGTAAGGGTTTGATATTCTTCTGATGCTCAACTTGACCTTTAAAAAGCTCGTAGGTGTGGACCAGGGGCTCGATGCAGTCCTAAGTGTCTAAATAAGGTTTAGGGCTCATCCATGCCAACTTTGCCCAGTTCCTGAAGTTCCTGGAGGAGGTGGGGTGGTGGGGGTGGGGGTGGGGGTGAGGAGGGGGATGTGTTTGATGAGGCTACAGGTCCCCAGACCTGGGGTGGAGTGTGGCTCTGGCAGGTAGCATAGAAGGACCAGCAGCAAGTGCCGGAGGCCCCTGTGCCTTTGTTTGCAAGAGGTCTTTACCTGCCCTGACTTCTTGGGTGGGGTGGGGAGGTGATAACATCTTTTGTTCACTGTAAGTACTTTGTAGACATATGAGTTGTTTTCAGAATTGTTCCTTGTGATTTTCTTTCAGCTTTTGGTTTTTTTGGAGACAGTGTCTCCCTCTCTCACCCAGACTGGAGTGCGGTGGCCCAATGTCAGCTCACCACAACCTCCGCCTCCCAGGTTCAAGTGATTCTTGTGCCTCAGCCTCCCTAGTAGCTGGGATTAGAGGTGCATGCCACCACGCTCGGGTAATTTTTGTATTTGTAGTAGAGATGGGGGTTTCACTGTGTTGGCCAGGCTGGTCTTGAACTCCTGACCTCAAGTGATCTGCCCGCCTTGGCCTCCCAAAGTGCTGGGATTACAGGTGTGAGCTACTGTGCCTGGCCTCTTCTTTTCCAAAAAAAATAATAATAAAAAAACCTTTTCTGCTTATGTATTTTAAATTACTGAATAAATTACATGTTTGTACATGTTTGTTTTAGAAACACTAGAAAATGTAAAAAGAAAAAAAATCACATCAGTGGAATTCTACCACCCATGATGACCACTCTGGACACTTTCATATGCGTCTTTCAGATATTTTCGCTTGAAGTATAGAGCTTCCAAACAAAAACAGGCTGAGACAGTGAGTGGTCTTGCCTTTGTACCTGGCACATAGCAATTTTTCAATAAGTATTTATTGAATGAATACTATGCTTTTTTTTTTTGAGACTTTTTAGGCTGGAGTGCAGTGATGTAATCTCAGTTGACTGCAACCTCCGCCTCCTAGGTTCAAGCGATTCTCCCGCCTCAGCCTCCCTAGTAGCTGGGATTACAGGCACTTGCCTGTAATTTTAATATTTTAGTAGAGACACAGTTTCTACTAATTTTAATATTTTAGTAGAGACACAGTTTCACCAGGCTGGCCAGGCTGTTCTCAAACTCCTGATCCCAAGCGATCCAACTGCCTCAGCCTCCCAAAGTGCTGGGATTACAGGCGTGAGCCACCACGCCCGGCAATGCTATGCTTTTAAAAATAGCTTTTTATCTAAAATTGTTGACATATTTTCAGATCAATAAATACAGATTTGCATCCTCATTTTTCATGTCAGGTTTGTATAGGTACAGGTACAGTACCCTGTTTGTTTAATAAGTGTTTGTGAATAGACACTTCCCAGTTATTTTGAAATTATAAACAACACTGCAATGAACATCTTTGATATATAGATTTTTCCATGCATGTTAAGTTTCTCATTTGAATGAATCTTTTACTTTTATTGTGCTTAAAATCTATGAAGAACTTATAATTATATTAATTGTTGGGTGACTGTATAATTACTATACAGAAAAGCACCTCAAAAGGGAGTGACGTTGGGAAGAGTTCCAGAATCTGTTGTATAAAACTTGGTGAACTTTAAGAGCGGCCGTACTTGTTCCCATCCTTTTTGGGGGAATGCTTTCTGTTTCTCCAGATCCTGACGTGCTTTGCGTTCTGCGCTTTTGGAGTGGGAGGGTGGGTCAACAGAGTAATGTTGATGCCTTAAACGCATACTTCAGTTTTAGGATGCACACATACATGCCAGCTTCAGAAGCATTAACATCTGGGAGTAACTGTATGTTCTAGAGTCCAGGAGGTGTTTCCGTTGGGAGGTCTTCAGGGCCCACTCCCTCCTAGAAGGGGATGAGTGATGGTTTTCATGCATTCAGCTTCGGAGCTGTTGTTGTAAGCTTCTCCAGGGTCATGTCGTCATGGGTGTCCAGAGTGATTTTGTGGCTGTGTCACTTGATCAGCTGTGACAAGATGGACTGCAGTTGGATCTGGCATCTGGTAAAAGCACAGACTTGGTTTTCAGGACCTCTGGGTTCACTAAGGGGAGAGTTTGTCATGGCTCCTGCTGATCGCAAGACTGTAATTTGGATCTTGACTGCGGTCTGGTGTCGCAAGCCTTCTTTCTGGCAAGAGAGGAAAACTAATTTATGGGCGGAATATTTTTTGGCCTGTCTCCTGTAGTTTTGCACAGGGGCCTGGCTGCCTCCTCAGGTCTTGGCACCGCAGTATTTGTGAGTCATCCACCTATAGGTAACATGAGGCAGCACTTTGGGGCTTCGTGAAACCCCAGCTATGGGGATAAGGGACTGGCCAGCATTCCCAGCACGCCCCAGGGGCTGCTTAGAAGCAGGAAACTGTCCATGAGTTCTGGTTTTTTGTTCTGAGTGTGGAGGACACCTTCAGGAGGCTGGGGAGGGGCCCTGACATCAAGCCTGAGAGCTGACCCCTTTTCTAACTCTCTGGGACATGGTCCTGGCTCTTTCCCTCTTCTTGTTCACGCTTTAATGCCTTTTAATTCCTTGACTCACTGCTGAGCCCCTCTGCATTCCGGGTGGGGGAGATAAATGGGGAGCCCACCAGATGCAGCGTCTGCCCACAGGGAGTTCACTGCCCAGCAGGGGAGAAGGGGCATTCAAGTGCACCAGGGGAAAGGTCAGGGTTCATGAGGTTGTAGTTGTACTGGGGGTCAGGACAGGATCCCTAAAGAAGCCCCACTAAGTAGGGGGACCTGAAGAATGAGCAGGCCAGGAAGTGCATGGTGATTTAGGGGGGCAGTGGACTGGTGGGTTCTGGGCAGGGTGGCTTGGTGAGTCCAAGGAACCAAAAGAGGGCCATAGTGAGACCCCCTTCCCAAGAGCACCTGGGAGGGATTCCGGGGCAGGTGGCTGGATCGGACAGGTCCTTCTGCACTTCCCTCGCTTTGAACTTGTATCTAAGGGCACCAAGAAGACGCGATTAGACGTGTAAGCGTGACTTGAAAGGGGCCGGGTGACCTGCCTGGGGTTCCCTGGCACAGGGGGTGACCCATCCATCATCGACGCCTGGCAGGGAGGCTACCCTGTGCACCACATCCTGTTCCAGACCCCCATCTTCACAGCCCTGGCACTACGTGTAGCAGAGTCGGTCTCCCAGCCCAGTGCTCCCGTGACCCACATGTGGTACTTCTCCCTCCCGGCCTGCTGTGAGATTCTTATAAAATTGTCTCTGATTAATCACCCTGTACAGCTTTTAAAAGTTACTTTTATTACCCAAAACAACACTTCAGAAACTAAGCTGACGGTTGAATCATTGAAGGAGTCACAGCATTCTTTCATCCCAGAGAGAAAAAAGGTAATGAAGAAGAGGAGACTGTCCAGTGAAAACCACATGAGAGGCACCCAGCATCAATGCACCTCTCTCTGGTCAGCTGAGTCCTTGAACTCCTCGGCAGTTCCCCCTCAGGGAAGGTCAGCGGACAGGCTGTGTCCTGGCTTTAATTGTCAGTTTCTGAAACTCACCAGGCTGGGTAGTCAGACTTCTGACAGCCACTGTCTCTGCACCCCCGTGAGCTGCTGAGTTTACTGGCCATCCAGAGAGACTTCTGTGTTGAACCCACATTAACCTGGCTAATCCCATCTCTTCTGTGAAAACTTGAATACAACCTTTTGCAATAGGAAAACCGGCTGTCCTCAACTGGCTCAGAGGAAAACCATTAGCTTTTCAAGGTGAAAAGGAAATAGTGAAAAGCTGGGAGATGATGTCATAAACACTGATTTTTTTGTCATTAGTCAAATTGTCTAGAAATTGGCTGCTTGCTAAATTGGGAGTGGGATCGTTATTCTGGGAAGATGGGGGTTTTTTTCATGCTCAAGAAGATGGGTAAAATGGCAGTGATTTCCACAGCGAACCTGTGTTGGAGGGCTGCGACTAACAGGTGAGTAACATTCGGGACAAAATTCTGATTTACTGCTCAGCCGATGATTGCCAACTAGGCATGATGGGAAAAACTTGCGCTTGTGTGACTTCGAATGTCAGGTTGTTTGTGGTTGTCCTCTTGTGCTACTAGGATTTGCAAATAGGCAATGCAGTAGAGCTCGCAAATGGGGTCTGGAAGGGAATGTACAAAAATAACAATTGTTGTTTGGGTTGAGATTTGGCCTGGCGAGGTTGAGGATGGTCATCTCCTGCTCACTACACCTGACCCCTCCCGTTGTCTTTAAGGAAACAAAGTAAACTTCGGGAGAAAGAGGAGAAAGAGGCTGGGCACGGTGGCTCACACCTGTAATCCCAACACTTTGGGAGGCCGAGGCAGGTGGATCACTTGAGGTCAAGAGTTCCAGACCAGCCTGGCCAACATGGTGAATCCCCATCTTTACTAAAAATACAAAATTAACCAGGCCTGGCCTGTAATCCCAGCTACTTGGGAGGCTAAGGCAGGAGAATCGCTTGAGCCCAGGAGGTCGAAGTTGCAGTGAGCCGAGATTGCGCCATTGCACTCCAGCCTGGGCAACCAGAGCGAAACTCGGTTTAAAAAAATGATAATTAAAAAAAGAGGAGGAAGGGAGGTGGTGGCTAAAATTTGTAGAGCAGCTACAGGCAGTCACTGTACTAGGTTATTTCACTTTCTTAATCCTCAGGAAAACTCAGTGGAGTAAATGGTTTTGTTTCCATTTTATGATGAAACTAAAGCCAAGAGGATAATTAATGTGTCCGTGAACATAGCAAGTATCTGAAATACCACGCAGTAAATCTTGTGTGTGGCACTTAGGTCTGGATATTAACCGAGGGGAATTGGAGACACAAGGCACCGGCATGTTGATTTTAATTTTCTGCAAACTCTATTTCACATTCTGCATTTGAGGATGCCTGTGACTTGGACATCATTTTGACTCTCTAATATTCCTTTGAATTATAAGGGTCTTTTGAAACTTTGGAAATAGTTATTTTCATTGGCGGCAAATGGACCTGGTGTCAAACTAATGTGAACGTTGCCTGTCTGGCAGAAAATGTAAAAAAAGCTTTGCTTAATTAAGGTAACATTATTCTTGATAGTAGAAATATTAAAAATACATAATCCTACTTCGCTAACTAATCACATTTATGTATTCCCTCTTTCTGATTCTTGTTTGGTGTTCATGCATAACACATATATTGTGCTTATAGTAATAATAGTAATAGAATAGGGCTGCATGCCATCCTGTGTTTTCAGCGCTTTACAACCTTACAACCATAGGAGGGGAGGGACTCTTACTGTCTCTGTTTAACAGATCGGGAAACTGAGGAACCATGGGGTTTAGGGACTTGTGTGAGCTGGGAAGTGCAGAAGCCAGGAGTTAAGTCCAGGCTGTCTCAACCATGATACTGTTCTCCCCTACACGGGGGGCCAGGTCTCAATTCCAGGGTGAACAAGGTGCTTAACCGGGACCAGACTGGGGAGCAGGATGGGGCTGTGTTGTGGGAGGTAGGGAACCTGAGGTCGCAGATGACGTGTGAGGGTGGGCGGGAGGTTGCCAGGTGGGTAATCAGGAGGATGAGTTCAGACCTACAGCAGGAGCACTCCTTGGAGGATGAGGGGAAGGCCCTAACACCAAGAGGGTGTGGAGCTGCGGTCTCACCACTACACCCTGACACGTGGGCTCTCCATCTTCCCTGCCTGCTTGGAGTCTCCTGCAGCAGTCCTCGACCTTCCAGCCCTGCAGCTTCTGCAGCAGCCTTGCACTTCCCTAAGTGGTATTGGAGCTGCGCTCATTGCAATAAGGAATTATTCTCATGGCTCCATATCCGCGTCAGGTTACCTCCTTCCCGTGCCTCCCTGGCTCCCTGGGTTCTTGGTTCTTGGTGCTCACCTCTGCACAGACAGGTGTCACTGAAGCCCCTCACCCAGTGACCCAGTGATGCTGAGTCCCGCTTTGGGAGGTGTGGCACAGGGGCAGCCACAGTGGACCCTTGGTGGAGAGGATCAGAGCCAGGATCCCTGCCACCCTGAGTGGCGGATGCTGCAGAGACAACTCTTTATACCTGAGAAGCTTGCCCTCAGGTATCTGTACTTTGTGGGGCTTCTCTGATTGGCCATTGTGTGTTCATCTAAGAGTTAGTGCAGGACCGGAAGCTCCCACCCAGATGGTGAAGGCACCTGCTGGGTTTCCTGCCACCTGTGGAGAAGCCCGCTCCTTCCCTTGCTCAGGTGAGGGCGACCACACCCAGGTCCACCTGGTTCCACCAACCAGTCCGTAGCTGATGGAATGAAGGGAGCAGCTGGGCTGTAGCCAGGTAGTTAGGGATCTGGTCAGCTCGGTGGTAGCAATGATAATAGATGGAGTGTTCTAGGTTTTCCCCTTTGGAAATCTGAACTCTATTCAGGGAATATTTGTTAGTAGCAACATCAGTAGACTTATGAGGTGGGGACTGGGGGCTTGTGTTTCCATGAGGGGTTGCAGAAACACGGCCACCTGATGCCCAGTGAGTTTGTAGAACCGGATGGACCTTGGGGTGTTCTCCGTGTACCTTCTAAGGAGTCTTTAACTCAACAGAGTTGTTCTTTTTTTTTTTTTTTTTTCAAGTTGTTTACTCTTATTTTCTAGTTACCCTCTAGAATTATTGCATTGGGGCCAGGTGGTGTCTAGTACAGTTTTTTACTTTGGAGAATTTATTGAAATTTTCTTTGGCTGAGAATGCCTTCAGTGTTTGTGGTTATTCCTTGGATACTTGCAAATCGATTGTATTTTCTCTGGGACACGGGGTTTCAGATAGATCAGTTAAATGAAGCTTGATTATATCGTATTTCACGTCGCATGCCATGTGTCTTGTCTGTTGGACTGTCAGGTCTCAAGAGACGGGCTTGGGTTTCCCTGTGTGGCTGCTGCCTTGCCCCTTCCCCGATCCACACTCACGGCTTTTACCATATGTTTTAGTCGTTCTTTCGGCATAATTGGATGTTTCCGTTGCTTTGCAATTTTACCAGTAGAGAAATCCTGTGTGTGTGTATTTCATACTTTTCCTGATACCCTTTTATTGCCTCCCTTTCTAGGTCATTTCATTGTGGTTTTATTTTATGCAAACAGTGTGCAAGTGATTCTTTCTGCCAGTTTTCATATTTGGTGTTGTAACTCACACAGTTGATCACTGCCCTCTTCTTTGAAGATGCTGTCTTCTAGAGCTCTTTCTTCCTTTATGATTTGGAAGCGAGACCAGCCACCCTGGTTCCAGGCGACTTTGCTGTTAGCTTTAGAAAGGAGAGCATTCAAGCTAGTCTCAGCCCAGGGCTACTTCCCCCAGGGCGCCTCTTCCCCGTAGCCACAGGGGAGCTTTCATTTGAGAGGTTCTAATTTTGTGTTGTTGAAGTTGCCAGTCTTGTTAGGCAGACTGACAGCTTAGGCTATCTCACTTATTGGCTTTTTGCAGAATTTTGTGGGTGGTTTTGGTTTTGTACGTTCGGTGCTCTGATCTGCGGGTGGCTTTGGGGAACGGTAGAGTCTGGGTCTATGCTCCTTCCTCATGGTCAAGTCCCCTCCCCTGAAGTTTGGAAGTTGCATGTCATCACGTGCAGCCCTGGGACGTCCCAGTGTGTGCTGGCTCTGAGTAGGTGGCTCTGTGACCCTGGCCTCTGACTGGGAGGCCACCCTTGTTCCTCCTGCCCATTCATTCGTTGATTCTCTCAGCAGACACGCACAGGCTGCCTTCAGCGCCAGTTGTCGCCTTCCAGCTATTCCAAGGACTGAAAACACAGATCTGATCGTGCCTCTTCCTGGCCTGCAGACTTCCAAGGGCTTCGTGGTTGTACAGAATAAGCCTCCGCTTTTCCACACAGCACACGGAGCCTGGCAGGCTGGACTTGGAGGGTTTTATCCCGAGCCTGCTCCTGCCCTGCCTCCTCTGGTGGGCCCCTAGGATGCCTGTGGGTCCTCTCAGGGAAGCATGTGTGTACCCCAGCCTTTCCCTTACTGCCTCTGCCCAGTGGGACCTTCCTTCTCAGCTTTCAGGCTGAGACGCGTGCTTGCGCGCACACACACACCCCCTCTTTCTCTGTCTCTCTCACACACTCTCGCTGTCTCTCACACACACACTTACACACACTCTGTCACACACACACATTTGCATACACACACACTCCCTGTCTCTCACACACACACACTCTCACACACACTCCCACATACACACACTCGCTGTCTCACACACACACACTGTCACACACTCACAAATACACTTACTCACACACACTCATACACACACTCACACTGTCACTCACACACACTCACAAATACACTCACTCACACACACTCTCACACTCTTACACACACACTCTCACACTCACTCACACTCCCCCTTTGTTTCTAGAGCGCTTCTGCTTTAGTTGTAGCCGTATTGGTCAGAACTCAAAACATTTGGGAACGCTGATGCCGAAGGACTGGCCGGATGGAATCTTAAATGTAGAGAAGCCTTAACCCCTCTGTAAACCTTGGCGGGACTTCTCCTTTGTGCATCAGAATCAACTGTGAAGGTTAAAGATACTGCTCAGGTCCTTCCCCTAGAGATTCCATTGGCCTGGAACTGGGACCTCTGGCTTTTTAATTTTAAAAGCATCCTAGGTGACTCGATAGGCCCAACTGGGATTGAAAATGAGCAGTTTAGACAGTTACCTCCTTTGGAATACGTGTCTTGAGTGGTATCATTTCTGAGATCATGGTTTTACAAAACTTCGGGTGTGCATAACTCTTTTTATTGTAGGAATAATAAAAGCCTTTGTAGTCATTCCAAACATTACAGACACATAGAAAGTGAACAGTGAGTCACCCTCCTTTCCTGGAGCGCCTTCCCTCGGGGCGCCCGCCTTGCATTCCGCCGCTAATTCCAGCTAATTGGGGTGCACTCTTCAGCTGACTTCTGTTGCGTAGGTTTCCATGTCTGTATTCCCAGATGGGATTTATGTGTCGTTTTCTTTTTTGTTTATTAGCGCTGGGGATCAGGATCACTTTTTGCCTCGTAAAAGCAATTGGAGAGAGGGTTGACTTTTTTTTTTTAACTGCGTTGGAATTGTTCTGTAGGTTATCACGCCCAGATTGAAAGAAGGTAGATGTGGGGATGGCTGCAGCGTGAGTTACCGGACACAAATTTCTTCAGAGACTACATGAAGACAACAAAATAGGCTACTCATTATGGCCTTCCCCCACTGCCTTTAAAAAAATTCTAAAATTGTGGTAAAAGACATAATATAAATGTTATCATCCTAACCATCTGGAGCATACAGTTCAGTTGCCTTAGTGTTGTACAGCAGAATCTTCACACCTTTTTCATCTTGCAGAATGAAAATTCTGTACCCGTTTCCTCCTCCCCCAGCTCTTGGCACCCACCATTCCACTTTCTGTTGCTATGAATTTGATTACTACAGGTACCTCACGTAGGTGGAATCATACAATATTTGTCTTTTTGTGATTGGCATATTTCACTTAGCATAGTGTCTTCAAGGTTCATCCATGCTGTGGCCTATCATGTTACAGTTGAAGGCTGCATAATATTCCATTATATGTATATGTTATATTTTATTTATCCATTCATCTGTCCATGGACATTTGAGTTGTACCTCGTGGCTATTGCGAATAATGCTGCTGTGAACCTGGGTGTGCAGATATCTCTTTGAGACCCTGCTCTCAGCTCTTTTGGGTATATTCCCAGAGGTGGAATTGCTGGATTATATGGTAATTCTATTTTTAATTTTTTGAGGCACTTCCATATTGTTTTCCTTAGCAGTCACTCCATTTGGCATTTCCGTCGACAGTGTACAAGGGTTCCGGTTCCTTCACATCCTCACCAGCGTTTGTTATTTTCTGGTTTTTTGACAGTAGCTGTCTCAGCAGGTGTGTGGTGGTCTCCCACAGTGTTTTTGATTTGCATCTCTCTGATGACTCATGATGTTGGCCAGCTTCCCTTCTTTAAACTGCATTTATTAACTTAAATTTTCTGTAAAGTTTTCCTTTTTCTTTTTTTCTTTTCTTTTTTTTTGAGACGGAGTCTTGCTCTGTCGCTAGGCTGGAGTGCAATGGCGTGATTTTGGCTCACTGCAACCTCTGCCTCCCAGGTTCAAGCGATTCTCCTGCCTCCGCCTCCAGAGTAGCTGAGACTACAGGCGTGTGCCACCATGCCCAGCTAATTTTTGTATTTTTAGTAGAGACGGGGTTTCACCATGTTGGCCAGGATGGTCTCCATCTCTTGACCTCATGATCCACCCGTCTCAGCCTCCCAAAGTGCTGGGATTACAGGTGTGAGCCACCGTGCCCGGCCTTTTTTTTTTTTGTTTTTTGTTTTTTTTTTGTTTTGAGACAGTGTCTCAATCTGTCGCCCAGGCTGGAGGGCAGTGGCGCCATCTTGGCTCACTGCAACCTCTGCCTCCTGGGTTCAAGTGATTCTCATGCCTCAGCCTCCTGAGTAGCTGGGATTATAGGCACGCACCACCATGCCCGGCTAATTTTTGTATTTTTTTAGTAGAGACAGGGCTTTACCATGTGGCCAGGTTGGTCTCGGACTCCTGACCTCAGGTAATCCACCTGCCTAGGCTTCCCAAAGTGCTGGGAAGCATGGTGGCTCATACCTGTAATCCCTTCAGTTTTTTTGTATTTTTTCTTTTTTTGGTAGAGATGGAGGAGGGAGGAGGGAAGCTGAGGCAGGAGGATCGCTTGAGCCCATCAGTCTGAGACCAGCATGGGCAACATAGTGAAACCCTGTCTCTACAAAAAAATACAAAAAATTAGCTGGGCATGGTGGCATGTACCTGTAGTCCCAGCTACTGGGAAGACTGAGGCAGGAGGATGGCTGAGCCCAGGAGGTCAAGCCTGCAGTGAGCTGTGATCATGCTGCTGCACTCCAGCCTGGGTACAGAGCAAGACCTTGTTAAAAAAAAATAAATAAAGCTCAAGTGAATTGTTTTAGATAGTGTGTGTTTTCTTTCATTGCACGTTTGCTTGGGGAGCTTATTTCTGAACAGACTGCAGAGAGAAGTTCCTTCCGTAAAAAGTGGGAACAAGCCTTTTTCCCGGCTTCACTCTTCCAAAGCCACCTTTACCTTTGCAGATTGTTGAGAGTGAATGTAGTTGAAGTAGGTTGTGTTGAAAAACACGTGCAGAACACAGACATCACCGCAGACCTGAGGGCTGAGACTCAAGCCTCCTGGTGACTCTAAAGTATGGCCAGCCATTGTCCTTTTGTCTGTTGGTGAGTTACATGTGTATCATAGAAGATGTAGAAAATAGAGCCTCGGAAAGAAATTAAAAATCACCCGACTTCCCTTAACTCCATTACTGTGAGCTAAATCACAGAGACATTCTTTTTAGATGGGGTCATTTGTGTTCATATCTGCACCCTGCTTCTTTCACTGGGTGGTTTCACTGGCAGTGCTGACGTCGCCCACACACCATCCACCTGTGAGCCATCCCTGGTGGGAGGTGGAAGGCCATCTTCCGGGGAAATTATTTTCAGTGCTGTTTCGTGACCCCTCGCTGATGGAACACAGTGGTTCACCTACCCCTGTGCCCTCCCGGTTTTAACATTTCCCTTCCAATCTTCCTTGCTAAGATTGGCATCTTTGCAGCATTTCTAAGCAGTATGTACAGCCTCACTTTGCAGAAGTCATTCCAGTGCTCTGTCCTGAAATCAAGTCATCGAGGATTTGTTGACCACCTCTTATGCAGGAGGCACCAGTCCCAAAGCAATTTGACTTTCTGAGGCAGTCGTATGCAATACGTACCCCCCTGAACAGACAGTACCTGCCCTTTCTCACTTAATTCAGCTGTAGGCTCCCAGAAGCCCTTCTGTGTAAAGCCTGGATTTTTTTTTTTTTTTAGGCACCGTCTTGCTCTGTTGCCCAGGCTGGAGTGGAGGGCACAAGGATGAGTGACTTCTGGGCTCAAGGGATCCTCCTGCCTCAGCCTCCTGAGTAGCTGGGCCCACAGGCGTGTGCTACCACACCCAGCTAAGTTTTACAACTGTTTTTGTAGAGAGTTTCCCTATGTTGCCCAGGCTAGTCTCAAACTCCTGGGGTCAAGGGATCCTCCTGCCTCAGCTTCCCAAAGTGCTGGGACTATAGATGTGAGCCACTGCACCTGGCCAAGCCTGGATTTTTGGGGGGCTGTGAGGCTGCACTGCCAACATGAGCCAGTCTCCAAGTGCTCCGGGTCTAGTAAGTCAACAGGGGAGGCTTTCAGAACTCAGCAGCTCCTCACTGGCTCTGGGAAAACTCATTTAGCGATTTGTGAAGGACCTGGCGCAGTGGCTCACCCCTGTAATCCCAGCACTTTGGGAGGCCGAGGCAGGTGGATCACCTGAGGTCAGGAGTTCGAGACCAGCCTGGCCAACGTGGTGAAGCCCCATCTCTAATAAAAATACAAAATTAGCCGGGCATGGTGGCGCACACCTGTAATCCCAACTACTCAGGAGGCTGAAGCAGGAGAATCACTTGAACCCGGGAGGCTGGGGTTGCAGTGAGCCAAGATCGCACTATTGCACTCCAGCCTGGGCAAAGAGCGAAACTCTGTCTAAAAAAAAATAAATAAATAAAAGAGAAAGAGAGATTTGTGAAGGTCATGAGTTCCAGCCCATTTCACTGCTCCATAAAATGCTACGTTGGTGAAATGGGCAGGATGAGTTGCTCTGTGGACAGGCAGCCCTGGAGCTAACAGGAGTATCCTGCATCCCACCACAGGATGTGCTGAGTCCACTTGGAAGCCCAGAAAAAGCTTCTGTGTTTAGCCCTTCAGTTTCTTGCCTTAGTGTTAGGCTGGCGCGGGCCTTCTGGTGCTCAGGGCCCCCGTTCCCTGGTCTCATTTTACACTAACAAGGGCTTCATGCAGCCCGCGGCCCAGGGCGTTCACAAGCTCTCTTAGTTCCGAAAAATCGAGGGGTTCCTTGCCAGCTTCTCTGGCTCCTGTCTGCCTCCTCTTTGTTCCCTGGCTGGTGTTGGGGTGCTTTCTGGACAAGGGTGAGGGGAGGGGAAGGAATCTGAGCCAGTCAGTGTGCCCACACTGGGGGTGCTGCAGGTCGCGTTTCACCCTGGCACGCCCTGCCTGCCCCGTTACGTGGCGATTTGTGATGGGGATCATAATAAAACTTAGCCTGATTAGAGGCATGTGGGAAGCATGCCCAGCACACGTCTCAGTCCCGTCCCTCGGAGCAGGCCAAGCTCGGGCGGCAGGCAGCTGCCTTGCAATTCTCGGAGTTTCAGGAACTGGACAGGGGAAGGTTGGCTTGCGATGTATTTCTCTGGGTTCGTTTGGTGCCGGGATTGAGTATTTCTGGTGAGACAGTTGTTGGAGAGCTCCTGGGGAGACAGGCATTTTGTGGTTGGTTGCATTGTTATCCCACAGGGAATTGGTTTCTTGCCTCCAGGAAATGGCAGTAACATCGGGGACAGCAGCAGTTGCAGGACGACAGACGTGTCACTGAGGGTGCAGGGTGCTATGGCTGGAGCTGCTGCTGTTCTCCCTATCACTCGTGGGGAAGCCAGGCCTGGCGAGGTGCAGGCACTTGCTGAGGTCACGGCGGCCAGACTGGAGCCCAGAACTCTGTCTGCACCTAAGCACAGTGTCCCTTACCTCCAGCATCTGAGTCCCATCGTCTAATGTGGCTTTAACCTCAGGATCGGGCCTAATTCTAGAATCCTACCTGCAAGACAAGCACTGTAAGTGGCTTCATTTCATATATGGGGAAACTGAGGCACCGAGCAGTTCGCTCAAGCTTTGAGGGTCAAAAATTGAATGAAAGTTGTTTGAGGCTGGGCGCCGTGGTTCATGTCTGTAATCCCAACACTTCAGGAGACTGAAACAGGAGGATTCCTTGAGTCCAGGAGTTCAAATCCAGCCTGAGCAACATGGTGAAACCCCATCTCTGCAAAAAACATGAAAATTAGCTGGGCATGGTGGTGCATGCCTGTAGACTCAGCTACCCGGGAGGCTGAGGTGTGAAGATCACCTGAGCCCAGGAGATTGAGGCTGCAGTGAGCTGCAGTCATGCCATTGTACTCCAGCCTGGGCAACAGAGCAAGACCCTCTCTCAAAAAAAATAAAAAATAAATAAAAGTAGTTTGACCAGGAACATTCAACCTTAGCTTCTCTCTAACCTCTAGTGGCTTCCCCACTTCTCTGCCTAAAAGAAGCTATTTCTTTTCTCCAGCCTCAGTTTCCTGTCTCGTCAGCCCCATAGAAACTGAGCTCTCCAAATTGAACGAGGACCCCAGAACACGGGAGTCTGTGCCGAGTTTGGCACCAGGGATGATGTGTGTGGTTGTATCTTCTAGGGACAGGGGCCCTGGCTTTCATCTAGTGACCCCTGTGGAGGACTCCTGCGGATTCCCCATCTACCCATGAAGAGCGGCTCCTGCGGGGTGGCCCGGGTTACCCCAGCAGCAGCCCACCTGGCCAGGTTTGAAGGGCTTGGGCAGGACAGGTGGTATCTGGGCCCTTCTCCTAAAAATTGCCTTTTTATAAATGCAGGCCAGGCTGTCACCTTTATTTATTTATTCATTCAGTCACTTAGATTTTAAACTTGTGTTGACCTTATAGTCAACTGATAGTTCTGAGTAGTTAAGTTAGATCCTTAGGGGGTGACAGGGCCGGTGTGTACCAGGTTAAGGTCTCTCTTGCATTTTGTGGGTGGCTGCCTGCAGTTAAGCAGGGCTACCGTCTCTCGGCCCGGGGCTTCTTGTTTCATGATAAATACAGAAGCCGATGTTTACCCGCCTCTGGTAGCGGACATAGGGGCATCTCTGAGCAGAGCAAGCAGGGGCCTGCGGAAGGGGTTAAGAGGGGCTGGGCAGGTGACCAAGGTCACCATGGCAGGGATAAGTCACGCTGATGGCATTGTGTGGCAAGAAGGACACCTGCCTCTGGTCTTCCTCTCAGTAACACACAACCCAGTCTAACTGGGAGAAAAACCCCCAGCCGAGGGGCGTCTTACAGAATACCTAACCAGGCCTCCTCTACTGTCAAGGTCACCCAAAACACACAATGTCTGGGGAGATGCCCTAGCCAAGAGGAGCTTAAAGAGACACGACACCTAATGTCATGTGGTGATCTGGATGGGATCCTGGAACAGAAAAAAAGGACCTCAGGGACAAACATAGGAGACCCGGATGAAGGACAGGCTTTATTGTTTGATGATAGTGCACCGACATCCATTGTGACAAAGGTGCCGTCCTCCTGTAAGACACTCACAGGGAAGCCGGGTGGCGGGAGGCCTGTGGGAATTCTCTGTATTATCTCCACGACTTTTCTATGAATTTAAATCTATCCTAAAAGAAAAAGCTTATTTAAGAAAATAGGTAAGAGTGGTTAGGAAGGCTGGTTGGAGGCTGGGGTTCCAGGCCTGACCCTCTGCACCCGTGTCTGCTTCAGGCAGGTGACACTGGGCACCTCCTGCCGGGGAGAAGCTCAGGGTCCCCATTTCCTGGCCGGGAACTTCCCTTTCCTACAGACCCTCGCTTGGTGCGCCATGGCAGCTGGGCCCAGGCCTCCCAGTTGGGCCGAGGCCCATCTCTTTTCCCAACAGCACATCCTTTGTTCTCTCCAGCCCAGACGTGTAGAGGTGAGCCACCCTCCTGGCCAGTGAGGAGCTTCTAAACACGGAGGCAGATCAGCTTTTTGCCGAGTGAACTTGAGAACCGGAGCAGAGCTGCAGGGACAATGGTGCATTATTAAACTGCTCTGAAACTCAGAGCCCAGAGCACCCAGCTCTGGGGCGACTGGCAGGTGTTGGACCTGTGGCCGTGGTGCCAGCCCCCACTAATCCCATTAGCGACTTAGGGGTGAGTGGATGGAAAACAGGATGAGAGTGTCTCTCCCCCAAAGAGGGCTGGTTCAAGTATGAATATTCACAGCCACACCGAGGCACCTGCTCCGTAGATGATTTTTTTTTGCTTATGCAGTTAGTGCACAGAGTGAGCCCTGCGCTGGGAAAGACACGCACACGCATATGCACACACATGGGCACACACACACATGCGTGCACACACACGCAGACCCTGAGACCCTGCACTTGAGTTTCTAGTCTTAAGCAAGAAGGGTGTCACCGAGGTTGTGTCCTGCAGCTGCTAGTGGCCAGTCTGTCCCACTTGGATGGTCTGTTTCTATTTTATTTTATTTTTTACTTTTTTTGAGACAGAGTTTGGCTCTTGTTGGCCAGGCTGGAGTGCAGTGGCGCCATCTCTGCTCACTGCAACCTCTGCCTCCTGGGTTTAAGCAATTCTCCTGCCTCAGCCTCCCGAGTAGCTGGGATTACAGGCATGCGCCACCATGCCGGCTAATTTTTGTATTTTTTAGTAGAGAAGGGGTTTCACCATGTTGGCCAGGCTGGAATCGAACTCCCGACCTCAGGTGATCCGCCTGCCTCAGCCTCCCAAAGTGCTGGGATTACAGGCGTGAGCCACCATGCTGGCAGTCTGTTTCTATTTTGGCATTTCCTCACTGCACCTGGAGAAGAGCTTCATTCATTAATTCATCCATTCATTCATTCATTCAACAAGTACCTGACAGCCTGTACAGCAGTGGTGCCAGGTGAGGAGGGTGGGTAAAAATGCAGGGTCCTCCTCACTGCAGTCACTGCGGGACCAGGTACTCTTTTCCTGCGCCCCACACTGCCCCAAGGCCCCACTGGTCATCCGTCCAGCACTCTGTGCTCGCTGACTGGTGCGGTGAACTCTCCGGCTGGGCTCCTTTCCTGCTGCAGGTGCCGCGTCTCTTTCTTAAGCCTGTGTAGAAAGTTCTTTTGTCCGGGTGACATTGGCATGATTGAATCAGTGCCAGAGCCAAACAGGATGTGGTTCTGGGCGACTCCCAACTTCCAGCAAATCCGTGGTTGTTTTCAGTTACCTTAAGAGGGACAACTGAAACAGAGACAAGCACCCCAACAGTAGGGTGCTTCGAGGTCCTGGAGGGGAGCCCTGGCCCTGTGGAGAGAGACCGAGTCGTGCAGCGTCCGTGGCCTGCATTTGAAACTGAAGGGCAAGAGGCTGGTGAGATCCGAGAGTCATGCCGCTGCGTGGAGGAACATGCTGAACCTCTGGAGGAACGGCTCTACCTCCAGGTCAGGCTGGAGGCTTTTGCATTTGGTTTGGCGAGGAGAGACAGCAGGATTTCTGGGTGCCGGACATGCTTCTCGGTCAGAGCTGGTGCGTTTCTTTGCAGGGCAAGGTGGAGGCGGGGATGCCAGGGAGGCATCTGCTGCATTTCTTGAGGTTTCACAGGGTGCAGAGCCCCTGTCCTCACTGTTCTGTGGGGTGCTAAGGGAGCAAGCCATGTGGTCCCTGAACTTTGAGTAGATACAGGTAATATTTGAAAATATTTGGGAATGTTTACACAATCACAAAAACAATGAACACTTGTGTAGCCACTACTCAGGCCAAGAAATGGAACTTAACTTTGAAATTCCCTTTGCCCCTCCCAATCCCAGCTTCCAGCTCCCGATCCTCTCCCCTTCCTGCAAAAATGTGTTTATCAGATAAACCTGAAGCATTTGAGGGAGTCCCTGTCCTGAATTTCGCAGTTGTCATTCTCTGCTGTTTTTTAGTTTTATCACATGGGGTTGTGTTTCTAAGCAACATCGTTTGTTTTTGTTTTTAACTTTTATGTACATGGAATCATGCAGTATCTTTTGTGGCTGGCAGACTCTGAGATGGCCTTCAGTGATCCACACCTCCTGGTGTTCACATCCTGTGAAGTCCCCTCCCTTTGGCGTGAGCCGAGCTAGCAACTTGCTTCTAACCAGTAGGATGCATCCAAGTTGATGCTGTGCCTTCCTCCCGTGATTACATTATGTGGGCTTAGAACTTCTTCCTTGACAACAGATGGTCTCCCCTGCTGGCTGTGGTGGAGCAGGCTGCCATATAGAGAGGCCATGTGGCAAGGAACTGAGGGTGGCCTCCCCCGGCAGCCAGCATGCAGTTGAAGCCTCAGTCCCATGGCCACAAGTAACTGGATGCTACAACAAGCAGATGACCCTGGAGGACCCCTCCCCCAGATGACCCTGGAGGACCCCTCCCCAGTCTAGCCTTGAGATGACACCCCAGCCTGGGCCAAGACTTTGATGGCAGCTCTGTGAGAGGCCCTGAAGAAGAGAGTCTCTTCTTTACCAGTTAAGCCACATCTGGATTCCTAACCTACAGAAACTGTGTGATAATAGAAGTCTGTTGTTTGGGGCGATTTGTTACACAGCATTAGGTAGCTAATACATAGTCTTGCAAGAGTTCGTTTTTTGGCTGAGCATTATGTTCTTGAGGTTCATCTGTGTTGATACCTGTAGTTGTAGTTCATCTGTTTTCATTACTATGTGCCTTTCCCCTGTAAGTAGTCCCCCCCTTATCTGCAGGGGATACAGGGCCCCCAGAAGGTGCCTGAAACTTCAGATAGTACCAAACCCTGTATGTACTATTTATTTTTTCCTATGTATACATGCCTATGAGAAAGTTTAGTTTGTAAATTAGGCACACTGAGAGATGAACAATAATGAATAATAAAATAGAACAATTATAGCACTATATTGTAATAAAAGTTGTGTGAATGTGTTTTCTCCCTGCCAGAATATCTTATTGTACTGTAGCACCTGTTTTGGGACCACAGTTGGCCAGGGGTAACTGAAACCATGGAAACTTGGGGTGAGGGGGGACTGCTGTATGTTAATGCCTTAGCTTAATTATTCTTTCTGCTCCTAAAGGACAATAGGTTGTTTACAGCCTTTGCTATCAAAAACCACACTTGCTGTGAAGGTCTTTGTACATGACTTCCAGCTCAGCGTGCAAATGTTTATCTAGGGAGTGCGGCTGGGCCTTGGCTGCCAGTCCAGCTCCACTTCCCACAGCAGCCTTCAGGTTCGCCCAGGCTCCTCCGCATGCTCCCCTCCCTCAATATTGTCCGCCTTTTTTTCACTTGGGGGGATGGTCTGATGGGTGTGAGATGGTATCTGAGTGTTTTTATGTTCTGCCAGAAGCTAATGTTCACTGACCATTCTGATTTCCTCCCATGCGGAAATCCTTTTTGTGGTTTTTGCCCGTTTTTCTTACTGAATTGTAGGAGTGCTTTTCGTTTTTGTTTTTTTGAGACAGGGTCTCACTGTGTCGCCCAGGCTGGAGTGCAGTGGCGCACAAGCTCTGCCCACTGCAACCTCCGCCTCCTGGGTAGCTGGGATTACAGCCTTGTGCCACCATGCCTGGCTAATTGTAGGAGTGCTTTGAATTTTCTGGAAAATAAGCCTCTCTTAGTTACGAGCATTGCAGACACTGCATCCCGGTTTGTCCCTTGCCCTCATGGGCTTTTAAAATCAAATCAGGCACAATTCTGAATTTTTCTGTCCCGGGAGGATAATTTGCAGAATTACACTTTTGCGGCATTCCTAGTCCTGGCCTGTGTGTCCTGGTCTTTGGGTCATGGACTGGTGCCTGTGGACTCGGCCCCTGTTTATCGCTCTTGCTTGATGCTGCCTTCCTGAGGTGGAGACTGCTGGGCTCTGTTCCCGTCTGTGGCTCCCCCTCTAGTCTGGGAGTGCTTTCCTGTTCAGATAGCTCATTCCAACCTCTTAGTCACTTTGGAGAGCCTCGTTCAGTGAGTCAGCACGGGACCTGGAGCTCGGGGACCCCTCACAGCCAGGCCAGTGCACACTTGGAATCTGCAGTTTGTCTTAGGCCCCTGAAGGTGATTGCTTGACCGCAGAGGAATGCACGGGTCTGGGGAGAATTTGCCCAGCGTGTTTAGAAGGAATGCATTCCTGGAGAAAGTTAAAATTAGAAAAAGCTGCTACATTTCCTGCCATTCAGTCGCAGTTGGCTGGTGTTTGTTTGCACAAGGATTCTTTGGTAACAATCTGCAGTCGGTTTCTGGCGGAATGTGAGGTGAAGTCACGACTGACTTTCGGGATGGAGGTGAGCGGTTTCCACAGGGATCTTTGTTGTGGGAGTGACTGCTTTGTTTTCCGAGTTGTTGCAGAATCATACCGGAGTGGAAAAATATTACCGAAACAATCCCTTGTTGATAGTTAGCAAGAAGATTATTTTATTTATTCTAGAAAACAGCTCTTTAGTGGGAAGCAAATATCGTGGAGCGCATCTCTTTGTAAGCTCGGCTGCCATTTTCCCGTCCCCGCCTCCTTCCTGGGTGGCCACCTCTGATGTCGCCTCCTGAGGCTGGGCTTTTTGGGAAACTCCCTCTGACTGGCACAGGCAGTGGGGTCCAGGTTGAGCAAATACAAATGCAGAATACCCGGGTCCATTTGAATATCCGGGGTAATGTACACTAAAACATTATTAGTTGTGCACCTGAAAATTCGATGTAACCGGCTGTTCTGGGTTTTGTCTAGAGACCTCTCCCGGCCCAGCTACACTTTGAAGCCCGCTCTGTCCTGGTCTCTGGTGGTGCCTGGGCCTCTCCCAGCTGAGCGGGGCATCGCTGGCACCAGGTGGGCTATTGGCACCAGTGGGCACACCTGTGGCTTTGCAGGGTTTTGTCCACTTCTGTGTTGGTGCCCTCCGCCTGCTGGTGCTGGGCTGGGGTCGTGTGCCCACTTTATGGAGGCGGAATGGAGAGGCCGGAGGGTTACCAGCCTGTCCAGTAGTGTGCAGCTCGTAAATGGAACTGTTAGTCTATAGGTCTCAAAGCCCAGCAGCTGGAGGGCACAGGAGAAATTAAACCATCTTCTTCCCTGGGGAGCAAAAAAAGATGGTCAGAAACTCACGCACAGGGAGGAAGTGCTGTGGGGCTGAGAGTCTGGGTGGCAGGTGGGCTATCCCCGAGACCTGGGAACACAGGCTGCGGGGAAGCCTCAGTGTGGGGCTTGAGGGAGAGGCAGTTTTTGCACAGGCAGGGAGGGGACCAAGGAGGCATTCCCTAGTCACAGGGGCAGTGGGCAAATGGGAGGAGGTGGGATATGTATAGGGGAGTTTGAGGGTGGGGCCGCTGACCTGGCTGGAGTGACCAGTGGATGCCATGGAGTCTGTCCACGTGGGGTAGGGCAAACTGCAGAGAACCCCGAAATGGGGCAGGGAAGCCTGGCTCCAAGGGAGGAAGAGGCAGGAAGGAGCAGGCACCCTGTGCTCTTGAGCCGGGGATAATACAATGATGATGAGGCAGTGGGGCTGTAAATTTGGTGGAGAGATGCAGCTGAGACCAGCGGGGAGGTGGTGGATCGGTGGACCTGAGACCAAACTGCCGATTACAGGTGCTTGGGAAGCTTCCTTTTCTGTTCAGGCAGCAGGTGCTATTGATGCAGCTGCTGCTGAGCACTAGTGCAGGCCTAGGGGCTGGGTGGGGATACAGAAGTGAGCAGGACAGGTGGGTTCCTGCCCGCAGGCCATACAGGCCAACTTGCGAAACACCCGGGTGCCAATTACCCAGGGCACTCCACACAGCCCGTTCAAGGTGCTTCTTGTTTTTGTCCCCAGATTTGTGCTTGAGAAGCTCTGAGTTCCCGTCTGTCCACCTGCATTGGCATATGGGTACTCTATAAATCATCCATCCATTCAAACATTGGCTGACTGCACCTGCTATGTTCCAGGTTGTTCCTGGTGAACAGGACAAAGTCCTTGCATTCATGGAGCCTGTTCTGGTGGGAGAAAAAGGAGAGAAGTAAATGACAGATACAAGAATGTCAAGAGCGGTGGACGAGACCAGGGGAGGGAGTGGGCAGCAATGGTGTGCTTGTGTTTTTGATACGGTGTGGTCGGCTGAGTAATCCCTTCCACAAAAAACATATTTCTATCCTAATGCTCAGAACCTGTAGGTGTTACCTTATTTGGCAAAAGGGACTTTGCAGGTGTGATTCATTGAAGGCTCTTGAGATGGTGAGATACCCTGGATTACCCAGATGGACCCTAAATGTTATCACGGGTCTTTTAAGAGGGAAATGGAGATCTTACCACAGCAGGAGGCCCTGGAATGGTGGGAGCAGAGACTGGAGTCCCGAGCTTTGAAGATGGTGGAGGGGCCCTGAGCCAGGAATCCAGGCAGCCACGGGATGCAGGAAAGGGCAGGGCCACAGAAGCAGCTCACCCCCTCGGAGCCTCCAGAAGGCACTGGCCCTGTCGTCAGCCCAGTGGGCCTGGTTTCAGATTTCCAGCCTCCAGAACTGTTGGAGAGTCAATGTGTGTTTTAAGCCACTAAGTTTGTGGTAGTTTGTTACAACATCGATAGGAAAGTCACGCAGGGTTCTGCGGCTTTGAGGGAGTTACGTTTGAGCAGAGCCATCTGAGGTTGGGGCTGGGCTTCCCTGCTGACACGTGGGCTGGGGCCACAGAGCCTGAACCAGGATCCAGGCCTAGCTAAGGGTCAGGAATCCCTGCTCTGGCAGTTGTCCTCAGCCTGGAAGTGACCCACAGGGCATATACACGTGTATGAGTTTTCGTTTGTTTGTTTGTTTGGTGCGGGGCAGGGTCTCATTCTGTCTCCAGGCTGGAGTGCAGTGGTGCAATCATGGCTCACTGCAACCTCGACCTCTGGGCTCAAGTGATCCTCCCACCCCAGCCTCCTGAGTAGCTGGGACTGCAGGCACACATCACCATGCCTGGCTAATTTTTTTTTTTTTAACTTTTTGTAGAGACGAAGTCTTGCTGTATTGCCCGGGCTGGTCTCAAACTCCTGGGCTCAAGCAATCCCCCTGCTTTGGCTGTCCAAGGTGTAGAAATTACAGGCATGAGCCACTAAGCCCTGTCCTTTTCAGTGTAAAAATGTCAGATGAGGAATCAATCCCCTTTGCTGAGTATAAGTGTATCTTATTAACAGAAGAAAATATTTGCTTGGCTTTCTAAATTGGGAATTTCTAACAATCCGTAACAGCCCACTGGCTTTGACCAGAACCGACTGAGTGCTCAGGACCAGAACCGACCGAGTCCTCAGTTACATCACTCAGCTGAGTGCCTGTGTCGTGGACAGAAAACCCAGTGGTCTAGCACCATTTACCATCTGTCCTGGTTTACAACCCCTGAAAGCAGAGCCTGAGACAAGGACTTGGGTGCTGATGTTTTCGGGGAGATGACTGGTCCCAGCAGTCCATCCAAATAGAAGAGGGTGAGAAGAGGGAAGAGGAAAAGCTAATCGGGGGTCAGCTACTGAGCTAGTGGCCACTGTTAACCAACTATTAGGGCTCCATCATGCTGGAGACGCATTTGAGGAGCCATGAGACTATGCCCTAGAATTGTCTTTCTGGAGGCCAGGAGGCGGGGGCGTCGACCCCAGGGCAGCCCTGGGGGCTATATGTCTGCAGCGCATCCTCCATCCTGCAGGCTGACCCGGGCTTGGGGCTGTGGTGTGCTGGGATAGCGGAGCACCTGCAGATCACACCCCCTATTTGGAGAATATCTTGACAGCGCAGCAACAGAGTAGTGAGTGTACAAAGATCTACTATAGCTGGCCTTCACTTCCACGAAGTCCTCACTTTGTGGCTGTCCCCTGGGAGTCATAAGAAAGGCACATAGTTTAGCTCCATCCACCAAGATTTGAGTCACCTGCCAACATCTGCCTTAATGACTTCACAGACAGTCATTGTGGCGGAAGCTGTTTAGAAGAATATGGGAGAAAGTCAAAAGTGTGCGTGAATGAAGGGGAATGAAGTGGGAAAACGCATCTCACCTGCATACACATTTTTGACTCTTGTGCACAAGCATTTTTGACCCTCTGTGCACAGCTGTTTTTGACACTTGTGCATAAGCATTTTAGACCCAATGCACACAGTCGTTTTTCACTCTCTGTGCACAGGTGTTTTTGACCTTCTGTGTGCAGGCATTTTGACTCTCCGCGCACAGGTATTTTTGACCCTCTGCGCACAGATATTTTTGACCCTCTGCGCACAGGTGTTTTGACTGTCTGTTTGTAGCATCCTCCCTTGATGTATGTTCGGGTGAAGCAGCCCTCGATGCACACCTATGAGCTCAGGGACTGTGCGCAGGTGAACCAGCCTGTGACACACGCCTACGAGCTCAAGGAGCACGGTGCAGGTGAACCAGCCTGTGACACACGCCTACGAGCTCAAGGAGCATGATGCAGGTGAACCAGCCCTGGATACACGCCTATGAGCTCAGGGTCCATGTGCAGGTGAACCAGCCCTCGACACACACCTACGAGAACAGGGACCATGTGCAGGTGAACCAGCCCTTGATATACATCTATGAGCGCAGAGACCACAGTGCAGGTGAACCAGCCTCTGACACTCATCTACGAGAATAGGGTCCACGTGCAGGTGTACCAGCCCTTGATATACACCTATGAGCTCAGGGTCCATGTGCAGGTGAACCAGCCCTTGACACAAACCTATGAGCTCAGGGTCCATGTGCAGGTGAACCAGCCCTCCACTCACACCTATGAGCACAGAGACCATGGTGCAGGCGTTATCTCTCTTATTCATGAGGAGGCCCAGTCATTCCCTCCCTACCCTGAGTTGAGGAGGAAGGATAAGACTTAACTGTGGTCCCAGCATTTAGTGGCAGAGCCAGGATTTGAGTCCATATTTAAATAAGGTCCAAGTCTTCAACATACTGATGTTTCCCAGATATTTTCAGCCTCCTAAAGGTTTATTAGGGGGACAAAACTCTTTCAAGACTCCGTCACAAACATTCGTAGTCTGATTCAGGCAGGAATGTTAACTTCTACTTTCAAAGACTTGTGATTTTATAACCTGCCATGGGAAAAGGAAATGCAGGATTGGAGCCTGGTCTGGAATCTTACACCCTCACTTGTCCACGTCCTGTCTTACTGCAGCCTGTGTGGTCTTGGGATTGTTCTGTTTGTGTTTGTCGTTACTCTGCATATCATGGCTGGTGGCTTTGGGTTAGGATCCCAGCTTTTCACTTCCTGATCTCGGGTGAGTCTTTGAAACCTGGTCAGCCTCAGTTCTCTTATCTGCTAAATGATGGCATGATGATACCTGTCTGGCCTACCTCATAGGGTTGTGAAAAGCGACCGAGAGGCCAGATGGGAAAGTATGTTATCAACTAGGATACATTATGCTAATGATTTTATTTTTTTTTTTTTTGATGAAGTTTCACTCTTGTTGTCCAGGCTGGAGTGCAATGGCTCAATCTTGGCTTGCTGCAACCTCAGCCCCCCAAGTAGCTGGGATTACAGGCATGTGCCTCCATGCCCGGCTAATTTTTTGTATTTAGTAGAGATGAGGTTTCACCATGTTGGTCAGGCTGGTCTCTAACTCCTGACCTCAAGGGATCCACCCGTCTTGGCCTCCCAAATTGCTTGGATTACAGGCATGAGCCACCCCGCCCGGCCTGCTAATGGTTTTCAGAGGCAGCATCAACATCAGCTGGGAGCATGTTAGAAATGCACATTCTCAGGCCCACCCCAGACCTACAGAATCAGAAACTGAGCGTTGTTGGGCCCAGCAACCTGTGTTGTAATCAGCCCTCCAGGTAATTCCAGTGAATGCTGGCGTTTGAGAACTACTGCCTTAGTCACAGAATTTCACGGGTGTTGTATGCAATTTCTACTATGTATTTGGCACTCAGTGTCTGGTATATTTCAAAGAAAAAAAAAAAAGACAGGGTCCCTGCCCTCAACATGGTCTACAGGCTGGAAGAAAAATTAAAGCAAGAGAAACCCACATGAACTTGATGTACGTTAGAGCCCCATGTTACAGTTGAGGAAAACGAGGCCCAGGAAAGATGAGTCATTTAGCAAAGGTCGTGGAGCTGGTGTGAGAAACGTGAACCCACATGTTTGACTTATGACAATCTCCAGACCCTTCATTCCCCAGGCCGCCTCCCCCCAACATGGGCGGCTCATGGTGTCCCCCCACTTATTCATGCGAGAGAGTTCCGAGGTCAGAATCAAAGCCTAGGACGCCTTCCTTGAGACACTCTCCTTGGCTTGCTTTTAGGTGGTGATTTTCGAAACCTTGGATTAAAACCTTCACCCCCCACAGCCACAGTAGAGTCCAGAATGATGAACTAGATCTTGTGAGGCTCCAGAAGTGATTGGGCAGTGAGTTGAAAAAGTCAAAGTCTAGAAGAATCATTAAAAATACAAGGAAAAGCCGAGTGTGCATGGGTCTTCCAGTCTTTCTGTTGGGTGCAGGTCTTTTCTGAGTGTGGGTTTGGCCATGGTGTCTCCTGTGTAACCCACATGCATGATGACATCATTGATTTCCAGTCCAAGATGGCGCCATGACACAGGGACACTGGTGAAGCCATCCATGCCCAGAGTTCTCCTAGAGTTGACTGCATTTTCCTCAGGTGTTTAATGTCATTTAGCTTGCCAGCCACATTTTTTTTTCTTTGAGTCAGAGTCTCACTCTGTCGCCCAGGCTGGAGTGCGGTGGTGTAATCCCGCCTCACTGCATCCTTCGCCTCCCGGGTTCAAGCAATTCTCCTGCCTCAGCCTCCCAAGTAGCTGGGACTATGGGCGCCCACCACCACGCCTGGCTAATTTTTTGTATTTTTAGTAGAGACAGGGTTTCACCGTGTTAGCCAGGATAGTCTTGATCTCCTGACCTCATGATCTGCCCACCTTGGCCTCCCAAAGTGCTGGGATTACAGGCGTGAGCCACCACACCCGGCCCGCCAGCCACGTTTTTAAGTGATTCACCTTTAGCGAGTCTTTCTGAAACATTTCACTTGAATTGCCAAGGGAGCTGCCCTTGTCTCACCCCTGGCCATCAGTTTATGTAGTAATTAAATATGTAAAATTTCCACAACAAGGACCCCAGCTCCAGCCAGGGGAGCAGAGCCCAAAGGGGAATGAGAAAGTAGTCTTCCGGCCACACAGGTGTAGTGGGCCCTGTGTCTCATTGTCCTCCCGTCTTCACACTCAAAGGCAGGGGGCCTCCGCCTCCTCCACCGCCCTGCCAGGGAGGGAGGGCGTTCAGAGAAGGCAGCCACTCGGTGCTGCGCGGGTGCCAGGAGGAGCTCACGGTGTGTAGGGGGGACGCATGAACAGGTGAACAAAGCCGTTGCGGGTGCTGGGTGGGTGGTTGTCTCAACGCCCCTCCTCCATTTTTATGCTTAGTATTCATTCTAGGTTTAACACAGGAGAGAGGAAGGTTATATCCCATTCCGTATCACATTCTCTGTAAAATTGGAAATTTTATGTAATTACAGGAAGGGTAAGTGAAGCAGTTCTGTGTTCTGCATAAGAAAATGTAACATCCATCAGGTGAGATTTCAGGCCCTCTCACTTGGCTGCTTCATCCATCTGTTGCCCAAATACGTTGTCAGTGTGTAAGTTTTAATAGTGTTGATTTTGATAGCATGAAGTAGAAAGGCTTTTGTCCATCTATCAGAGTGTCGCTTTCTCAGTTCTGTAAATTGGTTGTCTCGGAGTGGAATGATCTGCCCTCATAGAGAATGAAAAACCTGGGGTTGGGTCCATGGCCAGGCCATGAAGTCTCTGTGTAGTCTTGGACGTGCCGTGCATGAGGACTGATTGTGCGAACCCGAAGCTGTAGGAGGATGGCGTCACTGTGCTGCCAGAGCGGGGCCAGAGATGCCTCCCCTCTTTTTGAGGTTGGAGCCAGCTCTAGAAAGAAACCTTGAAATGGATGTTGGGCCCGTTCCCGTCTCCCTTTCTGACCACACCTACGTCTGCTTTTCTTTCCTTCCCTCTTGCCATCTCCTACCCTAGCTGGTCTCTTGGCAAACACTCCTGGCATGCAGCCATGTACCCGGGTGAATGCCCACTTCCGTTTGGCCTGAGCCTACATCCCGCCTGGCCCTTTGCCCACTGCGTAAGTAGGAAGGGTAGAGAACAGGGCTTGGCACACTTTTCTCTGTAAAAAGCCAGAGAGTAACTATTTTCCACCTTGTGGGCCATAAGGTCTGTGTCACAGCTCCACTGTTTTGGTTGCACAGAAGAGCTATTGATAAACTGGTGGGGCTGGGCTCTGTGCAACTTAGGTAAGGACACTGCGACTTAAATTTCTTATCATTTTCACGTCGTGAAATATTACTCTTTTTATTTTCCCCCCAACTGTTTAAAAATAGAAAGACGTTCTTTGTTCATGGGCCATACAAAGATAGGTGGCCAGGTTGGATTTGGCCCGCGGGCTGTAGTTTGCCTCTGGGTTGGACAAGAATTTTCAGGGTGAACACCCCTCATCCAAAAATTTGAAATCCAAAATGCTGCAAACTCTGAAACTTTTTCAGCACCAACGTGATGCCACAAGTGGAAAATTTCTCACCTAATCTCACATGACAGGTTGCAGTCAAAACTCCAGAACAAAATTATGTAAAATGTTGTATAAAATCACCTTTGGACTATGTGTATAAGGTACGGATGAAACATAAATGAATTTAGTGTTTAGACTGGGGTCCCATCTGCAAGATATCTCATTGTGTATGTGCAGATGTTCCAAAATCTGAAATCCAAAGCACTTCTCGTCCCAGGGATTTTGGATAAATGGTACTCAGCGTGTATTTAGTTCTACTTTGTAGTTTGGTTCTACTGACTGGCTCTGATGTATGGTGGTGGGTGAGGCTGGAGCGACCCCAGTCATCCAGCTGTCGGGGATGCAGGCTGTAGAGGCTCTTCTGGCCGATGGCTCCATTGATGTCCACTGTGGAGGCTTAAAAAATCTAAGAAATAGGCTTACACGTTTTCCAGTTTACTCAACACCAGCCTAACATTGCTTCACCTCAACCCTTCAAGAATGTGTCCCATAACTAAGTGGGTTGGACTTTTGGGCCCATACCTGAAGTTGTTGGAACAAAATTAGTTTTGTGTGTTCCTGCATATTCCCTGGGAACTCATGCGGGTCTGGCCCTGAAAGACTCAGCTCTGCAGCGTGGACCAGCTCTTGGTGTGGTCAGCACAGGCCAGCCTGTAGGTTGAGTTGGGTGAAGAGTTCACGGAGCATTTTCAGATCTGTCACTCCCTCAGCAACCTCTGAGATGGGCAGAGCCGTGAGAATTACTTTGACGGGGCTGTTGTCAATGAACCACAAACTGCTGGGTGGTTTGCACAGTGGAAAAGGATTGTCTTACAGGTCAGGAGGCTGGAAGTCCAAGATGAGTGTCAGCAGGGCTGGTTCCTTCTGAGGCTGAGGGAGAATCAGTTCCAGCCCTTTCTCCCTTAGCATCTGGGGGTTTGCAGGTAGCTGTTGGCTTGTAGAAGCCTCACCCCCCATCTTAGTCATCCTGTCACCTGTCCCTCTCTGTGTGCATGTCTGTTGAAACTCCCCCCTTTTATAAAGTCACTGGGTCATATTGGACTGGGGCCCACCCTGGTAATCTCACTTTAGCTTGATTGCACCTTGAACACTCTGTCTCCAAATAAGGTCACTTTCTGAGGTACTGGTGATGCATACAAATTTGGGGGGATGCAATTCCATCTATACCATTGGGAAATGGGGTGAATAGCTGTCTTGGTGACTGTCCTGGAATGAGGATTTAGGACACAGTGGTCATCTCTGTGTGTGAATATAGCTTCCTGTTTGGATGTGGTAGGGTGAGGACCATGAGCCTCATATCATTTATCCACTCACCCTCCCAGACCCTCTGAGGTGGGATCAACTCTCTGCAGATTTGTCATCAGCTGAGACTGTCAACCATTGTTAAAACAGCTACTCAGATGGACAGAGTGACATAACTGCCCTTCTCTCTGCACCGTGGGAGAAGACACTTGTGTTTTGAGCTGCTGAAGACAACAGAATCTTGTCTTCTTGGCATTGTGGTTTTTGGAGATTTGCCCCAAATCATGGTTAATGACAACACTGATGTTTCTTGAAACAACTGGAGAATAAGGCATCCTCTAGACTTTCTGCTAATTCCATCCACCCACGCTAAACCGTGTGGTTTTCTTGGGGCCCCTGAAGACTGACGGGTCCACACTGGTGTCTGGTGGTGCCCACAGGAGAACAGTGCTTGACTGAAAGATCGTACCCCCCTCTTCTCAGCAAGGCGGTCCTTGTCCAGAGGCCTTGGGCCTCTGGAGAGGTTGATCAGGAGTTGGGGAAGTGGAAAGGGGCCAGCGGTCTTGTCCACTGAATCCATCCACTGGGACCTCCCGGACATGACAAGCCAGATTCTCTCCTCCCTCCACTCCAGCACTGAGGGGCTAGTGGTGCCACATGTGCACCTGTCCCTGCCCAGGGTCCAGTTCTGGCGTCTCTGAGCCCCCTGTCAGGGCAGCTGGGTCCCCCCATACTTAGGCATGAGGTATGAGTTTACCCAATCATCCCCCTGTCCAGGGAGCCTGCCGGGCTCAGCTTCAGGACCACAAGGCTGTTAAGTAAAGACGCTGCCTAAAGAACCTGCCAGAAGGAAAGCTCCAGAGGGCTTGCAGGGCCCTTATCCAAAAATGTGAAAATAATCAGTGCTGAAAGCCACAGTGACGGAGGGTGTTGTCAGCGCAGCCTCTCTTTAAATAGAGAAAGGAGCACAGCAGCTTTTTGGAGTTGGGGCGAGGTGGCATCTGGAGTTTCCAGCGAAGATTTATTTTGTGCCTTGGGGGGCAGGAGCTGGGCAGCCTGGGGAGGGCTGGGCAGCAGCGAGGATGGCGAGGCTGAGGCCCTGGACCACATGCAGGTCGTTTTCTTCGGGGTGGCTGGAGGGCGGCTCTCCAGGCAGCTCCATGGCCTCAGTAGCCCCCATGACCAAGTGGAGTGAAGTGAGCTGGGGGAGGAGTGTCACAAGGAGGAAGGCATTGTGGGCCCCTGGAGATGGATGCGTTCCTGCCATGTAGCTCTGGGTCTGGAGCCCCTGGAGATGGATGCATTCCTGCTGTGTGGCTCTAGGTCTGGAGCCCCTGGAGATGGACACGTTCCTGCTGCGTGTCTCTGGGTCTGGGCAGCACCTGGAGATGGACGCATTCCTGCCGTGTGGCTCTGGGTCTGGAGCCCCTGGAGATGGACGCATTCCTGCTGCGTGGCTCTGGGTCTGGAGACCCTGGAGATGGACGCATTCCTGCTGCGTGGCTCTGGGTCTGGGCAGCACCTGGAGATGGATGCATTCCTGCCATGTGGCTCTGGGTCTGGGCAGCACCTGGAGATGGACACATTCCTGCCGTGTGGCTCTGCATCAGGAGCCCCTAGAGATGGACACGTTCCTGCCGTGTGGCTCTGGGTCTGGGCAGCACCAGGAGATGGACGCGTTCCTGCCACGTGGCTCTGGGTCTGGAGCCCCTGGAGATGGACACATTCCTGCCATGTGGCTCTGGGTCTGGGCAGCACCTGGAGATGGATGTGTTCCTGCCATGTGGGCTCTGGGTCTGGGCAGCACCTGGCAGGCTTTGGAGTAGGCCTTGCCCACAGCCTGGGAGGCTGGGGAGTTCCTGTGAAGGGAGCTGGGTCCTTCTGGGGAGCGCCCGGTGGGGCTTGTTGTCCCTGCCTTGGGCTTGTCTCAGGAAGTGCCCCCGGCAGAGTGAGGAGGCTGAGATGAGCCCCGGGGGTCGGTTTCTCGAAGCCCCCGTCAGAGCTGATGTTCGGGCCACACGTTCTCTTGGGGTGATCCGTTCTGTGTCACTGGACTCGCCCCCCGCCTCATTTCCTCACTGGCCCAGTAGTAACTGCAGCCACTGGAGGCGGATACCCACTGAGGCTGTTCCCATCTGTCCTTTATGACGGCTTGCGATGGACCCGCCTGATGAAGGGGCCCAGCAGTGCCGGTGCCTGCCTAGAATTCAGGATGGAGATTCTGAGAACCCTGACCACGGCATAGGGGCTTGGGGTACAAAGGAAAGAAGAGGCACTAGGTTCTCAGAGATGCTGGTGCAGTGGCTTTTAGAATCAGAAAGAAAAAATGGGAAATGCACGCTCACGGTAGAGGAAATGGGAGAAGTTGCGGAAGTCTGAAAAAGGCAGGGACATATACCATGAAGCCAGCCTCATTCGTAGTTTCACTTCCCCCAGGTTTTTTTCAGTGCCCTTTTATGTCTTTTAAGATGATGAGATTTTCAACTGTTCTGTCTTGACATGACTCTTTGGAGAACGAGTACTTTGAGAGACATTCTGAAGAGCTCTGAGCAACATGGTAGACCCATTTCAAAGGAGAGGGATGGACGGATGGCGGCGTCCTGCCTTCTCTGCCGAGAATGGGGCCGCCTTGTGATTCCTGTCCAGAAAATCAGCTTGGGTGCAGGTGGCTGTGTTGGAGCTGTGGTGGCACCTGCAGTCCCGCCTGTCTCTTCCCACCCTTTGTTTTTGTCTTCTCTGGTTTCAGATCTTTTGTGTTTGTGCATATATTTTGTCACATTGTTGCGGCCTTTTTCGTAGCGTTCATTGATTCTTTTCATTTTGCCTGTGTGATTTTGCACATCGCTTGTACCCTTAGAAGGTCCGTGTCTACGTAGAGATCAACTATACAACCAGATTTTCTATTACCTATTGGGCGGTTTCCTTTCCTCCCTCCCTCTTCCCCTCCACACCCTTCTATTGATCTGGAATTCATTTTGTCTTTGGGTGTGAGTTGAAGCCCTGAGAGGGGGGATCTGTGCTCTGAACACCAGCCAGTTGTCCTAGCATCACAGGGAATGATTCTTTCCTTCTTGGGTGATTGTGACGCTCCTTTTAATTGCATGTTAAATATTTACATGGATGGAGGTCTGTTCTGGGCTGTCTGGTTCCTGCAGAGGATGAGTGGCCATGATTGAGGGAAGGTGTCCAGAAGGAAGTTCCCACTCCTTCTTTCACAGTCTGATGAGGTCCTGGATTCCTCTGAAGGCCCCGGGGCCCACTCTGTTATTCCTGTGGAGGAAGTCAGCCTGAGGGGGAGGGCGTCGTGGTGGCACCTGCAGTTCCGTCTGTCGCATTGATGTTGGCTGGTTCTGCTCTCAAAGGCGCCGGCTCTGTAGTGATGTCAGCGCCGTGTGACTTGAGGAGGAGACCCCACTGCTGCGGTGTGTCTGGGGTTCATCTTCAGGGCGCAGCTGATAAGATGCTTCTGTTGCGCTCACAATGCCAGTCATTGCAGCAGAAGTAATGGCAGGTGATGGGAGACTCATTGTTGGGGTGAGAAAAGGCACAATAAGCTATTGTCACAGGCAGGGCTCCCTGTGAAGCGGAACGTGATGCAGAGGCCACTGGGCAGGACGTTTAGGTTTGCTGGGGAGCACAGCAGCAGGGGAAGAGGACAGTGAGGCTGGGATGCAGCCTCCATGCAGCCTGTCGCTTTCTCCACAGGAGCTCTGGCCTGGGCCAGACTGCCGAGTCACCCTGATTCAGGAGTAGGGTGAGGGGCAGGCTTTGTTACCCCGCGCTAGTCACTGGCCTGGTCATTGGGTGCAGGCTGGCCCAGGAAGGGGGCTGATGTGGCCTCAAAAGGGCTCTTTCCAGTGAGACAGTTCTGGGTGGCCCCCGGTGAAGGTCCTTCCGCTGGCCACTCTCCAGAGTTGGCTTCAGAAGGGGACCTGGGGGCCGCGTGGCAGCGTCCACCACCATCCTCACCTGCTGTGGAAATGCACTGCAGAGCCCGTCTGTCCTCCAGGATGTGAAGGGGCCCTGGCGGGAAGCAGGCCTGAGTTCTGCGCTGGACAGGACTGAAGCTCACTCGTGTTTCCTTCTTGTCTTGCAGCGTCTCCCTTCTCTCCTGGACAGAAGGCCGTGTCCTGGGACTTCTCTGATGGCGAGAGGCTGCGGCTGTACCAGGTAGGCAGTGCAGGCATGGTGTGAGTGGGTTGCCATACCTGGACCCGCTTTACCATGTCATGACCAAGGTGCCGGACTCATGGGGACACAGGCCCCAAACGTGTGCAGAGCAGCTGCAGGAGGGAGAATGCTTCTGGAAGCTTCTGGTGACACTTGACCTTTCTCAGGCACTGCAGGCCTGTCCCTCATGGCGCTCTCCTCCTGTCCTCGAAGCCCACAGTGTTGTCCCCAGTGTGGGAAGGTCATTTGTCATCCTGGCATCCAGAAGCCCGGCCCCGGCGCATTCCCAGAACAGCCCCGTGTTTCTCTTTTCAGCGAATCCACTTTCTGTTGCCACCCGTGGAACGTTCTCACTCTTCCAAGAAGCCAGGCTAGCAGCTCCCCCACCCCAGCAGCCGCGGGACAGAGCCCAGGTTGGGTGGTGTGTACACAAAGGAGGGATTGTTCTCACGTCGCCCTGCGACGAGATGGGGATGGACCCGCGGTTAGAGGTCACCCTCCCTGGGGCGTCAGGGGAGCATTTGTCCTTGAAACACGCTGGCAAAAAATGTTCCAAGGAAGCCTCAGCTGGTGTTTGTGAGGAAGAGCTGGATTAAATGGTGTTCTGGTAAAATGTTCCTGGAGGTTTTCTTGGCTGTTCTTGGCTTTTATACTCCTGGTTGGCAATAGAAGGAACACCCTCCTTTGTAAAGTCGGTTGGATAGGATCACCTACCTCATAGGGCGGGCACAGCCTCCAGTTTTTTAGAAAAGCAACATACAAGTCTTTCCCCACCAAGTAGAAAGGATTGGATCTAAGTAAACGCTACGTTTGGATGCTCAAGGCCAAAGGGGGAGTTGAGAAGCCGCAGCTCACAGTGGGATTCCTTTCTGGGCCACGTTGGAATTTTAAAAGCCCTTCTAAATAAAGCAGGCAGCTACTTGCACTGTTTCAGGTTTTTCTTTAAATCCTGTAAACTGAGGGTAGCTGATTGGATTTTATTTCAACTTCTCCCCCCACCCTTTCTGTCCTGTCTCTTTGTTTTCCAGTATCTGCCTGTGCCTTAGGATGGAGAGAAGGTTTGAGATGTTCAGGAGGAGGCTCAGGGCTTTTCATAGTGACGTGAGGAATTCAGGAGTTCTCTGGTCCCAGGGTCAGTCCTCCGCCCACTGGGGCCTCAGCGACTTGAAACACTTCAGCCCAGGCAGAGGCCACCAGCAGGCCTTTCCTTATAAGTGCAGCCCCTGGCCCTGGAGGCTGTGGTCTCTTTGGGCTGCGGTGAACCCTCCTGAAAGGCATCCACATTCCTGGCATTCTTTCTGCCTGGCATTGGTCAGAAAGCGGGGGTTTCTAAAATCAAAGGCGAGCACTGCAGCTTGGTTCTTGTCTGTAGATAAACTGGAGAGACACCAGGGGGTTGTGCGGCATGGTTCTCTTTGGGCCCCCACATGGACTGGCCTCGCTGGACTTTGCATTTGGGGCATCGCCAGAGCAGGCCCCATCCTGAGCAAAGCAGGAGGAGGTTAATGGGGGTCCCTCTCGGGCTCCAGCAGTTCCTTGGGCGGCACGCATGTGGTTTGCTTTTTCTGACCCTGTGCCAGAGTTACTGGGGCAGCAAGACATCTGGGAAGAGGAACGGGAGGGTGGGACGGGTGCCGCCATCCCACAGCGGTGCCCGCTTGTCTCCGTGGCGGGCACACAGGCTTCCGGGAGCCCGGTGAGGGAGGTGCACCCAGACTTGCCCTGGATACAGCGGGCAGAGCGTTGCATGTGCCTCTGGGTGGGGTGTAGGGGTGCTTGGGGGCGTGGGTCCCCACAGCAGTTAGAGACCATCCACAGGCCACCACACTTTAAGCTGATTTTCGTTTTGCCTTGTTTTCCCAGAGGCATACATGTAGTGTTTTCTTGGTGCCTCTGAATAGTCACAGTCTGATTTGCCTGGGGGTCAGTGAGAGACACGGCTACCCAGGGTTTCCATTTCCAGGCCCCGAGTTTTGTCCGTGGCAAATTTCGTGATTTGCACATAGTTCCCACCTCATGGGTTCAAGTTGTTAACCTGATCCTGCTCCCACTGTCATCACCATCAGAGGTAGTTTATCCTGGTGCCTGGTGTCCTTCAGGATGAAGGAGGCAGCAGAAATGCTCCCTGACTCAGTTCCTGAGACCAGAATGACTGAGGAAACAGGAGGCCTGCAGCAGAGCACGGCCGATTGCTCCTCCGGGGAGTGTCAGCTAGGGGACGGAGCCGGTGCGGAGATCGAGGCCCCACAAGGCCTGCCCCTGTGGTTGTTCCCACTGTCCCACTGATGGCTGGGAAGGGTGAGCTCCAGCCCCCGGTGGCTTGAACACCCTCTGTAGTTGTGTCTGCTCAAGGCCTGGGAACACCCTGCCTGTTTCACAGATGAGAAACTCATCTCAGAGTACTCAGAAACCCAGAATACTTCATTCAAGTTCAAGTTCAGAGGGTGATTAAGAAGAATCAGAAGACTGGGTGCGGTGGCTCATGCCTGTAATCCCAGCACTTTGGGAGGCCGAGGTGGGCGGATCACGAGATCAGGAGATCAAGACCATCCTGTCTAACACGGTGAAACCCTGTCTCTACTAAAAATACAAAAAAATTAGCCGGGCGTGGTGGTGGGCGCCTATAGTCCCAGCTACTTGGGAGGCTGAGGCAGGAGAATCACCTGAACCCAGGAGGCGGAGATTGCAGTGAGCTGAGATTGCACCACTGCACTCCAGCCTGGGCGACAGAGCGAGACTCCATCTCCAAAAAAAAATAAAAAATAAAAAAGTCTCGGAGCCCAGCCTGCAGACCGGCTGCATTTGTGTGTCCCCTAAACCACTCCTCTGTTCCTTTAGCTTAGCTGGGTGCCTGGGGGGGCACGTGAACCACGTGGGCTGGTACCACACCCCCTCTAGACTGGCCAATGGGAATAAATCATGAGCCACAAACAGGAGACGTAAAAATGAACAGGTAAACATAATTTTTTTTCTTGGGATTGTAAATTCACACGACAGTTGAAGGTGCAGTGAAGAAATGGGTGGTAGCGGAGTCACCCACTCTTCGCAGGGCGACTGGCCACGCAGGCTCTGCCTGCACACCTCCTGCCTGGACCATGTGGAAAGTCTTCAGGGGTCACGTCAGACTGAGGTTCTCCAAAGTTCCTATCCCTTTGTGTGTTTGGTGAGCTTTTTGTTTGTTGGTTTTGGTTTCGAGGTGAAAGTCACATAACCTCCAGCTGACCGCTGCAGTGGGCATTGAGTACATTCTTGGTCCTGTGTCACCACCGCCTCTCTCTCGTTTCAAAACTTCGTCATCACCCTGGAAGAGCACCCTGTACTCACTACATGACCACACCCGTTGCCCCTGCCCCCGCCTCTGGCTACCACTAATTGGTTTACTTTTGAGGTTTGCATTGGGCTATGTCCCCATGGCCTTCGATCTGTGACAGAGATCCTGGCTTTCATACATCCTTGGGACAGAGAAACTAAGGCCAGCGTCCTTAATAGCATGACCAGGTCTGCTTGGACTGTCCTTTGAGGTGTCCTGCAGGCACTGATTCTGCACCTGCCAAGGCCTGACCTCCCCGTAATCAGCAGATAATCCAATAGAGGAGAAGGGCACTTGAGGCCATGCAGCGGCTGAACGGGAAGCTGTGCTCAGCGTCTCTCCAAGCCTCTGCATTCCAGTGACAACGTCCGCAGGGCCTCAGTGAATAAACCGCTGCAAATGCACGTTGGTGAGGCCATCAGCTGCCGAAGGGAAGCTGGGGAATCTGGACGGAGGAGAAAGAAACGTGAGCTGCACTCCCGGCGACACATTGGACTAAGAACGGCGCCTGCCTTCTTGAGAGGCTTGTTTTGTGGTGTCATAACTAGCCTGCCTTACACCTTTCTTAAAGCAAGCATGTTGTGAGTTCACAGGAGGGATTTTTAACATACTTGAGGCTTTGGGGACAAAAGACATCAGTCAAAGAAAGATTCCGCTATTATTTATTTCAAGAGCCTTTGAATCTCTTGCTGAAATCTGCTCCCATTTTGAAGAAGCTTCCCATCAAATCAGAAAAGCCCTGATTTTCCTGTCTCTGTGTTTGGAATTGTCCCCCACCCTGTTGTTAGTTCATTCCTTAAAGTTGTCTGGGCAGACTGCAATTTCGGAAGGGCACCTGGATGCGTTTCATTCTTGGGTCAGAAAAATACCTATGCAAAGAGCTTCTGACCAAGCATAGACAGATTTCAATTATTGGCACAATAGCATGTTACATAAATCAATTTCCTTGGGCCTCAGTTTTCTCCTTGGTAAAGATGGAACCTGGGTCTCTGAAGGTTCTCAAAGACTAAAAAGGAATCTAAGACACCCTCAGACTTGCTCAAGAAGAAAACAGGGCAGGATTATTGGAATGATCCAGAAAGAGAGCACAGTGAATCTTCTCAAACTTTGAGAAATGAATTGGTCATCAAAAATTAGACTTTCCTCTCACCTGTGCAGCTGGCTCTGTCACGCGGCCTCTGCTGCTCACCACCAGCACATACCTGGCCCAGGAGTGGCTGCCAGTCAATGCGCAGCAGCCCTTTGCAGGACCTGCCCTTGGGCTGCTTTTGAGTTTCTGAGCATCCAAGTCTCAGAAGCAGCTGGTTGGGCCAGCTCAAGCTCTGGGTCCGCTGTGGATTGATTCACCTGTACCTGGTCTCCACCACTGATCCATCTGGAGAGGGGTGAGGCCACAGGGGTTTCCAGGCTGGGGGTGTGCCTGGGCCAGGCAGCGACAGCCACTGGGAACCCCAGGCAATAGGGGAAGTGGCACTCACTTATCCTCGGCTGGGCTTCTCTGCAGGCTCCCTCCCTCCTTCCCTTCTTCCTTCCTTTCGGAACTCCCTACAACCCTATCACGTTAAGCAAGTCCTGTAGCCTCTCTGGGCCTCACTTCTCCTACCTGCTTATGGAGGGCCCCCGAGCCTGGGCTGTGTGGCTTCACTGTTAACATGTTATTGATGTGACTGGGGGGTTGCCCCTGTGCCTGACGTTTCATTCATGCCGTTCTCCCATGCAGGTTGCTCTCCTGATCTGGGCCCCGCCCTTTGGTTCCAGGGGATATGAAGGTCAGAGGAGGGATTAGCATGATCCACTGGCCAGAGTCAATAACACGGGGCCCCTCCTTCCAAGAGGGGCTTAGCCAGAAGGGGAAGCCTGGATCTTGGGCTCGGGCTCTGATGCTTTGTCTCTGAGCCGCTGACATGGAGGACGTCAAGCCGCGATGTTCATGTCCCCATTGCGTAGAGGTGGGTCCTGTAGTCCCACATGTGGTGTGCTCTGAATCTCCTTTCCACTCTGTTGGAGGGTCAGAGGGACTTGAAAGATCACAGAGCCCAGCCTCGCATTTGGCAGAAGAGAAAGCAGAGACATAAAGGCCAGGGACTTGTGCCGGGTCCTACCCGCTATCTGGTGCCCCACACACTGGGGCCTGTCCCCACTGCCAGCAGCCTCTGTGTGGGTTCTGCCTTTTTCTGCACTGGTGGTGTCTCCCCATCGCCCCAGCTGCTTGTGGGCAGGCGTCACCTTGTTCTGACCTCTTTCCTTCCCCCAGGCAGCTCTGGACTTTGCTCTCAGTAAACACAACTTGATTCTTTTCCTTCTTACCTTATCATTGCCCATAAATCCCGTTTACACGGTGCCCACTTTTGTGTCTGAGCTGGGACGTACAACCTCGTCTCTGCCTCCAGTTTTTGAGAAATTAATTATAAACAGTGTTGACAGAGGCTCTGGCTTGACTTGGGGCATCTGCTGCTCTTCCCGGCCTTGGTCTTCTGAAGGTAGCTGTTATCAGTAACAGAACAGATGTGTTTATCCTGGGCTCCCGGGCCCTTGGCGTGGCCCTTTGAGGGGGTCTGTGAAACCCCTGAAACTGCATGCTAAACTTTACGGGTGGAGGTAGTTTTCTAAAGAGAGGGTCCAGAGACTTTGTCAGATTCCTTAGAGGATTTGCACCCTCAAAAAACGTTAACAACCTCTGAGCTGGAGGAAGGCCTAAGACAAGCCTATCGCACTTGGAGATAAGATAAGCCGAGGCGGGACCTAATGGGGCCTCAATGTCTTGGCCAGAGTGCACAGCTGAAACGGAGATGACACTTGACAGAAACCAGTGTAAAACTCTCCTTCCCTTTATTTAGCTTTTATTTCTTGTGCTTTTCATTAAGTACAGATACTCTTTGCTTGCTTACAGAACAGGGAAGACCTGGCTTCTGAAAATTATCTTTAGGTTTTTCATTGAATTTGGTCTTATTCTGAACAATGCCTGAACGTCGAAGGTGCTCCCCTAGATAGGTTAATAGAAACCCACAGTCCAGGGCAAGAGGCCGCATCCGGGAAGCCTGTGTACAGGTGACTGGAGAGATGAGTTCTCACGGACCGTTCGGGCAACTTGGTGTTCCGGCCTGGACATTTCAGTGCTGCATTTGAAGAGGAATTATGAATTGGCTCTCAAAGGAGGGTGAGGTGTTTTGTTTTTTGTTTTTTATTTTTTTTGACATGGAGTCTTACTCTGTTGTCCAGGCTGGAGTGCGGTGGCGCAATCTCACCTCACTGCAACCTCCGCCTCCCGGGTTCAAGTGATTCTCCTGCCTCAGACTCCAGAGTAGCTGGGATTACAGGTGTGCGCCACCACACCTGGCTAATTTTTGTATTTTTAGCAGAGACAGCGTTTCACCACGTTGGCCAGGCTGATCTCAAACTCCTGACCTCAGGCGACCCGCCCGCCTCGGCCTCCCCAGAGTGCTGGGATTACAGGTGTGAGCCACCATGCTGGGCTGGAGGGTACATTTTTAAACGATGCAATTCTGGGGCCATCGTCAGATTTGGCGAAGAGGAAGCTGCGGGAGAGAACTGTTACTATACAGGATTTGAAGAACTCTCCTGCAGGCTTATTTTATATTTAAATTGTGCACAGTGGTTTATAGTTTGCCAAGCTGTCTTGGGTTTGTTATGTTGCGTAATCTTCTGAAGGACAGGTGGGTTGAGCCAAATATTCATTAGCAGCCTCGTTTTACAGATGAGGAAACTTGTGCCTCAGAGAAGCTGAAGTCATCAAACCAAGGTCAAGCTGGATGCGGTGGCTCATGACTGTAATCCAAGGGAGGCTGAAGCGGGCGGATCACTTGAGTCCAGGAGTTCAAGTCCAGCCTGGGCAACATAGCAAAACCTGGTCTCTATAAAAAATACAAAAAATTAGCCAGTCGTGCTGGTGACACTTGTATCCCCAACTACTCAGGAGGCTGAGGTGGGAGGATTGATTGAGCCCAGCAGGTCAAGGCTGCAGTGAGCTGTGATCACGCCACTGCACTGCAGCCTGCATGACAGAGCGAGACCCTGTCTCAAAAACAAAACAAGTAAAACAAAAAGGGTCAGGCATTTGGCAGGGATGGACCCCAGTAGAATCTTCTGATCCCAGTGCCGTGACATAGGGTCCCCAGAGCAGATGGGCTGGGTTCAGATAACGGAAGGCCACACAAGATTCTAGAATTGTCAGCAGAGGGAGGAGTTGCCTGACAGCAGCAGATTCCAGGGAGGGCCCGGATGAACCTCCAACAGGAATGCTGATTCCGTTCTGCCTTTGATCTCCTGATTTCAAAAGAACTTGAAGTAACTTGAACCTGGCTGCCATCTGCCCAGGCATAGATGTGTGCCAGGAGGCAGGTCTGCCTCTTAGTTGCTATGAAATAGTTTGCCCAACTTGGATGCTACGTTTCTTTAGAAAATCTTCAAGCTATCACACGTGAATAGGCTTCTGATCGAATAAGCCCAGGGCTTCGGTGGATGGGGCATGGCTGGCAGCAGGGCCAGCGTGGCCCTGTCCTTTTGGTCCTCTGTGGCAGGGACCCAGGAAGCAGTACCCAAGGGCTGGAACCAGCGTGACCGAGGAGAACTCTCCCCTGGCCAGGGCCTAGCTCTCAAACACCAGATTCTGGGGTGGACTTAGATCCTACAAACGCAGGCCACTGAGGCCAGGGTACCAATGTATTCATTTGACAGGAAAAAAGGGGATACTTTGGAGGTGCAGATAATGCATCCTCACTGTACAGGTCGGGGCATGAGAGCAGAATGAGGGTCATTCGAAGGATAGAGTGTCTGTTTACTGTTTTATCTGCTGAGAAGCAGATTCCCATTTTGCCAGCACCTGTGTGTAGCCTGGACTCTGGAACTAAACTCTCTGGTCTGAGGGGTGGAGGGGGTCAAATCTTGGTGAGGAACAGTTGCATGGCTCTGCTCACTGACCTCTGTTGGGCCTTAGTTTGCTCATCTGTAAAACGGGAGTGAGAAGTTGCAGTTATGGGCGTGTGACACCTTCCCAGTCACGCTCCTATGCAGGGAGATGTGGCTCTGGCATACAGAAGCTGAACTCACAGTGATGGTGACAGAGGCTGGAGGCTGGGGGGCTTGCAGTGTCTGTATCCAGTTGGCTCCAGGGATGGCCCCACCCCTGTCCTCACCTCGGTGTGATTTTAGGGGCCACAGTCTGTTCCTGTTTTTTCTTAGCTGGTTTGAGTTGGGTTTTGAGAGTCCTAAAACCCACCCAAGATGGCCCTAGGTACCTGCCCTCTGTGGGGTACATTGCTCCAGTGGGACTGCAGGCTTTGGGGCTCCCCGTTAGCACCCCAACTGCTCCCGGCTCCTGGCTGTCACTCGGTGAAGTTTGCCACGGCTTCCCCTGTTGGTGGCGTTTTTCCTGTGCCTGACTGACTAGGTACCCTCCTAACTCCTAACTAAACATAGGTTTTCTTTTTCTATGCTTTAGTAGTTATTTCTCATAACAAAAATATGCTCTCAGTGTCACAGTTATTTTTAATAAATGTATCTTTCCAGACTGTTCTCTGTGCATGTGCATAATATTTTAGCCTCAGATGGGTTCCTCATGGGCACCTTCTTAAGGTGTCATTGCCTGTAGTCGCCTCGGTGGCACTGGACCTCTTTAGAGTGGCTTTGCTTCTTTACAGGGTTTCATTATTTTTTTTAAAAAGTTTTATTGAAATGAAGTTCACATAACATATAATTTACCATTTTGAAATGTCACAATTCTGTGCTGTATAGAATATTCACAAAGTTGTGCAACCACCACCTCTTATCACATCTCCAGAACATTTTTTCAACCCTAAAGGGCACCCATTAGCAGTCGCTGCCCCTCCTTCCCGCCCCTGACAACCACTGCTCTGCTTTCGGTTTCTATGGATTCCTATGGATTTGTGTATCCTGGACATGACTTATAAATGGAACCATACAATAGGTGGCCTTTGGTGACTGTCTTGTTTTCACTGCAGACTGTTTCCAGGGTTCATCCACGTGGCAGCATGTGTCAAAATCCCATTCCTTTTTATGGCTGCATAATATTCCATTGTATGGCTATGTTACATTTTGTTTACACTTTCATTCGTTGATGGACATTTGGGTCGTTGCCACCTTCTGGCTGTTGTGACTGGTGCTACTAGGATTCATGTATTTGATGGTCTAATTCTGTTCTAAGAGCTGTCTTCTCTCATTTCCAAGTTCTTGGAGAGATCCCTGGCTTTTGATTCCTTCTCCTCCACCCCATGCCTATCCCCAGGATTTTATGAATCTCCCAGGAGGTAGGGCTTGGTATGTTGTTGAACTCACTGTTGGCATGGACCAGCAAGGGTCGCTGTCACATAAAGGCCTGTGTTAGGTGCCATCCGCCTGCAGATCCCCCTGGGTGTTAACACAGGACTGCGAGGAAGCACTGCTTGTGGAGAGCAGGATAGTCAACAACAGACCTAGGCCAGGTGTTTGCCCAGGTGTCACACAGGAGGCTTGCTGTGGAAAGGCAGCTTCCTGGGCATGCCCTGTGCTGGCCATGTCTGTCTGTCTGTCTGTCTGTCCCTCCCAGCCCTGCTGTGCTGTTGGCCCAGGGAGTGGTCTGAATTGGCTGTACCCCAGGGGGCTCCCCTGACTTCTGGCTTGCGGTGGAGAGGGAGGTGTCAGGGGAGCCCCTCGCCTGGGGCTCACTCCGGCTCCCCTGACTGGGGGTCCCTGTCTCCCCCAGGTTCCAGTGGAGGCTTCCCCCTTCCCCACTTCCCTGGCGTCACTTCCCCCAGGGGTCCCTTCACTGTTGTAAATTGTCCCTTTCCTGTTGGGGCCTTGAGTGATGTCTCAGCCCTACTGAGTGAAGATCTCCAAGGCAGGCCCAGAACCTGCATTTTAACAAATCTTCCCCTGACACCTTGAGCCCCTCAGAGCTGCTGAACCCCCGCCTCCGCCACCCTGCTTAGTTGTTGATCTTGGCTTCCTCGTGTCCAGGCTACAGGCTGACCTCTCTTGTGCTTCTGCCTTTCAGAGCTTCAAAGGAAGCACATGTTTGCTGAACCCTCCCAGGGATCCAGGCTTTGCAGGTTTCACACACATCTTACAAAATGCAGTGGGGGCAGAACGAGAGGAGAGCCAGAGCATGCTGGCTTTGGGAGGGGTGGCCCATTGTAAACAAGCCAGCCCTGGCCGTCCCAGGGTCCCAGGCAGGCTGGCTTGGTTGGGTCTACACACAGCCAAGCACTCTTAGCTCCTGCAATTGGAATCCCGCTCTTGCGTGCCCGCCTGTGTTCCTGGCTGTGGGAGGCGCCAGAGGGAGGTTTTGATCCCTGGGGGAGTAGGAAGCCGGCCCAGCCCCTGCAGCTGTCTGGCCCCAGCCACTAATCCTGGGCAGGAGCCGCCTGTCCTGGCATGGTGCTGGGCTGGCTGGAGTGGAGTGACCTGAGAATGGGGCCTGCTTTGTACCCAGAGCACACGCCGGCCACGGCTTTTACGACCTAGCGAGCAGGACGGGAAAAGGCCAGCAGGTGGGAGATGGGAGTCAGCCTTGGTCTCCTTTGTCTTTGCGGGCTTTGTTCCGCGAGGATTTTTTCTTTCCTGCCCTTTTCCTTTGGGCTGAGCGTGAGTGTGTTCAGAAAATCTCAGAGCGGCCACTTGCTGCCCCAGGGGGTATCATACGCATCATGGGTTTGGTCAAGAGTGGATCCATCAAAAATCTGTGGGGTAGCATTTTTTAGGAAACGAAGCATAGTGCCTTTTATTCCTAATGGATTTTTAGCTGTGATATAAAAGCACTCCCGGAAAGAAGCCAGCGGATGAAGGTCCCGATGGTGCTGGGCTGGCTGCAGGCGGGACCACAGGACTCTCAGAAGCAGAGGGCCTGTGCTCCCAAGGGCCTGTGCTCTCAGGGGCCTGTGCTCTCAGGAGTCTGTGGACTCAGGGGCCCCCCTCGCTCTGCTTTGCCAGGGGCCACCCAGCCTAGATTTCTGCTGGGCCAGCACCCCTTGGGCTCTCCGATGAGACTGGCAAGGCCAAGCATGTGAGGCCTGTTCCCAAATGGAAGCGTCCGTCTGTACTACTGCACGGCTGCCAAGACCCTCCAGCTCTGACCCTCCATCTGGGTTTTGCCTGGGGATTCAAAGAGGGGCTGGGTTAGGGGAGATAAAGGGAGGGGGACTAGGGCAGGACCTCCGTGACAGCAGCAACATGGCTGATGCACCTGGTGTTTAGTGAAGAAGATTGGGGGTGCCACGCCGCATCTGTGTGTCCTTAGACAAGTTCATTCCCCAAATCCATTCCATTTCCTCTACTCATCGGATCTGCTTCAGAGACTTAAACGAGCTGACGGAACATTTAGCACAGGGCCTGGCCACGGGTAAAGGATGTCATCTTCCCCCGGTCAGAATGGAAATGAATTCCATTTCCTAGGGTCGGGTGAGCCCACACCTGTGAAATCAAGTAGAGGGGAGGGAGGGGAGGGAGTGGAGGCAGTTGAGTGGGAGAGTCCAGGTGAGACAGGTGAGTCCCTGCAGGAAGGCAGGAGCAGGAGGCACAGAGGGGAGCTGGTCAGAGATGTCAGAGATGGAGAGATGGCAGGTGGGGTCCAGAGCAGCTCCTCCCTGCTTCCTCCAGGTTGCAGTGGAGACCAAATGGCCTGAAAAGCCCCAGATACTGACTCTCTGATCCTTTACCACAGAGCTTCTCACCTGGGGCGACCTTGCCTCTCCCAGCCCCCCAGGGACACTTGGCAATGTCTGGAGATTTGTGATTGTCACCACGCAGGGAGGAGGGAGGAGGTTCCAACCGGCATGGAGTGGGTAGAGCCTGAGGACGCTGCTGCAGATCGTGCAGTGCCCAGGACAGCCCACACAAAGATGGATCCGGCCCCAAATGTCAGCAGTGATAAGGTGGAGAAATGGTTTTCCAGAGAGTTTGCTGTTTCACCTAGAGAATTGATTGACTGGTTTTGGAGGAAGGAGGAATTTAGGATGAGGGATTTCTGGGCGCTGCCAGTTGCTAAGTGGGGAAGAAGAGACCAGGCGTGCAGTGCTTGAGAGGCTGCGGCCATCCTGAGCCCGGGCTGCGGCCATCCTGAGCCCGTGGGGGCAGTTATGGGTAGTGCTGAGGAGGCAGGGTAGAGACACGGTTTGGCCATCAGCAGAGATGCCCCTAGCCATGCCCAGGGTGGACTCAGGCACCCGAGGAGAATGCGCCAGCGAGGAGACCAGCAGAGCAGGGATGGGCACCGGAGAGGTTGGACGTCAAGGGCAGTCAGGGGAGGAGACCCTCTGAAGGAGGCCAAGAAGGACCAGCCGTTGGGGGTGGAGGATGCCGCGTGAGCTGCACCCCTGTGGGAAAGGGAGAGTCGCAGCTGGGTGGCTTGGAGGTTTCAGAGCTGTCAGGAAAGCTGCCCTGGGACTTGGCCCTCTGTGTGGCCTTCCTCTCCAGACTGGGTGGGAACAGTGTCGTGAGCCATTAGGTGGGATCTGGTGCCCGGAGAGGTGTGGCACAGCTTGAGGGGCCACCGCAGGATGTGTATAAGCTGAAAGGAAGGAGGCCTGTTTGCCACCCTGACCTCCCAGCTCAGCCAGCCTGAAGCCCTGGGTTGGGACAGCCCCTTGGTGGGAGGGAGGCCCTTTGATGCAGCTGGGGCTCTGTGGTCGCCTGGCATGAGCTCTGGGCTGCAGCCTCCCTGCAGGGCCCAGGAGGGCCAGAGAGAAAACGCCAGGAAGAACCAGCCGAGGCCTACTCAGGAACCATGGCGAAATAAAGCAGGAGGCGGAGAACGCTTGAGGTGCTACCTCTTGTACCGCTTCTCCTTGTAGGTGGTTATTTTCTCCTCATTCTCTTTTTGGTACCCTTTGTGTAGAATAATGCTCCTTAGGTACTTTCTAGTTGGAGACAAGAAAGAAGCTTCTCCAAGCTCCCCTTGGTTCTGGCAGTGTCCTCTGGCTCTGGATCACTCTTGGTGCCCTTTCCAAGCACCTCTCCCTACTCGCTGTAAAAACTCCAAGGCAAACAAGCTGTGAATTATCAAAAGGCCACCGGCCTCTGGTGAACTCATTCTCCCGCTAGGAAACCTGTTGGGTAGGTTTTGTTCTATTTTATCTCCACCTGGTATGGGCTTGTAGCAGAGGCCCTACTGAAAAACGGGGTGATTCACACACTTTGCTCATTTATGCTTTGCTTTAAAAAAGAAAGCAATGGGAGCAGCTGGCTGCTGCCTGCCTGTTTTTGTCTGACTGTCCTGTAAGCTCTACCACACCAGCACAACACCGGGGTTCCAGCTGGCTTACAGGGGCTGGGCTGACATTTGCCCAAGGGACAGGTGGACGGACAGCTTGTGTTCTCTGGGATTGTCTAGAAATCAGCTGATTTGCATAAGAATGTTTCCCCATAGCTGAGAGCTTAATGTTCATCACTGACCCATTGGTGAGTTTGTTGAAATAGAGATGGTTCCGGGTAGAATATACTTGCCTCCTAGCACCTGAAGGACTATTACTTGGGATAACCAGGCTTCCCAGAGTGCTCTCTGGGCCCTCCTGCTGCCCAGCTCCCCTCTGAGCTCTGCAGGTGCCATCCGGCCTGCAGTGTGTGTCTGTCTGCCGTGGGCCTCCACTCTGCAAAGGCAGTTGTCCCCTCCACTTCCAAGGAACAAAACTCAGAGGCTCGCTCCAGTATGGTGGGATGGTTGAAAGGACCAAAGTGTCACTGAATGAGCCAGAGATAAGAGGATCTTAAAGGAGAGTTTGGGAGAGGGGCCGTGGTGTGGTGTGCCTGGGACCCTGGAGGACGGAGCTCCTAGGTCATTGTGTCTAAGAGTGCTTTGGGGATTCAGCTCCTTCCGTTGGCCTCCATTATTTCTTGGCTTCTCTGTTGTGTCTCTTCTCTCTCTCCTTGGCCTCTTTCTGCATCTGTGTCTGCTCTTTGCTAGCCGGCCTGCCTTTGGTGGTAACTGTTCTCTGGGGTCTTGCCCTTGACTCTTGCCTCCTTCCCATATCCTTGATCTGGATCTCTCTATGGATCTCTCCCCAAATGTCTATTCCAGATCTAATCAAGATTTACCTCTCACTGCCAGAGCCATGTGTTTGCTCCTCACGTGGGTACCCTATGTTGGCATGTCCAGGAGAAAACCCTCTACCTTCCTTTTTCTCCATGCTGCCCACATTCAGCCTATTTTGGAGATCCCAGCTAAGAGCGTCTTTGTGGTTTCCGCTCGCCACCTCCATGTCACCCCCAGGACCTTCCTCTTGCTCCTGGGAAAGTGTGTTAGTCTCTCCTCTCCTCAAACCTTCCCTGCCGTGGTATAGATGCTCAGTCACCTCCTTCTGGTGAGTGCTGGAGCTTCCTGGAGGGTCTTTTTTCAGGGTTACCTCCTGCTTGTCTACCCTTCGTCCCATCCCCGGGATCCCCCAAACTACTGAGGGTGTATCATCCCCTCCTTGGCAGCCTGACTTGCAGATTAGAGACCCCTCCCCATGGTGCACACGGCCCCTATGGCTCCCACCCCAGGTTTTCTCCATAAACCTTGAGCCAGTATACCTTCATGCACCAGAAATGATGGGTGTTTCTGTGAGCCCCCTTTGCTCTGTCCCTGGGCCCACCCCACTTCATCTCCAGTTGCCTGTCTGAGTCCTGTGGCACTGACCTCCCGTGCTGGGCCCAGCCTGCTTCATGGGGAGGCCCGCAGGGCAAGATGCACACAGTAGGCCCCAGAACTACTCGGTCCAGCTGTTTGGTGGCTGGAAAACCTTGGACAAGAGGCTTGGCTTCTCTGCATCTCGGTTTCCTCATTTGTGAAATAGAGGTCATAATCCTTATCTGTCTCATAGGGCACTTGTGATACACAAATGAATTAACACATTGAAAGCTTTTAGAATGGTGCCTGACACACACCCAGCAGCCAATGAATGTTGCAGGGCATACTGGTTCCCTAGGGCTGCTGTAACACAGTGCCAAGGACTGCGTGCCTTAAAGCAGAAACACATTCTCACAGTCTGGAGGCTGGAGCCTGAAAGCAAGATGTTGGCAGTACTGTGTCTCTCCAAAGACTCTAGGAGAACCCTTCCCCGCTCTCCAAGGACAACCCTTCCTCCCTCTCCTAGGAGAACCCTTCCTCCCTCTCCTAGGAGAAACCTTCCTCCCTCTTCTAGAACCCTTCCTCCCTCTCCTAGGAGAACCCTTCCTCCCTCTCCTAGGAGAAACCTTCCTCCCTCTTCTAGAACCCTTCCTCCCTCTCCTAGGAGAGCCCTTCCTCCCTCTTCTAGGAGAACCCTTTCTCTCTCTCCTAGAACCCTTCTTCCCTCTTCTAGGAGAACCCTTCCTGTCTCTCCTAGAACCCTTCCTCCCTCTCCTGAAACCCTTCCTCCCTCTTCTAGGAGAAACCTTCCTCCCTCTCCTAGGAGAACCCTTCCTCCCTCTTCTAGAACCCTTCCTTACTCTCCTAGGAGAACCCTTCCTCCCTCTCCTAGGAGAACCCTTCCTCCCTCTCCTAGGAGAACCCTTCCTCCCTCTCCTAGGAGAACCCTTCCTCCCTCTCCTAGAACCCTTCCTCTCTCTCCTAGGAGAACCCTTCCTCTCTCTCCTAGCTTCTGGTGGTTTTTGGCAGTCTTCGTTAGCTTAAAGCCACGTTCCTTCAAAAAATATCTGCCTTCATTGTTATGTGGCCCTCTTCTGTCTGTGTCTCTGTACTGGATTTAAATTTCCCTCTTATAAGGACACCAGTGATTGGAGTTAGAGCCCATCCTAATTCCGTATGACCTCATCTTAACTTCGTCACATCTGCAAAGACTGTATTTCCAAATATGGTAAAATGTACAGGTACCAGGAGTTAGGACTTGAACACATCTTTTGGGGTGACTCAGTTCCACCCATAACAGTGGCTCTCGCTGTCTTCCCTGGATCGTAGTCTCTATGATAGCTCTCATCTGTGTCTTTGTCATTTCCGTAAACCTGCTGAGAACAGCGACAGTCTTGCTTTTCTTTGTATTCCTGGCAAAGGCTCAGTACCTGTGTATTTAGTGAATGTCCTTCCTCTCGACTTACATTAAGGAAGACTCCAGTTCTGATAACTCTCTGTTTGTCAGAACATATGCCTGTACCAGCTGGAAATGAGAAGGATATGAGCATAAGAAGTCTTGCTTTTGGGAAGCAGCCCCATTCATATACAAGGAGATGGATGGGAGCCACCCTGAAGCCCTCCTTGCAGTTGATTAGTGTCCGTTGAGCGGTTGCTGCTGCATTCCAGGCTCTGGGTGGGGGATGGGATTCTGAGAGACAGGCATAGCCCTTGCTGACCCGGAGCACACAGCTTGGCTGGAGAGACACACAATTCAATAAGCTGTTACAATAAAGTGATTAGGTCCTATTATAGGGAAAGCATGGGGCTGGTGCCCGCACACTCAGTGTGGATGCAGGGAGCAGCTTATTGGTTTAAACACTCTGGCATCTTCCCTCCAGCTGCTCATGAATGTTACGGGGCGCTGACAGTGGCTCAGGGTACTGGCAGGGACAGCCAGCCCAGAGGAGACACAAGAACGGCAACTGGGATGGGAAGCGCCCTGACCTCGGCAGACCATCCCTGGGGTCCCTGCTGCACACAGCACAGTTCAGTGATTGACAGCCACAGCCAGTGACCCAGCGTCTTCACCCCACAGACAGGTCATTGCTGACCAGGCTCCACTTACACAGGTTGAGAAGGGTGGTGGCTACAAATGTGTCCTGTAACGTTCTATAAATGGGAGCCGAGGGGACGCCTGAGTTGTCTGCCAAGTTTTCTTCCTGGTTGTCATGTTTGGATCATTGTACATCCCACCTAAAGAAAGCACACCCTGTGTCTGAGTGGGGACAATAACCAGCCGCACCGCAAGGGAGGGCTCTTCCTTTTACTGCCGGGTGACCTGTGTGCCTGCAGGCCTGGCCTGACCCCAAGCCTCGCTCATAGTTCCCTCCTTTCACCTGCCTGGCCGGCTGGGCTGCAGTGCCTGCAGGGTGCAACAGCTCTTGCTATCACCCACCTTACTCCTCGGAGTGCATTACGCACATCTAACCCTAAAATGCGTTTCCATCTCGGAGTGCATTACGCACTTCTAACCCCAACATGCATTTCCAACTCATGCCGTGCCATTGTCCCAACTTAGTCCCCACTGTGGTCCAAGGAGCAGGAGGAAGGAGACAGGGATGAGTTTTTAATATTTTACCAAGGATCAGGTGAGAAAGCCAAGGACCACACCAGATGAGTGCACAGGCCTCCAGGAGCAGGGCTGGCCTTTCTGCGCCTAGGCTGTGGGGCTGGAGGCCGGACGCCGAATGTGCACGCTCCCTAAATGCAGATGGTGACACAGCTTTTCTCCCAGGCTGTGGAAATTTCAGCCCACTCACAATAAAAAGAAATGTTTCCAAAACAGCCTTTCTGTTCCCTGGTCTTTTCCCAGAATGAATCTTGCATCAGCAGAGGTGAGATTCAGTTGTGAGAGAAGACACATTAAAACCCTAAGTGCTGACTCGCAAGGCACATCTGGCCAGCGTGGGAAGGGAGGAGGTCTTCAGGCCTCCGCTGTCCGAGTGGCTTTCTCCCTGGCCTGTGTGGTTCGCTGCCAGCCCTTCCTCCCTTCTGTGCAGAAGGTCCAGCCCGTGTTCCCCACAATCACGCAGGAACCTTGTGTATGGAGCTGTTCCCCCTTCTCCAGTTGTCTCCGGTGTCTGGGCAGTCCATGTGCTTCCCAGCACTCCTGCAGGCTGGGGTCTCCCGCCCTTGGCTGGTTTTCACTCAGCTCCTACCAGCTGCTGGAAATTTCTCCTTGGAGTTTGATCTTAGAGCTGTGACTAGGGATGGGCACTCATTTGCATTAGTAATTATTTTGTTAGTTGGTGCATATACCGCTGCAGACGAGTTGGGCCCCACCAGGAGGAACTTGATTTTCTGGGGAGATCAACACTGCCTCAAGAGCTCCCAATGTAACTGTTGGACTGAGGGTAAGGGGGTTTTGCCTGCAGTCGCTTCCAGGGTCTCCGTTCTGCTCTGTCCTTTTATTCCCAAGCCTCTCCCCCCATTTTCTAATGGTTTGAGCGCATTCCTAGTTAATTGCAATGTTCAGATAGTTCCAGTATCTTAGTGAAAGTTAGTGTGAAAGCCCCAGTGATTTGGTTGCCATCAAGAAATGCCTTTGCCCAGGGTCACCTGGTGAGTAAGCGGAGTGTGAAGATTAACCTCTTTGTGCCTCAGTTTCCTCAGCTATAAAACAGAATGATAATATTAACCCCCTCCTAGGATTGATTTCAGATGCAAATGATTACTACTATCTACCATATATAAACAATGTACTTATAGAATATATGTGTATTATGTACTATTGTTTTCTATAAAATTGTTATTTACTAAAAGGTTTATCATAATATTATTAGCTATTAAAGTATATGTTAATCAACTTAAAAAAAAAAGAAATGCCTTTGCGTGGCTCTTACGGTGACATAGCAGGATTTTATAAATTGCACGGTGGATATAGAGGTGTAATTACCCGTTGCCTGCCGACATCAGCCTGATCCTTCAGGAATGTTTGGCGAGCAGGATCGGGCGATGCCGGATACTTTGGGCTCTTAGGAAAGTCCACTCAGCGAGCGTGGAGGCTGGCCGAGTTTTGTGGTGGAGGCCTCGTCCCTCTTTTTGGGGAGCTTACCCTCTGTGTGCTCTTGGAGTCTGCATTGTGTTAGATGTTGGAGGCGCTGGGGAAGAAGTGCCCACATGGCATTGGGGGAAATGAGTTCTGAGAATAGGGGTGTGTCCCAGCCTTCTCAGTTTTAGCCTTTAGGGAAATGTTTGTTTCCTGGGGCCACCATAACAAAGCACCACCAGCCAGGTGTCTTCCCCGTGGACATCTATTCTCAGTTCGGGAAGCCTGATGTCCACAATCAAGTGTCAGCAGAGCTGTTCCTCCCGAGGCTGTGAGGGAGAATCTGTCCCATTCTCCGCTCCTGGCTTCCACTCCTTGGCATCCCTTCTTGGCTTGCGGTTGGTCACCTTCTCACCGGGTCTTCACATCACCTTTCCTTGTTTGCATCTCTCTGTGTCCACATTTCCTCTTTGTATAAATGAGGATGCCAGTCCTATTGGATTAGGGCCCCCCAGTCACTTCATCTTAACTTGATCATCTGCAAAGACCTTCTTTCCAAAGACAGTCACATTTACAGCTACTGGGGATGAGGACTTCAGCATCTTTAGAAGGGACAAAGTGTAATAAAACAATGGGAACATAGTGACTTCTCAGTATTATCCTCTCCCTGACCTGGTGGCATTTAGGTTTTAGCCAAAAGGTGCTTGCTCACAAGCATTTCTGTGTTATCCTTTAACCCCTTGTTTGGGCCTTAAATGGCTCAAACAAATGCAAATAAGGTGCAGTGAATATTGCTAAACCTTCACTATGCGCAGCCCATAGTTGCCACAGCTGTCAGTGGAGGTAAAATTTAGTAATTGATCAGTAGTTAATAAAGAAATCATACTACCCAATTTAATGAAGCACCTGTTAACCCAATCTGGTGTAATTCTTTGCATTCCAGACCACAGTGGAACACTTGGGAAGCAGCAAGGCTGAGTAAAAATAAGAGTATGTCAAACAAACTTTCACAGACTTTGAGCTATTATTGAGGAAAAATGTAGGGCCTGGGTGTGAGCTGGGTCACGATGAACCTCTGCAGAAGGCTCAACTTCTAACCTCTGCAGAGCATGCCCCAGGCCTGTGCCACATTATCTCACATGGGAGCCCTCGCTGCTGTTGTCCCTCCCTATGGTCGATGGGGACAGTGAGGCACAGAGGTCAGCGACTTCCCCAGATCATGTGACTGATAACTGCAGTGCTTAGGCATGACTGCAGGGCTCTGTGGGGAATGCAAGGATGGTTTGAGTCCAGTGTTAGCCTGAAGGACCAGCAGTGAGAGGGTTTCAGTGACTGTGATGGGTACAGCTCACTCTGGTGAGCCAGCGTTTCCCAGGCGGGTAGAGGAAGGTTGGGAAGAAAGAGGCTGTGGGCAGGTTCTTGAAGATCTGAGTGGTGGGGTTGGCCAGAGGATGGGGCTGGCTGAGAACAGATAAAGGTGTGAACCATCTGGGAGGCTGGTTATTTAATGTGGTGCCCAGCCTGTCTCAAGAGTAACACGTCATCCAGGGAAGCTCCCTCTCAGGTGTCCTCCTGCATGGTATTGCCAGAAAGAGACCACAGCCATGGGCGCCTTGCTAGTTGATCTTGAGAGTGGCTGAGCTGGGTCAGTATGAGAAAGGTGCAAACGATGGGCCTCGTGGGGTCCCCTGTGCTCATCAGCATCAGTCACATGGGGGTACGTGGCAGAGATTTGGGGGACACACATTTGGCTGGGATTAAGAAGCTCAGATTAAAGCGATAGTTCTGGGAGAGTTGCTTCCCCACCCAGGGATATTAAATAATGTCTGGAGACATCTTTAGATGTCACAGCAAGGGGTGGGGGGTGGGGGGAGGAGAAGTGAGGGGAGAGGGGTAGTTAAGGTGGCCACTGCACTGGGCCCAGGGGAGCTTGCTGTGATGGACGTAACCACATGGACAGAGACCTGGGCCAAAAACACGAGGCACATCTGAGGAATGAAAGTAAGAGGTGCTTTGTTTTCTGCTGCTTCTGTGTAAGAAGGGATTTGGAAGGCCAGGCAATTTTCCTGTAAGTCACCTGAGCATGTGTTGTACTGGGTGTGCTGCGGTGTTGTACTTAGAAAGGGAACACTTTCCTCTGTGACTGGAAGTGTCTGGTGATGCTGAATGCTAAGCTGGGCCTGGGGAGTTGACCGCCCTCAGCACCACCGCCCATTCACTCGTCCTTTCTTTTCTTTTCTTTTTTTTCTTTTTGAGACAGAGTCTCACTCTGTCACCAGGCTGGAGTACAGTGGCGTAATCTCGGCTCACTGCAACCTCTGCCCTCGTGAGTTCAAGCGATTCTCCTGCCTCAGCCTCCCAAGTAGCTGGGACTACAGGCGCACACCACCATGCTCAGCTAATTTTTTTGTATTTTTATTAGAGATGGGGTTTCACCATGTTGGCCAGGATGGTCTCGATCTTCTGACTTCATGATCCACCCACCTCGGCCTCCCGAAGTGCTGGGATAACAGGTGTGAGCCACCTCAACTCATCTTTTCATTCACCCTTCTATCTGTCTGTGCATCCAACCATCCATCCATCCATCCATCCCTTCCGAGCTAATGCAGAGATGCGGGTTTCTGTCTATGGGGGATGGGGATGCCACTTGACACTTCCCTTGAGAGCAAAACACGTTGACTTCAGAAGATACAGGGAACACAGAGAAAATTACAAGCAACAACATAAATCACCCAGATCTCACTTTCGGCAGCGAGTTTCTGTTTGCCTTTCTTTTTTTTTTTTTTTTTTTTTTTTGGTATATAGCCTTCTCATGTACCCAAAGAAAATTGAGACTATGCTATACTATTGTTTGGTAAAATACTTTAAGACTTAATATATTCACATTTCTCGTATTTTAAAATCCTCTCCTGGCTGGGTGAGATCCAGCACTTTAGGAGGCCAAGGTGGGTGGATCACGAGGTCAGGAGTTCAAGACCAGCCTGGCCAAGATGGTGAAACCTGTCTCTACTAAAAATACAAAAATTAGCCAAGTGTGGTGGTGGGCACCTGTAATCCCAGCTACTTGGGAGGCTGAGCCAGAGAATTGCTTGAACCCAAGAGGCAGAGGTTGCAGTGAGCTGAGATCGTGCCACTGCACTCCAACCTGGGCAACAGAGCGAGACTCAGTCTCAAAAAAAAAAAAAAAAAAGAAATCCTTTCCTAAGCCATATTAATGGCTGCTTGGCATTCTGTCATCCATAGATCAGACTTTAATTAATCAGTTTCACCGTCATCTGTGGGGTTATCTTGAGCTTTTGTGTCTGGCTTCCCATCTGTCTTCTCAGGATGAGTGACTGGGCATAAGTTGCTTTATCGACATGAGTGAGCATTGATATTTCTGCACACGTGCTTATCTCTCCTGCCCTCCAGGGGCCCAGTGTCATTCACTGGGTGCCGTGTGTCAGGCCCCCTCCCCTGCTTTTTCATATGGGTGTAGTGTTATCAGCATTAAAATCCCTCTCAGGAAATTAGAGGCAGTGCCACATTAAATCTGTAATGAATTATTTTAGAATGTTGGTTTTAGGTTGAACGACATCAAATGGTTGATATTCAACCAGTTTTTTTGGTTCTTCCTGAAACGCAGCAAGACTCTTGGTGGGTCCACTGGAGCAGAAAGCACTGTAGGTACCTAGTGTCTTGGGTCCTATCAACACCACCTACATAAACATTCTGTACGGAAGTGAGACACAGGCCCTAATTCTGGGGCCCTGGCAGATCTCCATGGCCCAGGGTGAGCGGGGGCAGACGAGAGCTTACAGGGTCTTGGATTACCTGTGTTCAAGGGTCTAAGTGGCTTATGGTGTAGCCAAACCCTTGGTGTGGGGCAGGGAGGTTGCAGGAGGAAGAAAGTTGGATGAGGTGATTGTTTCCATGTAACTTGTATCAGACCATGGCCCTGAGTTCATTCTACAGAGTCTGGGTGCTTGCTGGGAGTGAGGTGCAGTTCCAGAAGCCAGGGGATTGGGCAGGGGGCTTGGTAGAGCAATAAATCAAACAAAACAGCAGTCCCTGTGCCTATTTTAGTCTCGTGGGGTACGGGTACAGGCTGTCCCTCCCAGGCCAGTGTGCAATAGCCAGGTTCAGGCCTCTGGGCAGGTGAATAGGAAAAGCTGCCACTTCCCTCTTAAACACCAATGTTAGTTACCACAGCATCTAGCATGCTTCTGGCATAAGCTTGCCTTCAGGGAGGCTTTATTGAATAGGTAAATCATTCTTCCACCCCTCCATGATCTTTGCAAGCAAACATTCCTGAAAGTTTTGAGCAAAAAAGATAGGTATTATTACGAGTAATTTAGATGACTGTTGTTTCCACAGTGAAGTACTTCTGGGAGAAAGGGAGGCAGGACTGGGGTGCTCTGGGGGTCCCCTTTGGTGTGCAATGCTGCCTTTGGGTTCCAGTTACTTTTTTAAACCCATTTTCCTGAGTGACTGAGTCATACCTGGTGTTGTTCTGGGAATCGGGGCACATCTGGGAACGGAGTTTGTTCACGGAGCTTACCTTCCAGAGGGAGCCAGGAAATAGACAAGACCTAAAGACAAAGCTGATTGAGGTAAGTCATGTGCCCTCAAGAAAACAGCAAAACCCGCTGAGCAGGGCTGCAGTGGCGAGTGGTCAGATAGACCTTTCTGGAGCAGTGACACTGGCCTGAGATCTGGGTGGCAAAAGTTATCAGCCAAGTGACGTTCTGGAGCAGTGCTTGCCTGCCAGAGGGAACAGCTAGTGCAAGGGTCCTGGGGCAGGAACAGTTCCGTTGTGCACCAGGAAGGAGCAAAGTCAGGCAGGGCCTCGGGGCCTAGTCAAGAGGTGAAATTTTGTTCTGAATGCAGCGAGATGCCCTTGGAGAGACTTAATTTGCAGGGTGCCCTAAGGAGAATGGTTTTGTTGGTGGGTGGGTGGAGGGAGTGGAACCAGGGAGCCCAGGAGGGCGCTGCAGGGCACTCAGGTGAGTGATGGTGCACACAGCCGGGAGCAGGTAATAGAGAGAGGAGATCAGACTGGAATACACTGGCGATCACACTGACTGGACACAGTGGGCTGGATTGGGGGCAGAAGAAAGGGAGAGATGCAGGGAAAGCCTCTTGTGTGAGGATGATGGGCTTGACGGTGGGAAGGGCGAATTTTTTTTTTTTTTTTTTTTGAGATGGAGTTTCGATTTTGTTGCCCAGGCTAGAGTGCAATGGCGCGATCTCAGCTCACTGCCACCTCCGCCTCCTATGTTCAAGCGATTCTCCTGCCTCAGCCTCCTGAGTAGCTGGGATTACAGGCATGCACCACCACACCTGGCTAATTTTTTACTTTTAGTGGAGATGGGGTTTCACCATGTTGGTCAGTCTGGTCTCGAACTCCTGACCTCAGGTGATCTGCCCGCCTCAGCCTCTTAAAGTGCTGGCATTACAGGTGTGAGCCACCACGCCTGGCCAGGGAAGGGTGAGTTCTATTGTCACCACTGTTTCTGCTGCTGCTACCTTCTCAATCTAGAAGGTGGTCCATTCCATTCCTCCTTTTCCAGATGAGAGATCTGAGGCCAGAGTTCCCAAACTATACTCTAAAGATTCTTAAAAAAAAAAAAAAAAAAAAAAATCTTTAAAAGAGACAAAAGCAAGTTACATGTTCTATATGGAAATGTTTTTGTAAATGATATTTGAATTGATTATTGATCAGATTATGAGAAAGAAACTCAAGCTGGAGCTTGTGGACCCCCCGAGGGAGAGCCACCGAATCTAGGAAGATTCTTCTTTGCGACATAAGAGAAAGAACGGGAAAGGCAGTGAAACAGACACCACTGAGCTGGGCAGACTCTGGCTTGCCCTGAAGCAGGTTTGTAGGAATGGGTGTCTTTAAAACAAGATTTTAGTTACTGAATTGAAAATGCCTAGATATAGAAATAAGTGACTTCTTGACCAGGTTCAGTAACTCATGCCTATAATCCCAGCACTTTGGGAGGCCAAGGCAGCAGATCACTTGAGGTCAGGAGTTCAGGATCAGCCTGGACAGCATGGTGAAACCCTGTCTCTGCCAAAAAATACAAAAATTAGCCAGGCGTGGTGGCGCGTGCCTGTAATCCCATCTACTCAGGAGACAGGGGCAGGAGAATTGCTTGAACCCAGGAAGCAGAGGTTGCAGTGAGCCGAAATTGTACCACTGCACTCTAGCCTGGGTGACAGAGCAAGACCCTGTCTGGAAAAAAAAGAGCAGAAAAAATAAGTGACTTCTCTTTTGCAGCAATAATCTCCTGAAAATATAATCGGAAAAGGAGACGGCATTCATGGCGATGACAACATCCAAACCCAAATTTAAAATATCATAATGTATTAAAAATGTTTTCTGCAAAGAAAACATTTTGAGTCCTCTTCCGACTACTGCTGTTACTACTACAGCTAGTAGTTGTTGGTGGTAGTGCTGGTGTTACCCAACAGTTATAACATCAACCCTAGAAGAAGTGCTTTTTGTGTACCTATTATCTCATTGTGTTTTCATTGTTTCCATTTTGCAGCTAAGGAGTCCTTTCAAGGGCAAGTGATTTTTGTCCTGAGCCTCCCAGCTGGTGATTGGTAGTGCCAAGGCCCCAAGTCCATCAGCCAGACTCTAGGCAGAGTGTCCCACCCTCATAATCTTGACACCAGGGAGGGGCAAACTGTAGTCTGCCTCCTATTTTTTATAAATACATTTTTGTTGGAACATGATCCTACTCATTTATTTGTATCATCTACAGCTTTTTTTGGACCACAAGGGCAGAGCTGAGTCTTTGTGACAGAGAATATATGGCCCCACAAAGCTTAATTTACTCTCTGTCCCTTTACAGGAAAAGTTTGGCCGTCTCTGCCCTACACTGCTCTGGGACTCATATCTAAATCAATGGGGACCCAACCACATTTGTGGAAGAAAAGATGGAATAGTATAAAGATGTCACTTCTTGTAAAGCAGTACCCAGGAAATCCCAGTGGGAATATGTTTTTGCACAAATGAGATGGTGGGAGACATTTTATTAAATTATTCTAAAGTTTATTTGGAAGAGGGCCGGGTGTAGTGGCTCACTCCTGTAATCCCAGCATTTTGGGAGGCTGAGGCATGTGGATCACTTGAGGTCAGGAGTTTGAGACCAGCCTGGCCAGCATGGTGAAACCCTGTCTCTACTAAAAAAAAAAATACAAAAAATATTAGCCAGATATGGTGGCACATGCCTGTAATCCCAGTTAGGAGGCTGAGGCAGGAGAATCCCTTGAACTTAGGAGGCAGAGGTTGCAGTGAGCCAAGATCATGCCACTGTGCTCTAGCCTGGGTGAAAGAGTGAGACTTTGTCTCCAAAAAAAAAAAAAAAAATGATAATAATAAAGTTTATTTGGAAGAAAAAAAAGGTAAAAATAACTGATGGGACTTTGAAATAGAATAGTGCATAGAAGCCAGACCTTCCATGTAGTCCAACACAGCAGAACTATCATGGTTAAATAAAGGTTGATATTGTGGTAAATATAGGCAAACTAATGACACAGAACAGCCCCGATTCAGACCCTAGTGTCTGTACACATTTAAAAATGCATTAAGATGACATCACATGAGTCAGAAGGGGACAAATTGTTCAGGAATTCATGCAGGAGTAATTGCTCATCTGTTTGCTAGTTAATTTTGTAACATCCCTCCCCGAGAAGCAAAATAAATTCTTTGTACATTAATGTCAGTCCACAAACCTTTTATTTTTAAGTAAAGGAAAATAGATGTGAATGTTTATTGAATTTGTCATCAAGGGAGGCCTTTCTGTGCATCAAGGGGAAATGACAAAGGAAAGATTGATATGATTAAATAATTGAGACTTTATCAAATTACCAAATGGATTAGTGCAAGCAAGCACAGAGTGGGGGAGATATTTGCAGCCGACCTGCTGAGATTTTAGGATGTAATTGAGCAGAAGGTGCAAAATGATAATCCACAAGGTAGGACATAAGAAGTAGTTGCTACTTGGCCGGGTGTGGTGGCTCACACTTGTGATCCCAGCAGTTTCGGAGGCCGAGGCGGGCAGATCACTTGAGGTCAGGGGTTTGAGACCAGCCTGGCCAACATGGTGAAAACCCGTCTCTAATAAAATACAAAAATTAGCCAGGTGTGGTGGCGCACACCTGTGGTCCCAGCTACTAGGGAGGTGGAGGCGGCAGTGAGCCAAGATCGTGCCACTGCATTCCAGCCTGGGCGACAGAGCGAGACTCTGTCTCCAAAAAAAAAAAGTAGTAGTTGATACTTGAACTATTTCTGACTAATGGTCAAAGGAGGGTGGATTGAAATGTTGAAAGCGGGTGAATCGAGACATTGACGGCCCATCCCCTCGTTGTCAGATAAGCAAGGCTTTTCTTGACCTGCTAGTTAGGGGTGAGAACTGGACACCCGCCGCTGTTGAGAGGATGGATTGTCACAGTCTTCCAGGACTGCTTTTGGCAACCCTTCCTACTCTACTTGAAAGCAGTCCTAAGAAAATAACCCAAAATATGGAGTATGATTAGATACAAAGATGATCACTGCTGTGCCACTTACACTAGCAAAAATGTGGCAGTCTTGCTGGGAGGAGCAGGGTCAGGGTGGTGCTCCCTCTGCAGAGTTGCAGTTGGGGCCTGATGGGTCTGGTTGGGCCCCACTCCTTGACCTTGTCCCTCCTCACATCTTTCTAGCCAGTAGCCCATGTCTCCTACTTAGTGGAGTAATAAGGCCAGGAGAAATAGGTGTACCTTTATTTTCATGTAACGGCAAAATGACTTTCCCCAAATCACAGAGCTGGAGTTGGGAATCCTGGAGTTAGATCCACCAGGATTAGTACACAATTAGAGGTGCTCAGTCAAGTATCTGAGAGCGTCCAGAATCAGCTCAGCTGGCCTCCTTTTCACTTGCTCGTAGCATGGCCTTACAAAGTTGCAAAGACCTGCTGGAATCAAGGCCTCATATTTCAGAATAATAATGGGAATTCAGGCTGGGCACGGTGGCTCACACCTATACTCTCAGCACTTTGAGAGGCTGAGGCGGGTGGATCACCTGAGGTCAGGAGTTCAAGACCAGCCTGGCCAACATAGTGAAACCCTGTCTGTATTTAAAATACAAAAAAATAACTGGACATGGTGGTGGAGACCTGTAATCCCAGCTACTTGGGAGGCTGAGGCAGGAAATTGCCTGAACCCGGGTGGTGGGGGTTGCAGTGAGCCGAGATCGCATCACTGCACTCCAGCCTGGGTGACACAGTGAGACTCCATCTCGGGCGGTGGGGTGGGGGGTGAGAAGAATGGAAATTCATTTTATAAAAAGCGTTTTTGATTGTAGAAAAATCTTAGGAAAATTAAGAAAATTTTGAAGAGGAAAAGAGCTCTCCATACACTTGCTACCTAGAGATAAAGTTAGCATTCAGTGTGGAATTTACTCTTCTTTTTCTATAAAAGGTATTTTTTTGAAAACAAAGTAGAAGATTTTATTATACAATCTGTGGATTTAAATTTTTAAATATTATGTTGTATGGATTTTCCATTCTATTAAATAGCCTAAGAAGAATTGTAATGGCTGCACAGCTGTTTCTGGAGATTCGGTGCCCTCAAGCTCTGTGTGAGGAACTAGGTTGCTCCCATCTCCATGTCACCAAGCACTTTATCTACGTCTTTGATTTCCTAAAGACGGGTATATTGAGGGACAGTGGGAGGGGAGGAGGGACAGGAATTCTGTCCCCTCTCATTTTCTTAATAAATATTGGTCAAGGATGGATTTTTCATTGCTTTTTTGCTCTAGATATCTCGATTAGTAATTGATGGACATGTGAGCTCTTCAGTAAGGAAATTCATTCATTCATTCACAAATTGTACTCATTGCTTAGAGGCCAGATTCTTGATAAACTGGTGGTTAAAACTGCAGTTGCTCCCTTTCTTTGTGGCTGAAGGTCTGGCTGAGAGGCAGAGGCTAAAACAATAAACTAACGAGTGACACCTTGCAAAGTCATCTCTCCTAAGCGACGCCCTGAGGGCCCATCCACAGTTTGCATGCATGGGGTTGGCAGGTCAGGCATCCTGGGGTGTGTTGGCGCTTTTTCAGCAGATCCACTGGGTGGGCTTTGCTTTCTGCTTGTGGCTTTTTGCAACGACTGTGGCATCCTCATGGCTGCTTTGGCTTCAGGGCTCCACTCACGTCCTCACAGTATGAAATTCCTTGAGCCTCAGACATGGCATGTGTGTGTCACTAATGAGAACTGTTGGTAGAATCAGGAACAGTATTAAACCCTAGAAGCCGCCTCCCCCTCTCCAGCCTCTTCAGATCCAGCATTTTCATCAGGGAAAGCCCCTTTCAATAAAAGTGAGGCCTCAGTTTTCTCATCTGTAAGATGTATGTGTGGGGCTGGCTAGCTCTGCGGTTTTCAGAATGGCACCTAAGATGCACTTTAAAACATTCCTTTGAGTTAATGTGTACTAGAAAAGATCTATCAAGTTGTAAAAAGCGGGTTGATTGATAAAGAAGTATTAATAACAGTTGATTTTTTTTTAAAGAAGATGGTAAGTCAGTGAGTAGTGTTTGGAGGGCACAAATCCTTCCAGTGCCGAAGCTTTGCGGTCTTAAGTGGCAGGTGGGAGCCGGGAGTCTGAGTACAACCCTCTGGCCAGCCCCAGTCAAATGAATGGGCCTCTCTGCTTGCTGCTCTTAAAACGTCTTCAGAGATAGTTGCACTTTTTATTTCTGGTCACTGGCTGGGGACCAGAGCTTGGAAGTATTTCTGGTCTGGGCTGATCACAGGGTCCTGCTTCACAGCCTGTTTGCTGTCAGCCATCTGACACGGGCGGGCCAGCCTTCCCATGTGATTCAAGGGGGCTGACAGCAGCCCATTGCCACAAATGTCTGCCTAAACCCCAGGCTTGATGAGCACTTGACAGGTACACACTGGTGTGTCTGTGAGCTCTTCATGATTCTCAGCGGCAGGGTGAGGGCGGGGAAGGAAGATGTAGGTGAAGAGCTTTGACCCAGGAGCGCACTAGGGAAGCGAGCCAAGGTGTCTGCGGACTTCCAGTCCCATCCACACCCAGAAGACATGGTGGGGGCCCCCACCCCTCTCCTGTGGCATTGGTTTCATGTGTGTGTCTTTCCAGCTTAATGATAAGCAGCCGAGGGAAGGTCCGGGTCCTGCTTTCCCTTGTGTATTTACTGGTCCTGAATGCACGTGATGCTGAATTAATGTCTGAGCGCAACAGTCATCCGTGCCACAGATGGCACCAAGCACCAAGCTTCGGAGGCCCCCGCAGTCTGTGGGAGACAATCCAAGCTTGGGCTGGGCACTGCGCTCAATGCTGGAAAATTATAAAGACAGAGCAGCCAAGTCACCAGCTTTCAAGGAAACGAGTGTAGTTAGGGAACTAAGAAAAAATAACAAGCACGATGAACAGTGCGATGCCTGGGATAAAAGCAGTAAATGCCTAGAGATGATGACGGGTGTCCAGGAGAGCTAGGAAAAGAGGTGGACTTCCATTTGCAAAGGCAAAGGCACTGTTTCAGGGGGTCATTCTCCAATCGGTAGGTTTTGATGTTATAGAAATGGGGAGCCCTGTTGGGTCTTCAAGAAAGTGGGTGGGAAGAAAGGCACAAGGTCTGGAGATGTTTTGGAAGAAACAGTAGCTGTGTTTGGTGAGTGCATGGGATGTACGGAGGAAGGTGTGAAGAATCTGGAAAGCTTAGAATGTCTCCCACAGACTGTGGGGGCCTCTGAAGAGTCTGAAGTAATGGTTGCTTTGAATGCAAGGAGATTCTGGGATCTGTGCAGTGTGCTGAGAACAACCCTACAGAGGGGATGGGGGAGGGATGGGGCCAGGAATAGAGGAAGCAGAGGAGAGGGGAGGCAGGAAAGGGAGGAGGCCAGGTAAGAAGCTCAGGCCTTGAAGAGGGATTCACACGCCCTCCCCTCCTCTTCCTGACCTGTCGGGGGATCCCCAGCCTCAGATGTTCTCAGTCTGGCCAGTGAAAACATCTGGAATCATGACTCCAGCCGCGCTAGCCATCTCACTTTTTACAATAAAAACTGAGCAAGCAAGGAACACCTAGTGACGACTCATGGCCCTTGTTTTCCCCGCATCTCTGGAGTCTGAGTCACCAGCTTGGCACCCACAGTTAAGCCTTGAATGTGTGCAAGTTATAACCCGGTGTCTGGCACAGAGAACCTTAGCGCTCCTTCCCCTCCAGGTCTTCCATTCTTTTGTTGATTTGTCTCCAATACGGGTTCCCTCAAAACCAACTCTCTTCCATTTATTTCTGTCCCTAGTTTTGAGCACAGAGCCTCGTTGCTAGAGCCTGGCACTCCGTAGATGTTCACTAAGGTGACCTCTGTGCGTAGTCCCAGGTAGATGTGGCACCCAGGATATGCCCACCTTTCTCAAACTCAGACTGGAACGTGTGGTCCTGCCCTCGTTCCTCATTTTTTCACCCTGTGGCGTGGTCTTGGCTCTGAATAACCGCTGCTACCTCCTAAATTGAACTCAGTTGTTTAGGGAAATGCACCCAGAGGGGCACTGTGAGTGAGTCTGATCGGCTGGCGTGCCTGTCGGTGGCTGCCCATGCCTTCCGATGGGCCTTGCTGTTTTCTCCCCCAGGAAGAGGCAGCCCGCCCGAGCCCCAGGCAGCATGTTCCTCCTGTGCCCTGGGTGCATTAGGCGAGATCAGGCACGTTCAGGGTGATATGACGATAGACAGTGCTCCAGGAGCATTAGGAAAGGTTCTGCTGATCAGGCTTCTGTAACAGGCGGGGCATCTGCTAAGGTGGCGGGAAAGGTTTGGATTTCACTGCACCTGGGCTGGTCCTCGCCCTGAGTCGTAGCCTTGCATTCCCTGCCAAGCCACGCCCAGAAGCATCCTGGGAGGGACACCAGTCGGGTGTTGACTCTACTTGGGCTGTTGCCCAGACCAGTCGGATCAGGACTAGGAGGCAGATTTCCGTGATTTTGCCTTTGGAGTGAGAGAGGAGGCTGGGGTGTTAACCCCGTGGTCTCCTCGTGGTCCCATCAAGTGACTCTGTGAAAGCCAGGAGTCCCTCCCACCCACCCCAGGCCCCGAAGGCTTCTCCACTATAGCAACGGGGTCCAAAGCTCGGGGTGCTGGGTGTCAGGCCGTCAGTAACAGGAGGACCGACCTGCTGGGGCGGAATGTCTGTGGGTTTTAGGGTCCTCCGGAATGCACTCTTGCTCGCGGAGGGAGATGAGCAGATGTGATGAGTTTCCATCGACAGAGCTGGTGACAGAAATTACAGAGAGCAGGTGGAATCTCCCGCTTTTTGTTTTCTAACCCGGAGGAAATCTGATGAAATCAACATGATACTCCAGAAATTATCATCAAACATGGAGAATGAGTCATTCTAAACAGGGCACACAGGGAATTGGCAGGGGAGGAGCAAGGGCAGCATTTATGCCTCGATCCCCTCCAGGCCAGCTGCTTTCCTTCTGCAGCGTTCAGGTTCGTGGCCGCAGGAGAACGGAGGAGAACGTGAACAGTCTGTGCGCTCAGCCTGAGGTTTCCCTAAGACCTTCTCCGCCCCAGACATGCTCTCGTTAGGTTGGTTTTTCTGGATTGGTTTGTTCTCTAATTGTTCCTTGGGGTAGATCATTGGCAGAGGCCACAGGGAGAATATTCTGTGATCTGGAGTCTATGCGTGGCGTGACAGCAGCCGTAGCGGAGGGGGTGTGTGCGGCTTCTTGAGTTTGCCGCCGGAATCTGTCAGTGATTCCTTCTGTATGCAGTGATGTTGTCTGTTCAGACGCTGCCCTCTTGGTTCCTGGGGAGGAGCCAAGAGCAGCCTCTTTTGTCTCTGGATGAATCAGCCTTTGCACAGAAAAAGGAAAAACTTATCAGTTATGAGCTCAAATGCGCCTTCCTGTCTTCCTAGACCTGACCCCGGCTGGGAGGTGAAGAGGTGAGATGGAGCCTGCTCTTCTAGGGGGTCTTGAGATCCAGTGGTGGCTGTCCTGCCCAGGGTGGGCCCTGCAACTGCAGGCTGTCCTGGAGAAGTGACCACTGGGACCTGCTGAGTAGACGGTGGTCAAGCTTGTTGGGCTGTCCAGGTAAACCCGAGGTGCCCACCAAGGGAACCTGTTGGTGTTTTGAGAATGTGTGGCTTAGGTTTCAGGAACAGAGTAGAATTCCTAAATTCAGTCTCCTGAGTATAATCCTATCACATCAGCCATTTGGCTCCCTTAAAGATTATCCCAGAGATACCTACCGAGTTACCTCTGAAACAGTCATCTTTGTTGAAACCGAATTCGTTCATTCATTCGGGTTTGAGAGCCAACCATGCACATGACAGGAGCAGAAAAAGACAAACAGATGGTCTTATGTCCTGGGAATGCTCAGATTCTCATGGAGAAATTGGGCCAGGGACAAGTCTGTGCATGGTGTGTCTAGCGGTGGTAAAGGGCAGAGAAAGAGGATGGGGTGAGGGCCGGTTGTGTTGACATTTGAGCAAAGACCTGAATGAAGTGAGGGGATGAGAGCATCTCGTGTCTAGGCTGGGGCCTTCTGGGCTGAGAGCACTGCATGTGCAAAGGCCCCGTGGTGGGAGGGGCTTGGTACCTGGGGAACTTCATGGAGACCAGAAGAGTCAAGTGGAGGAAGGCAGAGAACAGCAGGAAATGGGACAGGGGCTGATGATGTTGGGCTTCTAGGGCACTGGAAGCTGCTGATGAGAGCCCAGGAGCCTTTGGAGGGTTTCAAACAGAGTCTGGAGGGTGTCTGACTGACTTTTCAAAATGTTCCGGCTGCTAATTGAGGGGTGGACTCCAGGCCGCAGGCAGGCCTGCTGGAGAGGAGCTGATGACTGTAATTGCATCGAGAGATGACGGTGGTGTGGATGTGCTGGGGAGAGGTCAGCCAGAGGTTGTGTTCTGCAGGTGGAGCCACCAGGAGTGCATGAGAGAGGGACGGGGCAGGGAAGACGGAGAGGGATGCTGGGCTTCTTGGATGGCTGGATGGAGCTGCCGTGCATGGCTGAGATGGGTGAGGCCAGGGGCAGGGGTTTGGGGCAAGCTCCAGAGTTGGCTTTGGATCCAGGAAATTCAAGATGCACCTTAGGTACTGAAGGGAGCGCTTGGTGGGCAGGTGGGTGTCTGAGTCTGAGGTTCAGGAACCACTTGTTAAAAGAATGGGAATGCAGCCATGTCCACCTGTGCTTTGAGGGGGCTCAGGCTGCCTGGGCATTTGAGTTGGTGGCTCCTTAGCAGTTTTCCTAGCCAAGGGGAGATAGCCACACCCACAAACACACCATTCTCTCTCATGGCACGTGCCTGGGAAGGTAGCTAATGTATGTTTCCTAATATTTTCTAATCTTAAAAATGTTTTATTGTGCACATTTTCATACAAGTACATAATTTTAGGAAAGATAGCATAATGAACCTTCGGGAGCTCATTATAAAGTCAATCACAGCATTGTGCCTTTTACTCCTTTTCTAATAAAGCAAGGACCAGTTCACGGGTGCGGCACTCGGGATGGGCGAGTCGGATCTGAGGCTCTGGGCCGTGGGCTCTGGGCTACCTGTGCTCCACAGTCCATGCACTGATGGGTCACTCTAGGACCTCACAGGGCTGGGAATCAGCGGAGCTAAGAGATGAGGAGAGAGAAGATGGGCTTCCTGGAAGCTTGGGTGAGGTTGAAGGAACAATGCAGAGGTGGACGGTGTTGGGCCAGCTGGAGACACAGCAAGTTCCAGCGAATGTGGCCAGTGATTGATTGAAGGGTTGAGATCGGCAATATGTAACCCTGGAGGTACAGGTGGAGACTGAGTAGTGGGGGTCTTTTCATCTCAGGCCAGGGGAGAGCAGACTGATTTTTTTAAAAGCGGTGAGCACTGTCCAGAAGTGTTGTAGCAGGGCAGCAGCATGGCTTTGAGAAAATCAAGGGCTCACCAGAGGTGGATGGTGAGGAGCTTGAGGAGCTCCAGGGGCCCAGCAGCCACTGGCAGCGAAGGCCTGAGCAACTCTGGGCGTGGGAAGAAATAGTTAGCAAGACTGGGAGCAGAGAGTGTTTTGTCAGGCTCACATCTTGGCTGCGTTACCCTGGGCAAGTTGCTTTAGTGATCTCTCCAAGCCCGTTTTCATGGAATCTGTAAAGTGCAGCCAAGTCTGGTACCTGCTGCCTAGGGCCCTTGAGGACGCAGTGGGATGGTGCCTGGTGGAGCTATGAGCGCAGCCTGTGCTGTAAGGGGAGGACACATAACCGTCAGCGTCCACGTCTGTTGTTAGATGCCGTTAGAATCCATCGGGGGAAGTGGGTGATCCAGGGGAGATTGAGAGGTTATCACCCAGAGGTGGCCAGTGAGCGTGGCCACACCAGGCTGAGCTGGGAGGAGGAGGAGGGGTGGGAGGGGAGAGGATTCTGCTGTAGGAAAGAGGACAGAGCTGACATCCCAGTGAGGAGCACACAGGGCAGCCCTGGGATGCTGGCTGCATTCTCCATCCCGTGCCAGCCCCCTGTAGATGCAGTGGTGTCTGGAGGAGCAGAGCTTCCCTTTCAGCCCTCGGTGTGACTCCACCTGCTCAGGAAGGTTTTGGGAGTGGAGAGCCCTCTGCACTCAGTCCACACCAGGGCTGGCTGCCCTCTTTCTGTACTGTAAAAACGGCCCCAAGGGTGCGGACAGGGGGCACCTCTGTTACTCACCCCTGAATGTCTGGATGGGTGTTACAGCTACACTCAAGGATGGCCTCCCTCTGGCCCTGGGGAGGAAGCTGTCAGTCTGGGGATTTACAGAGCATTGAGGACCACAGGACACACGTCTCCCACCTGCTATGTGGAGGGGAGGGCTGCCTGTGAGTGAGCTCAGTGGTGCCCGTGGGAACATGATGGCTTCTGGGCCCTGGGAGTGGGACTTCCCTGCTTGGCTTCTCTCGGCCTGAAAAGGGGAGAGGGTGGCAGAGTCCACAGTTGTTGACTCGTCTTCCTTGAATGGTTTCCTCTATGGGGAGAGGACTGCAGATCTCTTTCTAGAACTGCAAACACTTTAGCTTTTTGTCTCATCACTGGTTCAGGGGAGTGGCCATACCCCATCATCAATAATAAACACACACACTGGTGCATCTCCAGAAAGCACGTGTGCAGTTCTGTGACTTCTTTCTTCTGCTCCCAGGGCGCTGGAGGCCATATGTCAGTAGTTTTCAAAGAAAACGACATTGCTGCTTCCATCTTGCCCTTTTCTACAGCCAGAGTTCTCCTCCTCAATCGGAAAGCTGCAGTGGCTTCCCAGGGTCTCCTGGACAAGACTGACCCTTCACCACCGCGTTCCGCCAGCTTACCTGGCCTCCCGCCTTTGCTGTGGGCTCCACCACAGCCCCTCCATCCCTCTAGCCCCTCCACACTTGCAGGGCCAGGTCTTCACTGTGCCCACCTGTTCTTAGGCCTTCCACAGGCCTCTGGGCCTCCTCCTTCTCACTGAACACTCACTGGCATCTCACCCTCTATGGGCAGCTCTCTGGGCCCCACTAGGTGGCCAGTCGTGCTCTCCAGGTAACAGTTCCTGTTACCGCCCTAGGCCCCACCAGGGCTGGCGATGCCCTGAGCAGCCTGCGTGGAGCCCCAGATGCCTGATGCCCATCTCTGCTGACAGCTTTGCAGAGCCAGGACATGCCTGGAAGCTTTTGGGAATGCCTCCCTCTTGTGCCCAGATGGACTTTTTGTTAACCCTCCATGAAATAATTCCTCCTGGCATGAATGTGAAACCAGGCAATGCTATAGTCATGAGGCGGCGCGGTGGCCGAGGTGGCCGAGGCAACCCTTTCCCTTCTGCAGGAGAGTTGTGGGCCCAGTGGGAAGAGCACACATTGGTGATTAACAGGAGTCTTCGTTTGGCCACTGTGACCCAGAGCCTCACCCGGCGCAGTCCTCGGAGTAGCTCTGGACTGGTGGGGGTGGGAGCACCCCAGTCCCTGACAGGATGGGCAGGTGGGCTCCAGTTGCCCTCACAGCTGACACCCCCTGATTTTTCCTCCTCCTCGGGTGCAGTCAGATGGAGACTCTCAGGCAGGAACTGTCACCGTCACACGTGAAAGGCCACATGGCAAGTACCAGTTGTGGGCTGGAGATTGTCCTGAAGCTCCTCCCCTCACCCACTCATGGGTCTCTTCATTTTCTTTCTGCATCGATTCTCTTCAGTAAATGATCCCGCATTTTTGTATGGGAAGGATTTTTACTCCTCACTCAGCCTATTGAAGTCAGGCTGCTCTGGAGGTGGCCATCACTGGGGTCTCCACAGTGGCCTCCAAGCAGCCCGGGGGCTTGCACACGTGGCCCTTGCATTTCGGGGCTGCCGGGCTGCCTGGCTGTGGTAGGGTGGTCTCTCACGTGGCGGCAAGACCCCTTCATCCAGCTCTACACGCAGGCTGTGCATTCAGAGCTACTTGGTCACTGCTTCTGGTAGGGGGCGAGGGTGCTGTGCCGTCAGCGCTGAGCCTCAGCGTGCCAGACCCCAGCAGAGGGGTGGAGTGTGGGGTGGAAGGAGGCCTCCTCCTGGCATGAGCACCGTCACTGCCAGCCAGGGAGTCTCGGTCCAGGGCGTCCGGGGTTCTCCCCAAGGCGTAGTTCTCAGGGGCCGGGAATAGGGAATAAGCACACAGACCTGACCGTCGTAACTTCATGGGGAAAGATGGAAACATCTGTGACCACCCAGTTTGGGGAGAACAGCTTCATTCCTTCCTGTGAATAACTGGCCTGGGTGAGTGCTGGCCTCCACTCTGCCCCTCCTTACACTGCTGGGTAGGAGAGACGGCGGGGCTGGGCTCAGGTAGGTGTTTTTTAAGGGAAGGGCCCCCAGCAGGGCAGCTCTGCCGCTCCCCAGAGAGGTGGCCACCATGCCCTCCTCTCCTGCCGCCTGCTGCATTCAAGCACCACAGCCCCGGTGGCCCAGCAAGGGAGGCTCATCTCTCACGGTTCCAGAGGCCGGAAGTCAAAAGTCAAGGCTCTGGCCAACTCTGTTCCTAGGAGGGCCCTCTTCCTGGCTTCATGTGTCCTCACGTGGTAGAGGGAGAGAGAACGGAAGCTCTCTGGTGTCTCAAATAAAGGCGCTGATCTGATCATGAGGACCCCACCTTCATGATCTCTTCTAACTCTAACTACTCCCCACTGCCCCACCTGCCAGTGCCATCACATTAGGGGACAGACCTTCAACATAGGAGTTTCGGGAAACACAGTTCAGTCCGTAACACATGCCTTCTCTCCAGACAGCGTTCAGGTGCAGAATGCAGCCTTCTGAGGCCTTGAGATGGAAAGGACGCCTCCCTTGAGCCACTATCCGCCGGTCACTGGGAGCTGGGATTGCAGCTTCTGATGCAGTGGTGACAGTGGCTGAGACTTGGCAGGGTTAAATATTGAACACAAGATGGTCCCTATAGCAGCATGTGGACACACGCCTTGCTCTGCTCACTGCACAGGGGCTCTCCAAGCCATGCTCACTGCACATGGAGCCTGGGGGAAGAGTGGGGATGGTCAGGGCTCCCACCCGGCTGCTGCAGAAACGTTGCAAAGGGTGGTGTCAGGGCCTCCGGGTCTCTGCATGGTAAAGGCAGCACACTGGGTCAGAAGCTACATTCTCAGCTGTCCCTGGATAGAGGAATTGAGGAAAAAGGGACCTCAGACCATTGTATATGTGCCCAGTTATATAGGGGTGAGATTTGCCTGCTCAGAGCTCTAAGTACTGTGGCCAGCTGTGAAAGTGTCTGCCAGTTTCTCTTGGAGAGCACATGAAATTCACTGCTTTGAAATCGGCTCGCTGCTGTTCCTGTCCCTTCTCCCTGGACCCTGCTGAAGGGCCTGCTCAGAGCCAGTCACCTCATTCATATCCAGAACCCCCCACATGCTTCAGTCCTGTCTGTGCGCCCTTCCAGAAAAAAAAAGCAGAGGCCTTAGGGGTGATTCTTGTGGTCTCTTCCACGGAAAGATCTTTCCTGCTTAGTAACAGTGGTTCAGTAAATATGCCCTGGTTTCATCTGCATACGTTGCATTGAGAATACCTTATGGCCGCTCTGTGTTGTGTTTAGAATTGTTTATTTGGGGTGCAGGGGGATTTCAGGAGCGGATTGGGTAGGGAGCATCACCCTTGGGGCCTCTGCTGGGCTGTGTTCATTGATGGCTGCTTCCCGGGGCCGAGTCACCATGATGACTGCCCCTGCGCTGGGATCAGCCACTCTGAACAAGCAGAGGCCGATTTTTCCTTTTCCGAGCCCTGCAGCTAGCAGCATGAACTGTACAGTCCTGCGCTGTCCTCCTCTTTGACTGTAATGAATGGACTGGCCAGGTGCTGGAGCACATTTCGCAAACACCCTTACGCCCCTAAGAAGAGCAGGTGCAAACAGCCGGCCAGAAAACACTGCTTGGGCTGTGTGTGCCCAGTGTGCCAATGAGACAAGCACAAAGTGGGCACAGAGGCCAAGGAGCAAGCGCTGCTCTGCTCTGTTGGGCCAGGAAAGATGAAATGGGTCTGTCCTCATTAGAACAGCCTGGAAGAAAGAGGATTCCCACTTCCCATAAAATTACCATTGAACCCATGTTTCGCTTGCTTAAGGGACTTTTTTGTTCCTCCTCTACTTTCAGGAAGAAACATATTGCCGAGTGGATGCCGCCGCGCAGCGTGTTTGCTTGAGGCAGAAGCTTCAGCATCTGCTGGGATAACTGGAGGAAGAAATATGAAGCCTTAGCGGCTTTACCCGGGAAGCGAGTTTCGAGATGGCGGCTCAGCGGATCCGAGCGGCCAACTCCAATGGCCTCCCTCGCTGCAAGTCAGAGGGGACCCTGATTGACCTGAGCGAAGGGTTTTCAGAGACGAGCTTTAATGACATCAAAGGTGAGCTTCTGGGGAACAGGACTGTGGCTAAGGGAGAACGTTGGGATTTTCAAGTTGGGATCCAAGAACTTTTCTGCTTTAAAGATTGCCAGTTTAGCATTCAGATAGTTAAAGTTTAGTTCTTTAAACTTCATCATGGTAATAGATTTAGCCCTGGAATCATAGTCACTTGTCTTATTTTTTGGTTCCCCCTTATTAGTGAAACCCCTTCTTAATACAGGGTATGTTTCTTTTTACTTGATAAAATTCGGTGACAGTGTGGTAGGGAGCTTGGTGGTACAGAAACCCAGGGGAACAGAGAGTGTGGCAAGTAGATGAAATATTGAGAACCACTAGAGAAGAAAAAAGGTAGCTTCGGGGAGAGGTCAGCAAACCTTTTCTCCAAACAGTCTGATGGGAAATATTTGAAGCTTTGCAGGCCGTATACCATCTCTGTCACAACTATTCATTGCTGCCTCGTTGCATGAAAGCATCCATGAAGTTAAGTCATTAAATAGCCAGAGTCGTGTTTCCAAGACAACTTTTTTTTTGCAGACAGCCCCATTTGGCCCCAGGGCCGTGCTTTACCAACCCCTGATCTAGAAGGTGGTTCTAAAGTTTAATAACCCTGGGTCTCTGGGTTTCTCCAGTGGCCTCGTAAAATTGAGTTCATGAGAAAACCTATCTTTTGGACACCAAGGTGAATACTAGCAGGTCATTTTCTTCCTGCACATCTGCCCTAACCTAGGCCACGTTCAGTCTCTCTCACATGCTCCTTTGGGGCTTGGCAGTTGCGGTGACAGCACCATCATCATCAATATCATCATCCCTTGGCTTTCTCTTAGCTGTTGAAACTGTCTTGCCTGGAGCACAGCTGAAAAGTAGGAACTTGACTTTGACCATTTGTATCCTCGGCCCCAGCCTAAAGTCAGTGCTAAGTAAATGTTTCTTGAACTAAACTGCTATCCCCCAGATAAAGTTGTAATCCTCTACCCTGATGTACAAAAATTATATGCACTGTGTTTATGTCTGTCTAATTGAGTAGCTTCTCCTTCCCCTTTATCCCAAACATCTTCTCCCTGCCTCTGATTGATGCTGGCATCCCTGGGCATTGCTGTAAATGTTCTTTAAAAGAAACGTCTAGCCCGTGTGAGATTTTATTTGTAAGAGAGCAACAGTGATTGGGTGTTGCCATAAATAACTGAAGCATTTATTTTTCAGATTCTGTTAATGGACATTTTGTTTTTTACTTTATAGCCCAACTCATCAGAGTCAAAGCTGGAACTTGTGAGCATAAATTGTGTGATTTGGGCAGAGTGTTAAAGTGAGGAGGGCAGAGTCTTAAAGTGAGGTGAATTTTTAAAAATGTCAGTGGGCTGGGCGCGGTGGCTCACGCCTGTAATCCCAGCACTTTAGGAGGCCGAGGCAGGCGGATCACGAGGTCAGGAGTTCGAGACCAGCCTGGCCAACATGGTGAAACCCCGTCTCTACTAAAAATACAAAAAATTAGCCAGGCATGGTGGAGCGTGCCTGTAATCCCAGCTACTCAGGAGGCTGAGGCAGGAGAATCACTTGAACCCAGGAGGCAGAGGTTGCAGTGAGCCGAGATCACACCACTGCACTCTGAGACTCTATATAAAAAATAATAATAATAATAATGACAGTGCTCTGGAGGAAATATTGGCTGTTATCCCTAAAAGAATCCCTAATTTAGAGGAGGAAGACAAACAAGACAGCCTTGAACGTGAGGAGGAGGACAGCCTCAAACATGAAGGGGAGGGTGTTTTGAGAATCTGAGGTGGACAGAACCATGGGATCTCTGGCCTTGCCCAGAGATTCTGGGGAATCTACCTCCGAGGCGCCACATGTGACCCAGGCAGTTTGCTAGCCAGAAGCTTCACGCACATCCCAGTGATAGACAGACTTCAAGGTGGGAATTTATTTCAGCCAAAGTATCTGCCATGAAACCTTCTACTCTGATGAATGTTTTGCCTGCAGAAGAACGTAGGCAGACGGATAGGAAATGTATTATTCAGTACATTGAACTTCCTAACACCCAGGGAGATTTTTGTATTAAAATCAAGGTGGCTGTGAATCTGGGTAACACTCCTCAGAATTCATTAAGATAGAATTCGTTAGGGATTCTCTGGCATTTGATGGGATGGAAGCCCTTCCCCAGTGTCCCCAGCTGCTTGGTGGCAGTTGACTGATGGAGGGCCTCATCTAGAAGGGGGAATCACACAACAGTCCACCTCCCTAGGGTTCTGGAAAGGAAGAGTGGGGTGATTTCCCTTGGCTAAGCCTGATCCCTTGAGTGAGATCTGTGACCATTTCTCTTCCAAGGAGAGTGCTGGGAATTTTAAGTAAAACCATTCTTATTCTTCAGTTGGATAAAACTGAATGATAATTCTCATTGATACATTCTAGGCTATGCACAAAGCATTCTTGATTGCTTTGGTTTCTTAATTTTGAAACTACTGTAAGGGAATTATTCTGAGGGAGCATAATAAGGACATAACCTTTGAGGGATTCTAGCAAGATTTTGATGGCCGGCAAGCTCTATTTAATTTTCATTTAGTTTTCATCTTTATGTGACATTTCCAGTAGATTGTGTCAAGGAGATAAAATGGTTTATATTCCTGGAGATCATGACTAGCAAAACAGAAATGAGAGAGAAGAGCTTCTGTATCCTCTGGCCTCAGCCTGACCCACATCAATTCTTCCCACCTCTCCATGAAAGCCATTTTCTTTCACAGGTTTTGGTTCACTCCCATCTCATATTAAATAATTTGTTGGTTTTATGATTTTTTTAGAGCACAAGGGCACAGCCAGGGGGAATTCAGACACTGCTTTCACCAACACCAGGATCCAATAGCATAGATTATGGCTTCTCTGTGTCGTTTACGCATGCACGATGATCATTCATTCCACAAATACTCATTGAGTCCCCGCTACGCGCCAGGCCTTGTACGAGGCCCAGGGATACAACAGCAAACAAAACAGGCTCTAATGGTGCTGATACCCTAATGGGGAGATGGAGGCTCCTCCTGCAAAAGAAACACACATACACACACACATACACATATTTCATATATATATACACATATATATAATATATATATAAAGGATATATGTATTTTATATATATATTATATATAATATATATTATATATAATATATATTATATATAATATATATATTATATATATATATTATATATTATATATATATTATATATAGTATATATATTTTATATATATATATATAATATATATACATATATATATATATATATATATATATATATATATATATATGAGGTATGTAGAGAAGGAAAAATTCTTAGTTCTTGGCTTGGGCCCCTATAACAAAAGACATTAATAAGAGAAAAGCATGCAAACTTACTTAATATATGTTATATGTATATTACAGATATATAATTTCTTCATAAGGAAATGAAGACTTAAAGAAGTAATTAAACCTGAGGGATTTGATGAGGTGTGGAGAGTCCTGGAAAAATGAGATGGGACAAGAAAAAGCATAAGCAAGTGTCATGAGCTGGAGGACAGCAAGGCCTGGGCATTGCAGATTCCCTGTGTCCTTGGAGATAGGATGCTCTGTCCCCCACATATAGGGAGGGCCCCTCCCACTTGAGGGTCTATGACCTGCTTCAGGGGGCAGGCAGGGAGTCCTGCCTGCACCTGCGGTTTCTCAAATTCCTCCAGCTTAAAATATGTGTGGTGCTATATTTTGGGGTAGCATGTTCTGAACCTCATCAGGTACATGATGTAGTGGTTGGTGGTAAGAGCTATGGAAAAAGATAACATTGGGGCCAGGAGATGTCTATTTCACATAACATCCTGTGTGTCCTCAAGTTGGGTCAAGCAATATTATGACAAGTGCCTTATCTACGTCTTTGCATTTTGTCCTCTCCAAAGCTCATTGAGGAAATACACTTTTTGTCCACCATGAGTGGAGTCTTAGGCTCTGGAGATCACACAGTTTCTAAGGGCTCCACTCGAGTCTGGGTTTAGTGATCCCAGAGCCGGGTTCTCTGAGACACCCAGATAGACGGGCCTGCTGTAATTTCACAGGAGGAGGTAGGTGGGGCTTCAAGGCCCAGGGATGCTCCCAGCTAAGCGCATCTCTGTAACCCAGTTAATGTAAATGAATAGAAACTGTCTACCTGATTTCCTAACACTTTCCCAAGGAAGTGTGATTATTTCCTTTCAAAGGAAAAGGAAACTGGCAGGTGATTTTCTGGGGTCGGGGGGGCAATTTGATAGAATACGATGACTGTGGACTTCATCACATTAGAAAAGATGTAGGTTTAGTTTAACTAAAAACGGATTCCTTTCTTTGGTCATTTGCTTTGGCAACTTAAAAAAAAAAAAGAAAGAAAGAAAGAAAGAAACGTTTCCTTTCTTTCTTTCAATTGTTTATTACGGGAAGCCAGAATGTCAGCAGACTCCGTAAGTGAGGCAGTTTGGGAGGTGGGGGAGGGGAGTCCTGGGGAGAAGTATATGTGCTTATTTTCTTCAGAAAGAGTGTTCTTCATCTTCTGAATATATCTTCTCATTTAATCATATCCATTATTTTTCAAAACACACCACTTGTTTGGCTGACTTATTTTTGCTGTTTCATTTGCCGTCTACATTGGTAACATACAGAGTTCAATGGCAGGAGCCATGAATTAACTTGATTCACTTTTTGAAGGGTTGGAATTTTTCAGACTGCTTCAACACTTGTTCAATGATAGTATGAGCTATGACTAGGCATAATCTCTCATTTTCAAGGTATGTAGACAGTCTGTTTTCATGTTGTGATTTTGAATGATAATTTAAAAGAGGTTGGGCCAGGCGCAGTGGCTCACACCAGTAATCCCATCATTTTGGGAGGCTGAGGCGGGAGGATCACTTGAGGTCAGGAGTTTGAGACCAGCCTGGTCAACATGATGAAACCCCATTTCTACTAAAAATACAAAAATTAGCCAGGCATGGTGGCACACACCTGTAATCTCAGCTACTTTGGAGGCTGAGGCAGGAGAATCACTTGAATCTGAGCGGCTGAGGTTGCAGTGAGCTGAGATCATGTCAATACATGCCAGCCTGGGTGGCGGAGTGAGACACTGTCTCATAAATAAATAAATAAATAAGTAAAATAAGAATAAAAGAGGTTGGAAGGAACTGACTTCAGAATTCTTACTTTATCTGAGGAAACAGTTTGGTGAGGAACAGGTTGAGTTTGGAAATTTAAGAAGCAGGTTGAGGGAAGCTTTCCATCCAGAGGCAGAGCTTGGAATCAGCTCATACATGTCATTGCGGGAGTTTTTGGAATCTGTTCATTTCCAGTCCCTGATCACATGCAGTGGTCACCTAACTCACCGTGTCACCGTGTTTTCTAAGTTAATCACATTCAGTTTCTCTTTGTATCTAGTAGCAGTTCTTTTAAGAAGAATTTTAACGTTGCCCAAAATGAGATGTTTAGGGCGTAGGGCATGTTAAATATTCCATTGCACTGATTTGCCTTTCTGTGAGTGATGGAGAGGCTCCTCTGTGGTCTTTCTGCCGGACATAGGCTGTCGATTTTGAAGGTGACCAAGTAGCAGGAACCAGTTCGTTGGCCAGGTAAATTACCTACTGAATTTCACTTTGGTTTGTTTCTGTTGGTGACTTGCCTGGGTTATTGTGCACCTGTCTGTTTACCACCGTCCTCTCTCCTTTGGGAAGCTCTCCGGACACCCCGCCGGCCTTGCCCTCACCATCTGTTTTCTTTGTGTTTTGCACAGTGCCTTCTCCCAGTGCCTTGCTCGTAGACAACCCCACACCTTTCGGAAATGCAAAGGAAGTGATTGCGATCAAGGACTATTGCCCCACCAACTTCACCACACTGAAGTTCTCCAAGGGCGACCATCTCTACGTCTTGGACACATCTGGCGGTGAGTGGTGGTACGCACACAACACCACCGAAATGGGCTACATCCCCTCCTCCTATGTGCAGCCCTTGAACTACCGGAACTCAACACTGAGTGACAGCGGTATGATTGATAATCTTCCAGACAGCCCAGACGAGGTAGCCAAGGAGCTGGAGCTGCTCGGGGGATGGACAGATGACAAAAAAGTACCAGGCAGAATGTACAGTAATAACCCTTTCTGGAATGGGGTCCAGACCAATCCATTTCTGAATGGGAACGTGCCCGTCATGCCCAGCCTGGATGAGCTGAATCCCAAAAGTACTGTGGATTTGCTCCTTTTTGACGCAGGTACATCCTCCTTCACCGAATCCAGCTCAGCCACCACGAATAGCACTGGCAACATCTTCGATGAGCTTCCAGTCACAAACGGACTCCACGCAGAGCCGCCGGTCAGGCGGGACAACCCCTTCTTCAGAAGCAAGCGCTCCTACAGTCTCTCGGAACTCTCCGTCCTCCAAGCCAAGTCCGATGCTCCCACATCGTCGAGTTTCTTCACCGGCTTGAAATCACCTGCCCCCGAGCAATTTCAGAGCCGGGAGGATTTTCGAACTGCCTGGCTAAACCACAGGAAGCTGGCCCGGTCTTGCCACGACCTGGACTTGCTTGGCCAAAGCCCTGGTTGGGGCCAGACCCAAGCCGTGGAGACAAACATCGTGTGCAAGCTGGATAGCTCCGGGGGTGCTGTCCAGCTTCCTGACACCAGCATCAGCATCCACGTGCCCGAGGGCCACGTCGCCCCTGGGGAGACCCAGCAGATCTCCATGAAAGCCCTGCTGGACCCCCCGCTGGAGCTCAACAGTGACAGGTCCTGCAGCATCAGCCCTGTGCTGGAGGTCAAGCTGAGCAACCTGGAGGTGAAAACCTCTATCATCTTGGAGATGAAAGTGTCAGCCGAGATAAAAAATGACCTTTTTAGCAAAAGCACAGTGGGCCTCCAGTGCCTGAGGAGCGACTCGAAGGAAGGGCCATATGTCTCCGTCCCGCTCAACTGCAGCTGTGGGGACACGGTCCAGGCACAGCTGCACAACCTGGAGCCCTGTATGTACGTGGCTGTCGTGGCCCATGGCCCAAGCATCCTCTACCCTTCCACCGTGTGGGACTTCATCAATAAAAAAGTCACAGTGGGTCTCTACGGCCCTAAACACATCCACCCATCCTTCAAGACGGTAGTGACCATTTTTGGGCATGACTGTGCCCCAAAGACGCTCCTGGTCAGCGAGGTCACACGCCAGGCACCCAACCCTGCCCCGGTGGCCCTGCAGCTGTGGGGGAAGCACCAGTTCGTTTTGTCCAGGCCCCAGGATCTCAAGGTCTGTATGTTTTCCAATATGACGAATTACGAGGTCAAAGCCAGCGAGCAGGCCAAAGTGGTGCGAGGATTCCAGCTGAAGCTGGGCAAGGTGAGCCGCCTGATCTTCCCCATCACCTCCCAGAACCCCAACGAGCTCTCTGACTTCACGCTGCGGGTTCAGGTGAAGGACGACCAGGAGGCCATCCTCACCCAGTTTTGTGTCCAGACTCCTCAGCCACCCCCTAAAAGTGCCATCAAGCCTTCCGGGCAAAGGAGGTTTCTCAAGAAGAACGAAGTCGGGAAAATCATCCTGTCCCCGTTTGCCACCACTACAAAGTACCCGACTTTCCAGGACCGCCCGGTGTCCAGCCTCAAGTTTGGTAAGTTGCTCAAGACTGTGGTGCGGCAGAACAAGAACCACTACCTGCTGGAGTACAAGAAGGGCGACGGGATCGCCCTGCTCAGCGAGGAGCGGGTCAGGCTCCGGGGCCAGCTGTGGACCAAGGAGTGGTACATCGGCTACTACCAGGGCAGGGTGGGCCTCGTGCACACCAAGAACGTGCTGGTGGTCGGCAGGGCCCGGCCCAGCCTGTGCTCGGGCCCCGAGCTGAGCACCTCGGTGCTGCTGGAGCAGATCCTGCGGCCCTGCAAATTCCTCACGTACATCTATGCCTCCGTGAGGACCCTGCTCATGGAGAACATCAGCAGCTGGCGCTCCTTCGCTGACGCCCTGGGCTACGTGAACCTGCCGCTCACCTTTTTCTGCCGGGCAGAGCTGGATAGTGAGCCCGAGCGGGTGGCGTCCGTCCTAGAAAAGCTGAAGGAGGACTGTAACAACACTGAGAACAAAGAACGGAAGTCCTTCCAGAAGGAGCTTGTGATGGTGAGTGCTCAGCAGGTGCCTGGGCGTTCAGGGGTGCTGCTCAGCAAAGCCTTTCCGCCTTCCCAGTGCACATGGGCGTGGGCCGTGGTGTCGTAAGTCACCAGGACAGTGTCTGTGGCTGATGTCCCGCTGCCTGAGATAGGTGCGGCTCAGCACAGCCTTTCGCCTTCCCAATATGCGTGGGCGTGGGCCGTGGTGTTGTAAGTCACCAGGACAGTGTCTGTGGCTGATGTCCCGCTGCCTGAGATAGGTGCGGCTCAGCACAGCCTTTCGCCTTCCCAATATGCGTGGGCGTGGGCCGTGGTGTTGTAAGTCACCAGGACAGTGTCTGTGGCTGATGTCCCGCTGCCTGAGATAGGTGCGGCTCAGCACAGCCTTTCGCCTTCCCAATATGCGTGGGCGTGGGCCGTGGTGTTGTAAGTCACCAGGACAGTGTCTGTGGCTGATGTCCCGCTGCCTGAGATAGGTGCGGCTCAGCACAGCCTTTCGCCTTCCCAATATGCGTGGGCGTGGGCCGTGGTGTTGTAAGTCACCAGGACAGTGTCTGTGGCTGATGTCCCGCTGCCTGGGATATACGTGTGGGGCTTGAAGTGTGCTTGAAGTGGAGATGGGGTTTACGGGGGATCCTGGGGGGCCCCAGACAACCCAAGGACCCTGCAAAGAAGAGCATTCCAGTTACTTTTCCCACCGAATCTGTGAGCTCCAAGAGGGTCCCAGAATGGACCAGATGCGGGTGGGGGCAGAAGGCGGCCTGTGCTCTCGCCATTCAGTTTAGATCTCTTGGGAGCAGATGTGGTTCGTTAGATTCCCAACAGGGTCTCTGACTCCAGAGTCCCACGAACCGCTGCCCCAAAGCCTGTGTTCATTGTAATGTGAGTTTTTCTTGCCTTTGCTTCCTTGAAGCTTCTAACATCTCTGTATTGTTTCCACTTCCCCCTCTGTGTTGGTTTGAGTTGGGGCGAGGACAGCATTTGTTTTGCCAGCACAACCGTGAACTGGAATCCAAAGAAATAAAAGGGGGAAGTAAGCATCAGACTGTGGGTTACGCCCTGGCCCACGAGCCAACCGGGGAGCATTTGCTCAACGCTTTCTTAGCACTGCTCCCCGCAGGCAGCCCCACCGTCAGCAGAGCTGGGTCCTGGCGGTTACCTTGGCTAGGCTTAGCCATATCCGTGTCCTGGCATCCCCAGGGGTGTTTGTGGTGGAGAGTCCCTGTGGACTTCTCCCTGTGATAGAACGGAGTCCACCCCTATCCTCCGGAGAGGGGCGCATTGCTGGTGTTCATTCCTGTGGGAAAACCCTGTGACCTTGGCGTGTGCCGCTCTTCCTCGTTCCTCTGAGCCCGCAGGCTTTCTTGCATCCTAGCTTCTGAGAGGCGTGCTTCTTGGTGCCCGGCCTTTCTGCCACCTCCCCGGCTCCCCTGGATTGAGCCCTGTTTGTCTGGGAGAGCCCAGAGTGTCCTGTAGACACAGGTGTGCAGGCAAGGGTCACATGTGGCACATACCCGGCTCGGCTGCCCATGTTGAGCCAGGAGACAGAAGGGACGCAGCCCGGCAGGAGTGGGGCAGGAGTCGGGTGAGACCCTCTCTGGGTGGCCTGCAGTCGTGTGCAGTGCCAGAAGCATGGAGCCACGAGATTGCCCAGGGGAGGGAGATGGAACTGGAAGCGGCCGTCAGGGGGGCCACCTTGGCAACCAGGAAATCACTGCACTTGGGTGGGGAGGAAGCGAACAAACGCAGCAGGGAAGCCTCCGGGCCCCCATGTGGGGTCACCTGCAGGGAGGGGATGGCCTGCGTCCCTCCCATCAGCCATCACCCATGTGTGATTCAGAGCACACCTCCTGGCTCTCCAGAACCTGGTGCCGGGCCGTGGCCTGGTCTCCTCACGGGTGCACCCAGCACAGTGGCAGACAAAGCGCCTCCATCCCGTGAGAGCCTCTGTGCGGGCGGCCCCGAGACCACAGCCGTGGCTGTGCATGCTGTCGTGGAACCTGACAGCATTGCTGAGCCCAGGACACTCACCTCGACGTTGCACCAGAGGTGGAAAAATGACACAACCAGGAGTACCACACCAGCTGTGGAAAATAACCGCCGAGTAGGTGGCTTTTACACTCATTTTCCTGCTTTTTTATCTTTTTCCAAAAGACATAAATGATCAAACTCTCTCAATTCGATTGGTGAGCATCTCTGGGAGGGGATTTTTTGGTGGGCCTCCCTGTCCGCTCCAGGGAGGGGTGTGTCCTCTGTGCCCGAGTCCTTCCGCTACCCAGAAAGGAGGAAGTGAAACTTGCCCTTGGCCAGGTCGGCTCCCTGAGGCAAGGTTAGATTTTGTGGTGATAAAGTGAAACTGGTTTTGCAGTGTCCCCACCCGCCCCCCACACCTGTGTCAGTCATCATCTTGGCCAAACTTATAGAAACCACAGACGGATTTCTCCCAGGTCGTTTATTAGGAGACCCTGAAAACTGGCTGTTCTATTCCGCTTGTCATCACAGGGCTGCCACGATTTCTGCGGCCTCTGCCACCGCTTTACCTGCCCCTCCCAGAGAGTCACAGCCAGGCCACCCCCTGCCTCTCATTTTTAGCATAGCTTTCGGTGTCCTTGTTCTGATGCCTTGGGTTGGAAACAGTGTTTAAATGATGGGGAAAATGTGAGAGTTTGAGACAGTCAGTGTGCAGGGAGATGGGAAGGAAAAAGGAGTCAAATGAGACCTGGGTTGTTCCTCTCTCCACTGCCTTTAGAACGGGGTCAGCCTTTGCCCCTGCCCCACAAAGTCGTGTAAGATCTGGCCCTACCCATCCCAACCCTGGGGGCCACTGTGCTCTGTGCACCCCTGCCCTGAACACACCCAGCTCGCCCGGCCTCCAGCTCCTGCAGATGCTATGCTGTTCCTCTTCCTGGAGCTCCCTTTCCCAGACCTCCTCATCTCCCTCAGCTGCCAGCTCAAATGCCGTCTCTCCAGGACGTCCTTCTCTGCAGCCCCGCGCACTCCATCATCCTCTGTCTCCATGGTGTTTCTTGAATCAGAAGCGGTTTGTTTTGGCCAGGCATGGAGGTTCACACCTGTAATACCAGCACTTTGGGAGGCTGAGACAGGAGAATCGCTTGAGCCCGGGAATTCAAGACCAGCCTGAGCAACATAGTGAGGCTTCATCTCTCCAATTTTTTTTTTTTAAATCAGCCAGGTGTGTTGGTGTGCACCTGTAGTCCCAGCTACTTGGGAGGCTGAGGTGGGAGGATCACTTGAGCCCAGGAGGTCGAGGCTACACTGAGCTATGATCGCAGCACTGCACTCCAGCCTGGACAACAGAGTGAAACCCTGTCTTGAAAATAAAGGAAGAGAAGAAAAGAAACAAGTTTGTTTATGTTCTTGTGCACTTGTTTCTCATTATTACTCTAACTGAACATAGGTCCCATGAGAGGAAGGGCCCCGGCACATAAGAATCACTGAGGTACTAGATGGATAAGTGATTGAATGAATGAATGATGGATGAATGAATGAATGATGAATGAATGAATGAATGAATGCAGGCCTTGGGCTGGGCTAAGAATCCAAGCGGGAGGCATTCTCACGTGGCCATACCATGCTTCTGTTCTGTGGTTCCATTTCCTCTTTCCATTCTTTTTGTGCCTGTTTTTGATAGAGTCCGTGTGTGAGGCATCCCCGTACCTCTGCCTGCCCCTTCCCAGCAGCATGGCTGTGGCTGCACTCAGAGCACCCCTCTGTCCTGGCCACTTCTCTCCCACCAGAGCCTCTGTCCGTGATGGTGTCAGCTGAAGAATGACAAGGTTTGTTCATTTGGAAAGGAGAGCCTCATTCCTCATAAAGGGTTGCAGCCTGTGGGTGGCTATTCTGACAGGTTGGGAAGCAGAGCCTCCTGCCAGAAGCCAAAAACAGACACTTCAAGGGAGGGGCAAAGGCAACAAGAATTTATGGATATTGGTGGCCAAATATACATATTCAATAAGCCGTAGGGGGAGTCATGAGTATTTATGAAAGGAGAAATGTGCACATTCACATTTAAGCCTTGTGCTCCTTCAGGGGTCCCATGTACAAAAAATGGTGGCAGTGGCATGATTCAAGGGTAGGGTTTTCTTTCAGCCCCCTGATGCGTCAGAGGCGAAGCAGGGGACATGAAACCCTCGCTGTGCATCCTCTGTAGACTGGCCAGAAACACTGCGTGGTCGGTGGGCTCCCGTCAGGCAAAGAGGAGGGGCAGCGTCTGGCAGTGGTAGAGGCCTTTGAAAGGGAACCCAGCTTTTTAAGAATCAGAAAAGTCATTCAGCAGCGCCCTTTTGATGCAAGAGACTATTCCCAATTCTCGGGATACTGTCAGCACTCGGCACATGGTCTCTGTTATGGTGGGGAAGGAAGGGGAGTCAGCTGGAGATAGCCGTGGGCAGTGGCCATCAGCCATGGGAGCAGAAGCAGCCCACGGTGGCCTCAGGCCCAGGGAGAACTTCCTAAGGGGCCAGAGTGAGCTGTCACAACTGGTCCTGGATCCACCATAAGAACGAAGCCGTGGGGTGTGGTGACCTGGAGCCGTCGGTGATGGCTGTAGCAGGGGCGTTTTGGTCAAGTTGCGGGAGGTAGGGAAATAGGCGTGTCGGGCTCTGTAGAGAAGTTTCTATGAGAAAGGGAAGGAGTTGCTGTGGGATGCAAAGCAAGGGAGGGTGGTTGTTTTGGGAGTGGAGTGGGGGCCGGAATAAACCCAAAGAGACTTGAAAACTAACAGAAATAAGGAAGCTAGCAAGTGCATGGGGCGCATTGGGGCGGGAAAGACTGGTGTGGTGTGAAGGGACTCTCTGTGGATTGGGAGAAGACCCACTTTAACCTCCAGAAGAGGAGGAGTTGATGGACAGTGTGCATTGGATGGGGTCCTGAGGGATTCCTCCCAGGCAGCCCCAAAGCCAGAGCCTGTGGCTGTTAATGTGGGAGAGGGAAGGAGGATGGGCCCATTGTCCAGATGCCATGTGCAGAAGGCTTCCCCTCGAGTTTTGGGGCATGTTGGGAAGGAAGCAGGATGGAATAAACATGCAGCAAAAAAGCCTAAATTGTATTTCTTTGTACTTTATAAGAGTATTTTCCCCCGCCCCTTTTTTGAGAAAAGGTCTCGCTCTGTCTCCTAGGCGGGAGTGCAGTGGTGTGATCACAGCTCACTGCAGCCTCGAACTCCTGGGCTCAAGCAGTCCTCCCACCTCAGCCTCCCAAGTAGCTGGGACTACAAGCAGGTGCCACCACACCCAGCTAATTTTTTTTTTTTTTTGTCTGTAGTAGAGACAAGGTTTGATTGTGTTGCCCAGGCCGGTGTGGAACTCATTGAGCTCAAGCTATCCTCCCACCTCAGCCTACCAAAATGCTGGTATTATAGGGGTGAGCCACCATGGCTGGACAAGAATATCTCTTGAAGCAAGTTCCCAGACTCTGGCCGCCAGGCCCGCTATTCCTGTCAATGGCGTTTTGTTGGAACTCAGCCACACCCATTCCCATCTGCATCGTCTGTGGCTTTCAGGCTTCGTGTGTCCCACAAAGGCAAAAGTACTATCTGTCCCTTTATAAAGTTCAGTCACCCTGACTGAAATCATGGTGTACTCACTGTAACAAAATTCCAGTTGAAACCAGGGTAGTGCAGCAGTCCATCGAGTGTTTCCTGGTGTACCTGTGTGCCCATAAAAAGAGGAAGCTGCAAGGATCAAGTTCATAGAGCTAGAGCCTCCTGCTGTGAAATTTTTCTATTGCTAAGAATTGGTTGGCACCCAAAATTTGTCCTTTAAAAATATGCATCAGTTATGCCTTGTTGATGGTGTGGGTGGTTTGTAACAAACTAAACCAGGGCTGGGCTCAGTAAAAGTTGTGTAAGTGAGTGAGGGAGAGATGCCTTCATTCTTGGTGTTGGAAGTGCCGACCTCTCCTTTCATCTGGGATCCATGGAAATGGGACCTTGGCTGCCCCTGGATGGAGTCCAGGCGCTCTCCTTCCCAGGGGCCAGAGAACACCTGTGTTTCCCAGGACCTTGGGGACCTGTGCCCAGTTCCCCTGGGGAGAGAGCGGTTTTGATCACTCGCACCAGGAATGACTCGAGTCAGAAGCAGGTGACTTTGACCTGTTCTGTTACCTAGAAAATGAGGCCACTTTGGAGCCAGGCAGCTGTGCACACAGCCAGATTAGCTTGGTGTGTGCTGAGTAGCCACGAAAGAGCTGAGTTGGGGACATTGAGTGACTTCGTGTCAAACCCTGTGGTGGTCCAGCACACCTTCCCAGGACCACAGACGAGGCTGCCACCACAGCAAGAAAATTAGGATCTGACAGCCTACCAGCTAACTACACACCCTCCTGACACGTGAATACACACGTGTATGCTTTTATCTTCTGAAACAAATCTAGTCAACATTTAATTTTTTAAAACAATTTGTTTTGAATATATCCAAATTCAAATAGAAACAGACCTTCTTCTGAAATATATAAATAGTTGATATGAAGCATAATCCAGACCGGTATTACATTTGGTTCAATTCCCAATTCCATGTGGGGCTCATGGAATTGGGAAGGCCGCTGGCCGAGTGCTGAGAAGTTTGCATATTTGCCTCCACGCCTGTCACTTCCAGCTGTGGGACCCGGGACAAGCCTGGGGTCTGCAGGCTTCCTGTGCTTATCTGTAGAACAGATGCCTTGCGGCCCACACAGCAGGGAGGACCTGGGGTTGGGTGCCCAGAGGCAGCTCTGGCTCTGGCATTTCTCGGTGTGAAACCCACTTCCCCTCTCTCAGCTTCTTCTGTAAAGTGGGTTGAACTCAGCCTCTGCTTCATGGGGGGCTCTGGGGAGCGGAGGAGCTGAGTGTCTGGCTCACAGCAAGCCCTGGGTTTCTTTTTTTTTCTTTTCTTTTTTTTGAGACGGAGTCTCGCTCTGTCCCCTAGGCTGGAGTGCAGTGGCGCGATCTCAGCTCACTACAAGCTCCGCCTCCCGGGTTCACGCCATTCTCCTGCCTCAGCCTCCTGAGTAGCTGGGACTACAGGTGCCCGCCACCACACCCGGCTAATTTTTTTTGTACTTTTAGTAGAGACAGGGTTTCACTGTGTTAGCCAGGATGGTCTCGATCTCCTGACCTCGTGATCCACCTGCCTCAGCCTCCCAAAGTGCTGGGATTACAGGCGTGAGCCACCGCTCCTGGCCTAGCCCTGGGTTTCTAGTAGCTTCTACAAAAACAAACGGCCACCAGGTCCTCAAACCCCCTTCTGGCCAGCCTCGTTGGTAGCCAGCTGTCAGCCTCTCATATCTAGGGAGGCATCAGAATGATCTGTCGCTCCTGGTTCTTTTTAAATTCCATGGATTGAGATGCTGGGGGCCCACCTAGAAGGATCGTGAGTCACCTACTCTGGCTAATGCATGCCACAAGTCGCCAAAAAGGTCACCTTTTTGTATTGTTAGACTCCCCCCAGGTAAACATAAAGTGTACATTAGAATGCTCAGTCTAAAACAGCTGGGCTCGCTTTGAAGTAAGCAGCCCAGCCGACCGCATGAGCACTAGCAAGACGACCCTGCTATCGGCACAAAATAGTTGGCCAAAGAGCGCCGGTACCAGCGGTGTGGTTGGCGGGGGTGGGGGGTTGTTTGTTTTTTAGCACACTTTGGAGTCCTAAAATGACAACCTCAGGTGCTGAAACAGAGCGTAGAGAGAAAGAACGCCAGGACTGGTGACTTTCCTCTTCTCTTAGCAACTCGCCTGTCCAGGGGCTCACGGGAGCCTCAGAAACCGTCTCTGGGCTGCCTCAGGCCACTGTGCCCTGGAAGCCAAGCCTTTCCCATTGTTGGATGAGAGAAAGCTTTAAGGGTGGGGGTGAGCTGTGCCTTCTATGGCAGAGGAGACTCAGACAAGAATCAGACCCAGCATGCGGCTCTCCTGCCTTCCTGGTGACGTCATCCTGACTGGCTCAGAGCCACACGCTAACCATGTGTGGCCTCATTTATAATTAGGATGGCGCCAGAGTCGCTTGCATGACACCCAGTGGCAGTCATGTGACTTGGCACAGTGTACAGGACTAGCAGGCCTGCTGTCTTGTGCTAGCCAATTTGATTTGTTTCTTTAAACCAGAAGTGTGAGTTTGACCCCAGCCTGGGGTCCCCCAGATATATTAGCCATATGTTCAATGCCTGTCCCATCCAGCCCCCGTTTTTAGGAGGGAATTGAGTCCCAAGGCGGCCACGTGGTTGTTCCAGCCTCAGCTGGGACTTCACTGTCCCAGCAGGGCTGTCTGTCCTATTACCTCCCCTCTGACTTCCTCTGTGGTTAGTAATCCCTGTCCTAAAGACACAGTAGAAAGTTCTTGCAGCTTTGACGTGGGAGCAGTCCCACCAATTGTGGAAACCGTTTTCTCATGTTGCACAGTCCTGGGGGAGGTCTGTGCATCTCCTGGTCACCGTGGTTCTTGGTGGTACACCCTGTCTCTGACCAGGGCCTCTTCTGTTCTCTGTCTTCTTCTCCCTGGGTGGTCCCTGCCTGAGTCCCCCAGCCTTCTACCCGCGGTGCTCTCTAACTGGCCAATGTCAGCACCGCACACTCAGCAGGTCCAGCTCGCCCTCCATCCGTCTCGGCCTCAGGCTATGGTGTCTATTTGGTGAAATGCATTCGTTTCTCTCTGGTGTCCCCAGAGAGTGGGAGTGGTGACAACTCTAATCCATATTCACCCTGTCTGTTAGCTTCCTGGGGCTGCCAAGACAAATGACCACAAACCAAGGGACATCAAACAACAGACACCTGTCCTGTCACCATTCAGGAGGCCACAGGTCTCAGTCAGGGGTCCCAGGGTGGCCTCCGTCTGGAAGCAGTGGGGGAGAAGGGGTTGCAGGCCTGCCTCTCCTAAGCCCCACTGGCTCAACCCTCCTTCTTTTCCTTGGCTTGTTGCCGCATCTGTCCCGTCTCTGCCTCCGTCTTCACACGGCCTTCTTCTCTCTGCCTCTCTGTCTGCTTTCTCTTCTTATGAAGACGCCAGTCCTTGGTGACTTCCTCTAATCCAGAGGGACCTCATCTTAATTCTATCTGCAAAGACCCCATTTTCAAGTAAGGTCACGTTCTGAGGTTCTGGGTGGATGTGGGCTTTGGAGGGAGACACTGGTGAACCTGGCACGCTCTGCACATCATCTCTTTTCTCCCGTGAATCCTGGCAGTGATCGATTTCAGGGGACATTTGGTAGTAGGCCAGGGAACATGGAGAATAGAGAGCCCATGGCCATTCCTGCGCCGTCTGCTGGAATTCTGCGGGGAGCAGAGCCTGCCCCACTCCCTACACTGTCTCACGCTGTGTGCCTCTTCCTCTGCAGGCCCTACTGAAGATGGACTGCCAGGGCCTGGTGGTCAGACTCATCCAGGACTTTGTGCTCCTGACCACGGCTGTAGAGGTGGCCCAGCGCTGGCGGGAGCTGGCTGAGAAGCTGGCCAAGGTCTCCAAGCAGCAGATGGACGCCTACGAGTCTCCCCACCGGGACAGGAACGGGGTTGTGGACAGCGAGGTGAGCAGCGGCTGAGCTTCGAGCTCACCGAGCCCCTCTGTCCCTGGGTTCCGTGGACCCATGCAGTGCAGCCATAAAAAGTCTTGCCTCGCGGCATTTCTGTGAGGGTGCAACAGGTGGAAATGTGCACGCATGTGCCCAGCACTGGGTGTGCCTCACTGAGTGGGAGCCATCCTCCGGATTGGTTGTCGTGAGCCCTGGCTTTAGGATGTCAAGGCTGTTCCACACGACATGGGAAGGACAAACAGAACTGCCTGTCCCTTGTTCATTTTGATCTTAAATTACCATCCGTAGGGTTGAATAATGCAATAACACATACACAGAGGACTTTGTGAGCCGCTCTGGACTGGAGTGATACCTGGTATGTTACATAACTTGGGCCAAAGCCGGTGTGGCCGGGCTCTTGCTCAGAGGTCCTTTGTGTTCTCGCATGTTTGTGGAGGGCACCCTAGTAAGCTTCCTGGAAGACGGTTCAGGCTTGCAAGATCCAGGAAGCAGGAAGTCCCAAGGACAAAGCTGTCTTTTATGAATGGGATGAATTTCCAAACAAATGGCACAGAGAGAAAGTGCCATAAAGATTGTAAGGAAAGAGAAGTCCTTTCTGTTTATTCATTTGTTGCGCACCTACTCTTGCACAAAGCCCTGCTTTTCCCTCTGGAATGTGCTGACCCTGGCCCCGAGATGGTTCCACTGTTTCTTCTGTGGGCTTGTCTCACTCGTGAAAGAGTGTCCCAAATAGTGACTACTGAAGCTGCACCAAGTAATAGGAACAAATCTCGTTCTGTCTCCTAATCTTTCTTCCTCTCTCCCTCCTTTTGTTTTTTACAACTCCACCTCCCAGGCCATGTGGAAGCCTGCGTATGACTTCTTACTCACCTGGAGCCATCAGATCGGGGACAGCTACCGGGATGTCATCCAGGAGCTGCACCTGGGCCTGGACAAGATGAAAAACCCCATCACCAAGCGCTGGAAGCACCTCACTGGGACTCTGATCTTGGTGAACTCCCTGGACGTTCTGAGAGCAGCCGCCTTCAGCCCTGCGGACCAGGACGACTTCGTGATTTGAATGGGTCCCCTCCCCTCCTGCTGCTCTGGAGTGCAAGCCCTCTTCTGCCCTGCGTGCCCTGCTGTCACCGCGGAGCTGAAGAGGGAGGAAGGGGCGGCTGCTCAGACAGATTTAGGGCCCGCCAGCTAGGCTACACCCATCATGCGCCGCCCTCCTCCATCGAGGGAGAGGCCTGAAGGGACTGCCTACTGCAGCTCGTTGCCAATCACATAGCTTTCTATTTGTTAAGTATAAATTTAAATTTAAAATCACTTTTTTAACGAATGGGGGGAAGGGATCTATGAGAAAGGTGGTATCTAATTTTTTTATGGACCATAAAGGTTTAAAAGAAAATAGGGGCACAGGCTGTTGAGGTTTTTATGTTGTTATAGACCTTTTTAAATTATGTTAGAGATGTATATAGGTATTTAAAGGTCACTGGGAGCGTTTCTGATTCCCGGCCACACTTTGCATTTCAACACTCAGCCCGGAAAGATGCTCGTTCGGTTGTTGGACCTCTTTCACTCCCTGCGTGTAAGAAGGTGAATCACGTGGGAAAAAGTGGCTTTTCAGTAAACGGGTACAGCTCATTCTTTCTGAGAAGGCCCCAGGTCCTGCTCCCTCCTCGGATTTGATTGTCTTCCGTGCTTTGCCTCACTCGTAGTAAATGACCATCCATAGAATATGTGAATCTTTGGTGAGCTTCAGTGGGCAGAGTGAAGTCCCGCATTAGCATTTAGGTGCCCTGAGCTGTTTCTGCCAATAGATTAGAAAGCAGCCATGAGTTGACAGTCTTTAGGGCCCCTGCCAGTGTGCAATTAGTCATTGACAAGAACAATGCCATTTGAGAGTGAGGTGGTCCCTGCTGCTACGAGGCCATTGTACTGTTTTTTCCTTGAGGTCAAAGCAGTGCTTCCCATAGAGTTTGCTGCCTCTTCTGTGGACAGGAAGAAAACTTCATGACCGAATCAGAGCCTTGGTGGCCACTGACTCTCGTGCTTATTGCAGATGCTGTGGTTGGCCTCACAAGCAACGCCTTATGCTGATGTGCAGAGGTGCCAGCTGCCATTTGCCAAACTCTGCATTTCATTTCATCTAAGGCTTAACCCCTCTTCCTTCCTGGTGTACCTGTGTCTCCTCGGAAGGAAGTCATAGTTTAGATGAAACCATTTTTTGTACAATGTAAAGATCATCTGAGCAAGATGAGCATTTTGTAAAAATGAAAATGTGACTCACATAAAATCAGGAACTTGACACAGTGTTGCATTAATAACTTTAGGGTGCAGACATGCTGTGTGAATCTCACAATGCGTCGTAGATGTCGCGTGTTGGAAGGGAGCAGGAGGAAGGACTGATACTGGCAAATCAGTAGAGTGAGGTGATCCTTAGCAACGTGCCAGGACACTTCCTGTGTGCCTGCAGTTGTCAGGGACCATTTGGGATCCCGAATCTCATTCTCTAAAACTGCTTTCTTGAAACATGTTACTTCCTTAGTATAATCAATGTATACTCCCTTACTGGCCTGAAACGTTGTATAGCTACTTATTCAGATACTGAAGACCAACGGACTGAAAAAAAGAACAAACATTAGCTATTTTATGCTGCAAGAACCAGGACACACAATTCGCCAATCATCCCACCATATAACCTTCGATTGTGCTTCTCAACTCCACCCCATAATTTCTCCCAGAGACCATCTATCACCTTTTCCCCAAAGAAGAAACAAAACCAGTTGCACCTTAAACCATGGATATTTTTTCCTCAGGGGCTTTAAATAGTTTCCTATGCAACGTGTCTTGTAGCACAAATAAAATTCTACAAAAGTTGCAGTAAATTTTATTTGGATATTTTAACCTGTTAAGTGTGTGTGTGTTTTCTGTACCCAACCAGACTTTAAATAAAACAAACATGAAACCTAATGTACGTATTTATACATACACCAATGGCTGCCTCCCCAAAATAGTCACCCCTAGATGACAGTAGGACAGCTGGTGTGGCAGGTGTCTATTTTCTTGCTATTCATTTAATTTGCTCTTGAAACACGAGTCACTCAGTCACCACTAACCAAATGGGAATTGGTGTTATACCAGGCACCCAAAGGAAAGCACATCGATGACTTGCTGTTTTCTGGGTCCCATGAATTGGCAACCCCAGTCCCGAAATAGAAAGTTTAGGATGGAGTCATTTCTGTGTGTCAGGTGTCAGCCTTGAAGTGCTGATTGTGGCAAACAAGGGCAGACCGTGCTTTAGGAAGACCGTGTTGTGGGGGAGAAAGGAGTGAAGGACTCCTAATGGAGACCAGCTCCACCTGGAGGTAGGGGGAGGAATGGGGCTAATGGAAATCTTTCTTGGGAACATGACTTTGATGAAAGGCTTGAAGGCTGAGTGGGAGCCAGCTAGACCACCAACAGACCAGCCCTGGGGACCAGTGTGTCGGCAGCATCGACGACACGGTACGTGGGGCAAGGAGAGGCTAAACCCTCCACGTGGCTGGGACTTGTGGAGTGAGCACAAGCCCTCTGTTACCTGGATGCTTTCCACCGCTTGTACCTGTGTTAATTCCACCATGCATCACCTACCAGCTGGGTCCTCATACCCATTTTGCAGTTAAGGACAGGGCTCAATGTGGTCCCATAATTTACACAGCCAATAAGAGAGGCAGGGACCTTAACTCAGGACTGCCGTAACAAAGTGCCCTGCATGGCTAAGGACAACAGAAATGTGTGCTGTCACCGTTTTTGAGGCCAGATGTCTGAAATCAAGGTATCACATGGTCGCTTGTTCTCCATGTCTGTGACTAAATCTCTCTCTAAGGACACCAGTCATAGGATTTAGAGCCCACCCTAATCCATCAAGACCTCATCTTAACTTGATCACACCTATGATGACCCTGTTTCTAAGTAGGGTCACATTCACAGCGGGGTTTAGGACTTGGACACGTCTTTTTGAGAGGCACAATTCACTCACCACCCTGCTCCATGCCTGGCCCTTTGGGCGTAGCCTGCTTGGGAAGAACAGTGCACGAATCAGGTTTAATCTATCTTGGTGCCCTCCGCCCAACACAAAGCAAAGCCAGGGTGGAGGAAGGCAATTCTTAAAAGGAGAAAGCTCTTCTGATGGACTGCCATGTTCCCCCAAGACCCATCCTCTTCCTGAGCCAGCGACTGGGCTGTCTTTCCCCATCTCCCTTGCAGTCAGGTGCGGTCCAGCTAGGAGATGGGAACCAGAATGCTATGGGCCGCCTGCTGTTGAGTCTGGCTCACAGGAACCTTCCAGAAATCCTCCCTTCTTCCAACTGATCAGGAGGAACTCCAAGTCCCTAAAGGTGAGGCAGGGGCAGATAGAAGGACCCCAGATCCCTTAGGGACCCCCAGTAAGCTCTGTTCAGCAAAGTGTCTGTCACACGGTATCTAGAGAGATAAAACTATGATTGGCCACCGAGAAGGTGAGTTAGCTGTTACAGTGGCTGGTGTTGCTTTTAGACCCAGATGATCACTGTAATCCACAAGCTGGCGGGGAATGCAGCTTGTTCTTAACTGGGAAACATCCCTACCACAGCTGGATTATTATTTTTTTAAAATATTATTATTAATTTTATTATTATTCCTATTTTCAGAGAAGGAAACTGAAGCTTAGAACCGTGTTATTCATTGTCGATGGTGCAACCAAGTTAAAGATGCTGTCTTGTTTTTTTTTTTGTTTTTGTTTTTATACTTTAAGTTCTAGGGTACATGTGCACAACGTGCAGGTTTGTTACATATGTATACATGTGCCATGTTGGTGTGCTGCACCCATTAACTTGTCATTTACATTAGGTATATCTCCTAATGCTATCCCTCCCCCCTCCCCCCACTCCACAACAGGCCCCAGTGTGTGATGTTCCCCTTCCTGTGTCCATGTGTTCTCATTGTTCAATTCCCACCTATGAGTGAGAACATGCGATGTTTGGTTTTTTGTCCTTGCAACAGTTTGCTGAGAATGATAGTTTCCAGCTTCATCCATGTCCCTACAAAGGACATGAACTCATCATTTTTTACGGCTGCATAGTATTCCATGGTGTATATGTGCCACATTTTCTTAATCCAGTCTATCATTGTTGGACATTTGGGTTGGTTCCAAGTCTTTGCTATTGTGAATAGTGCTGCAATAAACATACGTGTTCATGTGTCTTTATAGCAGCATGATTTATAATCCTTTGGGTATATACCCAGTAATGGGATGGCTGGGTCAAATGGTATTTCTAGTTCTAGATCCCTGAGGAATCGCCACACTGTCTTCCACAATGCTTGAACTAGTTTACAGTTCCACCAACGGTGTAAAAGTGTTCCTATTTCTCCACATCCTCTCCAGCACCTGTTGTTTCCTGACTTTTTAATGATCACCATTCTAACTGGTGTGAGATGGTCACAGCCAGATTATTTCCAGCAACAAGAACACCCCTTCCACACTATTTTTTCTTGGCCTAAATGTGTTCACAATTGGTCAGTACCAGTCTGAATATAAATGGCTTTTCTCCCTAATACTCCGAGGCCAGGCCAAGCAGTTCAGTTAAACCTCCAGTTTTTCATTGATACTGATTTTGACATTGATGTTGTTGAGAATGATAATTAACATAACATTATGGTATTTGTAGATGTTCTTTAGGACCTCATTCAGGAGAAAAGATTTAGTTAGAAAAGAGTTAGGCTCTGACTTCTCGACGAAAGGAAAATTTTGTCCCTGATTAATTCTTGCCTTGATCTGCACCTGGCCATCTTTCTGTCAAGTCACTTGGGGCATGTGTCAAGTCAGTTATTTTGTAATCCTCCAGCCCCCAGCCCCTCTGAGTATCCATCACCCCACAGTAGTGCCCAAGCTCAGACTCGGTCCTGGGACCTTTCCCCATCAGTGGTCCAGATTCCAGCAACTCATAGGTTTCACAACCATTCCTACTGCCATGACCAGAATTAAGACTTTTTTTTCCTGGATGCTCATCCTCTTTCTTTTTGACCAAGCTACTCCAACACCCTCCCCCTGGTCCTCCCTCCAATTCTGTCCTCCCCTATCCATAGGACAAAGGACTCCTTTCACAGGAGCCCTTCCTGCATCCTTCTGTGTGGTCAACTCTGGGCTCACCCCCTTTGCTATGTCCTCGCACACACGGACTTCCTCCAGCACTCCCTTGACCATCTTTTTGTAAACCTCCCTGTGTTGGTCTAAGCTGTGTCCAGGCTGTGGCACCTTTCCTTCCCCACCTGGCAGAGTCACACACTGAGCTCCTTGAGGACAGTGACCTTGTCTTGGCTCATCTCTGAATCCCAAGAGCCTAGCACAGTCAATACTGGTTTCTTGAAGGAATTGTTCCTATCTCTGCAATAGAAATGCATCTCCAAATAAGATGGCTTTGGCTATTGGACTGAATAGAATGGGCTTCATGCTATGTTTACAACCAATGTAAGAGATGTGCGAAAAGTTGTCCACCAATGAATGCATCAAAACCAGCTTGGATTTTAAGAGGTCAAAGAGGAAGCTTGCAGGGATGGAGCTCAATGAAGTGTATACCAAGAACCATTATATTCCTTAATGAATCATTTTCTGGCATGAGGGAAACATTGTCAGTTTGGTCCATGATTTATGCTGCAATAAAATTTGGCTTTATGTAAAATAGATTGAAATGAGCAACTTAGCTCTTTCTGTGCCATAGGTCAACACCTCTGGCAGTTTGAGAAAGGCTATAAACTCCTCAGTATTATGGAAATACACATAAAAACCCTGAGATCACAGATGAAAGCAATTATGTTTACATACAATTACCAACAATTTTTAGAAATTGTGGTGTAATATATATACTTCTTTATGCATTAAATAACACAATCTAGTAGTTAATCTTACATCCCCCGGAAACTCAAAATAGTGATGAGCATTTAGATACCTGCAAAAGCATTGATGGAAATAAAAATATCAGAGATTTCTATGTTTGGCACATTACGGGAACTCCTAATATTAGAGAGGTTCCTTGCCTAGGTGCATTCTTGAAGGAAGCGCCAATGTTCAGGTTAATGAAAATAAAGATGTAATGTTTTCCCTTTATTAAAGAAAAAAGAGCTTGTCCTAAGGAAACTGAAGTCACCCAGATTTGCTGTACACATTTTTTAAGTGCTTGTATTAGTATTTTCTGCTCCAGGCTAGCAAGAATTGTATTTTTAAAGCTTTGCTTCTCTGATAGAGTTTTCTGCTTCATGAGGGAGAAGGAAAATGTGAAGAAATTAATGGGCTGTGCTTGTGACTTTTTAAGTATCTAGAGTCATCTTTCTTAATTTTCCATTTCAATTGGCTTTTTAAAAAATCTGTGTGCTTATATCATATATATATATATATATATATATTACAACTTTCGATGTAATTTTCATTTTGGGAGGGTGCAGCATACATATTAGTGAGCTACGGGCAGCTTGATGGAGGGTCGACTCACTGCTCGTCAGAGACAGGTCGGCCCATGTCAGTCCTGGGCACACAGAGGGTCCAAGGAACAGCAAGGGAGAAAGAGATGGTTCCTGGGCCTCCAGGAGTTTGTATCCAATGAGGAAGATCAACACACACAAGCAGGCCAGGAGCACTGGGTTCATGCCTGTAATCCCAGCACTTTGGGAGGCAGAGGCAGGCAGACCACTTGAGGTCAGGAGTTCGAGACCAGCCTAGCCAACATGGTGAAACCCCGTCTCTACTAAATACACAAAAACTAGCCAGGCGTGGTGGTGAGTGCCTGTAATCCCAGCTACTCAGGAGGCTGAGACACGAGAATCGCTTGAACCATGGAGGTGGAGGTTGCCACCGTGAGCTGAGATTGCACCACTGTACTCCAGCCTGGGTGACAGAGCAAAAACCCCGTCTCAAAAAAAAAAAAAAAAAAAGAAAGAAAGAAAGAAAAAAAAAAAGACCCAGGAACAAACACCTGAAATTCAAGGGAGATGGCAGCATTGTCATCAGTGGACAGAGAAAGTGCTTGAGGAAGAGGAGAGCGCCTGCTGCTTGATGGAACTTTGGATGCTACTGCGGCTGGGTATGCCAAGGCTGTGAGAAGAGCCTCCCAAGGCAGGTTGGGGTCCTGAGAAGATACAGAAAGGGCAGGGAGAGGTGTTTATTAATTGATAGACACTGATTTTCTATTTGCCAGGCATTGTTCTAGGCCCGGGGTTAGGGTCCCTGTCCCCATGGAGCCCACATGCTAGTGGGGAAATAGGAACAAACTAAATTCATATGATCAGGGAGAGGGAGGTGCTAGGAAGAAAAATCAGTGATGCACTGGCCGGGGCGAGGCTGGAGCAGGGTAGCCTGGAAGGCCTCCCCAGTGAGGTGAAGTCTGGGGAAGAGTGAGCAGCTCAGAGAAGCTGGAGTGTAAGTTGCTTTTAAAAGGGCAAGGGGGGATTAGAGTGGGATGAGCTATGGTTGGATGTGTCTAGAAACACCAGGTGTTAAAAAGTAACGCCCAGTGCAGTGGGATGGAGAGGTGGGTCTTTAAACAGTGATGAGATCAGGAAGGCTGCTGCCTTCGAGAATGCGATTACGGCCCTTAAAAAAAAGACGCTTTGGCCAGGCACGGTGGCTCACACCTATAATCTCAACACTTTGGGAGGCCGAGGCAGGCTGATCATCTGAGGTCAGAAGTTCAAGACCAGCCTGGCCAACATGGTGAAACCCCATCTCTGCTAAAAATACAAAAAATTAGCCAGGCATGGTGGAGCGTGCCTGTAATCCCAGCTACTCCGGAGGCTGCAGCAGGAGAATTGCTTGAACCTGGGAGGCGGAGGTTGCGGTGAGCCAAGATCGTGCCATTGCACTCCAGCCTAGGTGACAAGAGCGAAGCTCCGTCTCAAAAAACAAACAAACAAAAAAACAGGTTTCAAGTAGCGTTTGGCACCCTTGCCCCTCTGCCCTGCCCGTGAGGACACAGCATTGCTCCCCTTTGATGGTAGCAAGGCTCCGTCTTGGAAGCAGAGAGCAGCCCTCACCAGCCCACGAACCTGCCCAAGCTGTGATCTTGGCCTCCCAGCCTCCAAACTAAGAAATACATTTCTGTTGTCTTGACACCACTCAGCGCTGGGCATTCGTTAGAGCAGTGCAAATGGACTAAGAGAGATGAGAAGACGGGCCAGTGGCGAGCAGCCTGGAATGGCAGACAGGGAGGCAGAGGCCGTGGGACCTTCAGGCAGTGCCTGGCTGGGCCCGAAGAGTCCCAGGAATGGGAAGGCAGACAGAGATGGAGGAGGGAGGGTCAACTCAGTCTGCCGTTTGGCTGGACAGGAGCGGGTTGGGCCAAGAGGCACTGGTGTCCTGAGAGAATGTGGCCTAAGCTGTGTTGAACGGCTTTGCTGTACGTGGGGAGAGGAGGGGTGGAGGCTGTGGTGTGGGGAGAAGCTGAGTAAGACACAGATGGGGGAGCAGGAGGGGAAGCAGATCTAGGACTCGGCTCTGAATGGGAGGATGTAAGGTGTAGCTGGAAGATCATGGACCTGAGGTTAAAGGCCTTTGAGAGACGGCCAGTGAGAAGAAAAGGTGAAAATACGTAGAAACCTGGTCAGCAGCCCCTCATGCATCCACCCATTGAGTTGGTCATTAGGCGTCTGATTCAACTGCCTTCCATCGCTTTTCTTCCCTCGCCACAGCTACTGCTGTACTTCTGTGCACTGTCACCTCTCCCTGTAACTGCAATTCCAGCCTTATCCCATCAGCTGATCCTCCATGGCCCCCAGAAGGGTCCTTCTAAAATGGATTCAGGCCAGGCACGGTGGCTCACACCTGTAATCCCAAGCACTTTGGGAGGCCAAGGTGAGCGGGGCACACAAGGTCAGGAGTTTGAGAGTAGTCTAACTAATATGGTGAAACCCTGTCTCCACTAAAAATATAAAATTAGCTGGGTGTGGTGGTGTGTGCCTATAATCCCAGCTACTTGGGAGGCTGAGGCAGGAGAATCACTTGAACTTGAGAGGCGGAGGTTGCAGTGAGCAGAGATCATGCCACTGCACTCCAGCCTGGGCGACAAGAGCAAGACTCCGTCTTAAAATAAAATAAAATACAAAATAAGTTAAAAATTGGATTCAGGCCAGGTGCAGTGGCTCACACCTATGATCCCAGCACTTTGGGAGGCTGAGGTGGGTGGATCACTTGAGGTCAGGAATTCAAGACCAACCTAGCCAACATGGTGAAACCTCATCTCTACTAAAAGCACAAAAAGTTAGATGGGTGTGATAGCACACTCCTGTAATCCCAGCTACTAGGGAGGCTGAAGTGGGAGGATCGCTTGAACCCAGGAGGCAGAGGCTGCAGGGAGTCGAGACTGTGCCACTGCACTCCAGCCTAGGCAACAGAACAAGACTCTGTCTCAAAAAAAAAAAAAAAAAAAGGATTCATACCCCTCTCCTGCTTAGCCTCTGCCATCAGCAGTCCCCTGGTTTCAGCCGATGAATGGAGGCTCCCAAATGCCAGCTTGGAGGTCATTGTGGGTCCCGATGAAGCTTTCACTGGTACCTGAAAAATGAGAGAAGAAAAGACAGCGCACAGAGGATTTTCATGAGGCCACATTGATGCACATCAAATAACTGTCTCTGATCCTGAGATTAAGCCCTTCACTCCTTTCTCGTGTTAAAATGTCCTATATCCTGGTGACTGAAGGTGACAGGGGATTGTAGTGGCAGGAGTTGTTTTGGTGTTTTAATGCCTCGCTTGGTAAGGTGAAAGGCTGGCCGATAATACATCACACATTGTTCCGGACTTGTGTTGTTGAACACAGGGAGGGAGAAACGGGACGCCTGCCTGCAGCATTTCCATGGCTGTCTGCCCTTGTGGCTATTTCTGCCCTCACTGGGAGGGTGGCCTTTGTCATATCGTCTGTGTGCTCAGCACCTTGGAAACTCTCTCGCTATATTTGGGACCCTTAAAACATAAACTCACAGCTTCCCTAGCAGCTAAATATAAGCGTATGACCAGAGTCCACCACGTGGAGCTTGGACTCTGAGGCTCCGATTCATGCAGAAGGAGGGAAGAGAGCCGGCGGGAGCGTCAGGGCAGCAGTGGTCACGGGGGTGAGCTCCTGACCCGGCCGAGGGTCTGTGGGGGACACACAGCCATGGCAGTTTGCTCTAGTGCCAGGCACGCCCACTGCAGCCACACTTTTGTCACCAGGCCAGTTCTGGACAGGGTTCCTGGAAGCTTAGCACTGAGTGTGGGGCTCAGCTCTCCCAGCCCTACTGTGAATCGCCCAGGTCCCCTTTAATAAGCCCCTTTGGTGAAGAATCAACACTTGGCAATTTTGTTGCCTTCAGATGAACACCTTGACTTCCTGCTCTGTTTACTCCTTCAGGATTCAGCTCTGCAAATCACGCTCCTAGGTGAGTCTTCTCAGATGCTCCCTCTGCGAAAGGTCCTTCCTTTGTTTTCCCATAGCTCTCTGACCTCACCACAAATAGAACTTGAATCTCTCTGTATCACAGCTGAGTCTTTGCCTGGTGTACCCCACAGACTGTGAACTGGACAAGGAGGATGTCACAGCGCTGGACTCACACTCAATAAATTCAACCTCACACTCAATACATTCTTGGATGAATGAAATCTTCAGAGAAATTTCCTCAGGGGCATGGAGGCCAGGTCCCAGTGCCTGAATAGCTTTGTGAGTACCTTGTGGTGCTCCTTTCTTTTTTTTATTGAGATGGATTCTCGCACTGTCGCCTGGGCTGGAGTGCAGTGGCACAATCTCGGCTCACTGCAACTTCTGCCTCCTGGGTCCAAGCGATTCTTCTGCCTCAGCCTCCGGAGTAGCTGGGATTACAGGTGCCCACCACCACGCCTGGCTAATTTTTTGTACTTTTAGTAGAGACGGGGTTTTACTAGGTTGGCCAGGCTGGTCTCGAACTCCTGACCTTGTGATCTCCCCGCCTCGACCTCCCAAAGTGCTGGGATTACAGGCGTGAGCCACCACCCCCAGCCGACTCCTTCTTTCTTAATCTAACAAATACATGTTTTGTGGGTGAATCCAGACCGTGTTCTAGAAAGTTTCATCTCTACTCGTTTTTAGTTTGTTGGTCTTCCCGCTATAATGTTACGTATGTTTAACTCAGCTGAAGCTCACACTTTGGAATAACAAGTGCTTGCTTTATTTTTCACACACCCACATATTTTTCTGCACTCGAAGTGCAAAATCAGTTCACACCCAGGGTGTAGACGATCCCACGTAGGAGAGAATAGCAAGTGTGGGTACGCTTGGTGGACATCTGTAGCCTCAGGTGAGCTTTCTGGGGGTTGAAAGTTCTCTCTGAACAGTCCCCTGACACCTGAGCCAGCCCAAGGCAGGCAGAGGGGGGATAGGGAGGTTGCCTGGCAACTCCAGGAGGCTCAGAGCCATCCTTTTTGTCTAGGAGAGAAAAGATCCAGAGAACTGAGTCACTTACATTTTTTATCCCGAGCCTGGTTAGAACCAACATACACAGAATGAGGAATTTACAGCAAAATTCACACCGACAGATCAGCATAACAACCTGTAACACTGACAGGTACAAACGCAATTCTGTGCCTGTTTATGGGAGTGCTGGACAGCGTGGATTCTTTGCA